>NC_000002.12:200216890-200519921 GCF_000001405.40 Homo sapiens
CCAGACCAGAGGTAGCAATTTCAGGGCCATCTGGGCAGTGGTAACAGGCACAGTGGAGGTAAACCCATGACTGGTCCTGCAGTTCTCTGAGTTCAGCTCCAGCTCAGCTCTCCAATGTGTCACAGACACATCGGAGCAGATAGCCCAGTTTGATTCTTGGGCCACTGCCGACTTGGTTTACATTGGTCTATTTGTCTTCTTCACGTCACAGTACTTTTTCTGTATCTCCATCATTGCACTTATACTCCAGTTTATGACTCTATGTGCTATTACAGTTCTTTGCATTCACCTTATCCTCTCTACCAGACTGTAAGCTGTTTGAGAGCCTGGGACATGTCCGACTCTTCTTGGTATCCTATAGTGTGTCTAGAAAAGTGCTTGCACATAGTATGTGCTAATTAACATTTATAATAAATGAACGAATGAAGTATAAATGTTATCCAGGGGCCTGAGTTGGCCACATGCTTGATGACATCTTATGCTAAAAATGCAAACCAGGCAAGATAGCAGTGTTGTAAGATTGGTTTGAGACCTGCCACCTCTACTCCAGGCACACAGCAATGAGTGATATGTATGAAACAACTATTTAAAATAGAGAGTTCAGAAACAAAACCAAAACTTGTCTTGGATGAAAATGAAGTCATAATTGAAAGCAGTGAGCCAGGAGTGAAGCTGCAGGCCTGCAGAGCTCCAGGTACGCAAGCAGGCAGAGGCAGCTGGAGGCCAACCTTTGCACTACATTGGGGCTAAAAGGGTTGCATACCAGGTGAAATGATGAGCCAGTGTTTCTTTTATATAATGCTGCATAACAAGCCACCCCAAAGCTTAGTGGTATAAAGCAACAAACATTTTATTATGCCCATAGATTCTCTAGCTCAGGAATTCAGAAACGGCAAAGAGATGGCTCTTCTCTTTTCCAGTGTCTGGGGCCTCAGCTGGGACAACTTGAATGATTAGGAGTGACTTAAATGGCTGATGGCCGGAACAGCTGGGGCTGGAGAATTCATTTCCAAGATGGCTTCTTTACTCACACGTCAAACCCAAGCTGGCACGGCTGAAGAATAGTCTCA
This sequence comes from Homo sapiens, assembly GCF_000001405.40. Lineage (NCBI taxonomy): Eukaryota > Metazoa > Chordata > Mammalia > Primates > Hominidae > Homo > Homo sapiens. Next base: position 200,217,961 of record NC_000002.12, read on the forward strand.
AATGTAAGTGTAAACCTCACAAGAAAATAGGGAAATGCAGCGAGAAATGAGAAATAAATACACAAAATAACAACTGTCTATAAGAATGTAGAAAAATGGGATATACCACTGGTGGAAGTACAAATTAGTTCAATTCCTTGGAGACGAATTTAGAAATATCTAGAGGAAATGAAAATTCATATCTATTGTAACTCAGCAATTCCATCTGTAGGCAGAAATCAGAACTTTTCTTTCACTTACAAAAAATGTTTACTGTAATCCCAGCACTTTGGGAGGCAGAGGCGGGCGGATCACGAGGTCAGGAGATCAAGACCATCCTGGCTAACACGGTGAAACCCTGTCTCTACTAAAAATACAAAAAATTAGCCGGACGAGGTGGCGGGTGCCTGTAGTCCCAGCTACTCGGGAGGCTGAGGCAGGAGAATGGCGTGAACCCCGTGGGGCGGAGCCTGCAGTGAGCCGAGATCGCGCCACTGCACTCCAGCCTGGGCAACAGCGAGACTCTGTCTCAAAAAAAAAAGTTTACTGTTTTATAACAAGCAACTAATACATTTCAACGACATTCAAGAGGAAACATTTATTGAGCTTGGGCATCTGTAGATTGGCTAGAGGTTAGCTGATCCAGGTGGCTGTACTGAGCTCGGCTGGGATAGTTCACATGCACCTGGGGATTAGCTGATACAGGCTGAAATCAGCCAGGCAGCCCTGCTCTGATCCATATATCTCATCCTCCTCCTGGGCCTAGAGAGTAGCCCAAGCATGTTCTGCTCATGGCAATGTCAGAGACTCAAAAGCACGAGCACAATCATATAGGCACTGCTCCAGCCTTTGGTTACTTCATGCCTGCTAACATTTCATTGGCCAAAGCAAGTCACATGGCCAAACTCAAAGTCAAGGGGTATGAAAACATACTCTAGTGGGAGGAACCACAAAGTCACATGGCAAAGGATATGGATACAGGGAGCAGTGAAGAATTGAGGCCATTAATGCAATCTACCACATTCACTGCAGGATTGTTTGTAATAAGATAAATGGAGAGAACCTAAGTGTTCATCAAAACAGAGAATGGATAGATAGATTGTTGGGGGGGGGGGGTTTCATCTATCAGAGCACTATGTTACAGTGAAAATGAATAAACTAGGGCTACCCGCATCAACATGTATAAACCTGCAGAACAAAATGTTGATAGAAAAGAAAGGAAGTTGCAAAATGAAATGTAGAGCATAAATCAATTTATGGAAGGCTTTAAACCAGGCTATATAGTACATATTATTGAATATATATGCATATAGTAATAGTAAAAGTGTAAAACATGGATAAGAAAGGTACACTAAGCCTCAGGATAGTGATTACCTCTGGAAAAAGAAAGAAAAATGGGATCATGGTGGGAGACAAAATGGGCTTCAGCAGTATCAGTGACATTTTATTTCCTAATATAAAAGATGTGGACCAAACATGGGAAAATATTAACATCTGTTAAATCTGAATGCTGAAGTACACAGATCTTACTTACATTAGTCAGGAGGTTTGATGAGAAAAGGGTTACAAAGAGCCAAACAGATAGTTTTTGGCCCTGGAGGAGGAAAAATTGTCTGCTACAAAACACCAGGAGGTTTTCCACTCTGTCTGCCTACCCTACTCCTGTCAATATTTTGAAACTGCTCCAGATATGGATGCAAAGAAAATTAGACAAAAAGAGATTAGTAAGAATGAGCAAACTCCATTCCATCTAATTCTGATCACTTGTGGGCTTTGGGTTTAAATCTCAGACACACAAATTATTGCTTGTTCTGGTGACATGTTTGCCTGTTTCATGAGTCAGCAAATCAAGTTACTGGGTCACAGAATCAAGGTGCCTTTGTGCAAAGAGGACTGAGGTTAAAGGGAGTTATTTCACTCACCTTTTTTTTTTTCCTTTTTAAATTAAACTTTTATCAGAACATCTCAGTCTCTTCTTCTCCTAGGGGAAATGAAAAGGACTATTATAGAAAGAAAATAACACCCAAATTTTGTTAGCAAACATTAGGAAAATTTTAAATCATGGCGAGGAAAAACTGCCAGATGGCCTGAAAGTAAATAATACTGTGCGTGTGGGGGTTGGGAGGTAGGATGACGACTAAGCTCTTTGCTTTAAACATATGAGTAAAGCAAAAGCCAGAAAAAGAACATTGATTTTTAAGTAATATAAGGTTTGATACTTTTTTTTAGCAGAGTTAAATTTACTGTCATTTTATTTTTACTGTGTTACTTCATTCTAAAAATGTTTTGAAATTGAAATGTACGCATATGAAAAAGCATCTGAAATTGTACAAGTATAATGTAGGCTTTCTAGCTGGTTTTTGCTGTGGATCCATGGGTGGCTGTATTAATATGTATTAATGGTAAACAGATGACAAGTCTTTGAAATAGCCACTTAATTGAAGAAAATAGGATTGTTGGATGCAAGACCACGAAGAGGCTAGCCCGCATATTTTCCAAAGGCACTCAGCCTGAAATGAATATCCTTGCCAATTTGCAACGTTGCATTCAACATTAATCTGAATGGTTTTTCTGTGGAATAAGTTTAGAGTTATTATCTGCAATTCTGAAGTTGCTTTACAGTGGTTATTCATAAAGGAAAAATCTCCCTTTCCTCTTCTTCTCCTTCGTAGTTACTCATGAAATAGTTCTACTTTCAAAGTAATCCTGAATTTTTCCACTTCTCTGCATCTTCATGGCCACCCCTCTCCCACCCTCCTTCAAGCTACCCTCAATGTGAGGGCAATGGCTCCCCTTCAGGTCTCCCAGGGCCACTCTGGCCTCCTCTATGTGTTCTGCATACCGCAGCAAGAGTCATCCTAAAATATAAATCTGGTCCTACAATTCCCCTTTGAAAAACTCCTTCCTTCACTTGCTTCCTATTGCCCTTAAAATCCTCACTATGGCTGACAAGATTCCACCTCCCTGCTTCAGACCCCACCCCCTCTCTCTCCTGATAGCCCTGCCACTGCATGGTTTTTATTTTTAATTTAAGTTATAATGCACTTACAGAAAAAAGTCAAAAGATTCTGCAAACTTCGTTATGCCCCCATCTGAGGAAATGTCATCCCCTCGCTTCTGTCTCCCCAAAGGCTACCACTTGCAGCTAGTCAGCTGATTCTTGGGGATTTTGCCCACACATCTCTAAATACCATGTTTTGAAGGCCACTTTCATTTTTAAGCTTCTCCTGTTGAGTCCTTACTGTGGAAGATGACAATGCATCCTCCTGCGTTGCTCTCCCACGTTCTCCCCTAACAACCCCTTCCATGTGCCTGTGTCTCCATATAGTCACCTGATCACTGAGGTTCAAGGAATACCCTGTGTTTGCACTATTTTGACTAAGCAAACATTTTTACAGCTGAGCCATGTAGTATCAAAGGTTACTCTTCTCTTCCTGAATAACTTTTTTGCCCAAAAGTTAATAATTGTCCTTTTCTCCCCCACTGGCTTGATTTTCTTATCACTAAGTTAACCTTAAACTCTCCTGCAGGTGTGTACACATCTCCTCCATACTCTCAAACAATTAAGTGCATGATAATTTTTATCTTCTTAAATCTCCCTTGCCCAGACTTCTATGTCTGATGAGCAGCTGTCATCCTGGGGTCTGTCTTTATCATCACTTTAGTGGAATTTCAAAAGAAAACCAAGTGGTGCGTGTGTCCCATTTGCCATCTTTACCCAAACTTCCTGGCTTTCTTTCCGATCTTTTCTAATGTGCCTCAGGGCCTTTACATAGGCTTTTTCTTCCTTAAATCTCACCCTGGTCTTTGCCCAATTTCTTCTCTTTCTTTAGACCTGAGCTTAAAGGTCACTTTTTCAGGGGCAGGTCCTGATTTCCCAATCCATCATCCTTGTAAATCACACTTTACTCTTTCATAATGTCCTTGTACTTCTCCTTGGTAGCACTTATCACAAGTCTTAGTGTTGTGCAGTAATAACTTGAAATATTCACTTTGGGTTTTTTTCCTTCCACAACTTATCCATGACCTTTCCCCAAATCAGATGCATCCATTTACTCAAGGACAAGTATAATTTTTATAAAGGGAATGACAAAAACAAGAAACATTTAATGCTCAGTCCTTCAATTTCCAATAGAGGCTTGTGAGAATTAAAAGGGCAGGTTGGGGGGGTAGGGATGGAAAGCAGAGATGATGCTGTAACCTGAGAGAAGGTCTTGGGGACCAGGTAGAGAAAAAAAGTGGAGTCAGCATCAGGACTGCCAAGCGCCATCCTTGGCCAGCACCAGGGAGCCCTGGAAGACAGCAGCAATGGACCTGGGTGGTACTTAAAATATTCGACAATCTGATGCTAATATTCATTAGTATATAAACTATATATAAATCAAAAATTCAAAACATATTCCCTTTTATTGTCTAAAGCATCTACACTAAATGTATTATAGAACTGCTTACCATGAAGAACAAGGCTTCTTCTGACCTAGTGTAGAAGCCACACCACACAGTGTAACCTCCACCGTAAAAGTAACTCTTGGTAACAAGCAAGTCGCAGGTTAGCCAGATTTAAAGTGAAGGGATGACTCCAAAAGCCTAAATCCTGGGAAGCACAATTCACTGGGAGCCACCTTTTGGAGGCTACTTACCACAGGCCTTGATATTTAGATGGGAGAGTGGTAGGGAGAAAAGGTGCTTGAGTAGGACCAGACAATAGTAAAACCCACCCACTTGGCTTAAACATATATTTATTTGTGTGGTCATTTGTTTGATTACTTCTATCAAGACCAGGAGTTGGCACACTTTATGTAAATGGCCAAATAATAAATGTTTTTGGCCTTGCAATCCATGCAATCTCGGTCGCACTTACTCAACTCTGCCGTTGTAGCATGAAAGCAAGCAGGGACAATATGTGAGTGAATGGGTGTGGCTGTGCAAAATAAAATGCTTTTTATGAACACTAAAATTTGGATTTCTTATAATTTGCATGTGTTGCAAAGCACCACTCTTCCTTTGATTCTTTTTTCTACTGTTTACAAACGTAAAAACCATTCTTAGCTCGCAGGCAGAATGAAAACAGGCAGCGGGCCAGGTTTGGCCCAGGGGCTGAAGTTTGCCAGCCCCTGGTCTAGACTAAGTTCCGTAAAGGCAGGGACCGTGTCTGCCTTACCACTCTTATGAAACCTGTATTTAGTACATCATAGCAGTCTCAATAAATATTTATTAAATGAATGAATAGTTGATTTATAAACAAATTATAAAACCCTGAAGTGAGAATTTCTCTGAATAGCCTTTAGTGTTCACTTCGACATCCAATCTCTCCACTTAAAACCTAGCTTCAAAATTACATTTGCAGCTTTATTGACATTTTTCTAGAAATATAGCAGTATCAGTACACCCAAGTCTTACTTACCCATGCTAAATGTGCCCAGAGTGCCTTGAATAATCTGAAACTTCAATACTAAAGAGTGATGGAGGTTTATTGCCTTCTCAGCTTCTCAGAGAGTTGCAAGCACAAGACATGAATCAGTGGTATCATAAGTCCTGAGCCACACACTGCTGTTAAAGTGCTAGTAATGTAACGCCAAAGAATCCTAGAATTGTGAAGAGTCGTCCTGGAGATTGTTGCTTAAATCCCCTCATTTTCCAGTCATCCTACTGGACCTCCTTGCTTGGATGCCCAAACCACAGGACCTGGTGCCAAACAAATGGTCTTCCCTTTTTGCACAACCATCTACTCCTCCTCTGACTTCCTTGTTTCTATTAATAACACCAACAGTCCCCAATCTCTAAGGCTCAAAACTGGAATTTCCTTTTTCCTCTCCTTCTTGCTCATCATTCCATCTTCTCATTGCTACAGGCCCAGTTTAGATCCTATTAATTCTTTTTCTAGACTCAACTAGTATAGTCTCCTTGCTATTCTCTGCTCCCATCCCCCTAGAGGCTCTCCCACCTCTAGCACATCCTACAGACCCTGAACAGCCTTTACCTTTCAAATGGCACTCAGTAGTTACTGACTTGTCTTATAATCATTTCAGTAGCAATCTCCTTAAAGTATAACTCAGATCATGTCACTTGCTTGCTCCAAAACCCCTGATGGTTGCCCACAGCCAATCAAATTAGACAACCTCATTGGCCTTACATTCAAGGGATCCTAACCTAATTTTCTCGCCTCATCCCTCACATGGGACCTACATTTTTGGCAAAGTGAGAGTGAAAGAGACGGCTTGTATCACAATATTTATTCTTCTCTTCTTCCTTAGAAATAGCACTCTTGACTGTTACATGGGCACAGGACCACTGTATTTCCCAGTTTGCCTTGCAGTTAAGCATGACTGTTTGACAAAGTTCTGGCAAATAGGAAGTAAACAAAAATGTTGTGTGCATCTTGTGGGGAGTATCCTTAAGTGGTAGGGGGTATCCACTTTTACATATCTTCTTCCTTATGGCGTGGCAGAATGCACATACGATGCTGGACCTTGGGCTGCCCTCCTGGACTATAAAGTAGAAGCCAAGTATTGGGGATGGCAGCACAGAATGAGAGAAAGAGCCTGGTTTCTCGATGATCACAGTGTTATCCTACCAACCCTGAACTCCCAACCTCTGGACTCCTCTAAGTGAGAAAAAGATAAACTTCTTTCTTGCTTAACCCACAATTATTTTGTTGTCCATTCTTTTGTTTCATTTTATCGCATACAGCCAAATCTAATCTTAATTGATACTGGGGGCTCCCTCTCACTTTCTCAGAGCATGGTCTTCTTGCCTCCAAGCCTCTCTGTTCTCAGAGTTCTCTCTGCTGGCTGTGTCCAGCCCCTTCTTGTCCCTACCCTTCTGTTATGTACATCTCTACCTCTGCAACCAACCCACTGTCAAGGCCCATCTCCAATGTCTTCTACATGAGGCCTTTCTGATCCTCCCATCACTAGAGTCTCCCACTCCTTAGATTCCTCCAGCCCATTCAACTCCCTGATGTGATGTCTTCCTTCATAGTGATCACTCTAAACCAGTCTTACCTCACCGTCCTCCTCTTCTATATAAGGGCAGAGAGACCCTGAAGCACCATGGTGTACACATGGTCAGTGTTTGTTGAGACACATTTTGGGCATGGCACAGCTCACACTGATTGATTCCCCCTTCTTTGGGAGTTACCACTGCCCCACACCCCCTCCCATCACCACCGCCATCATGTTTTTCAATATGGTTGCCCTTGGCCGTGGTGGACTGGATGTGTGATAGACACCTTTCTCCTAGCTGACTTAGAGAGAGTCTCTCTTCTGAGAAATGGAAGAAAAGCTCTAAGGCAGTATGTTGCCTTGAGAGATATGGGCAGCCATATTGTGCCACGAGGACTGTAGAAGTGGTAAAGTCTCTCTGCAGAGTGAGAGAAGCTGGACAAGATGTGGAGAGAGACTTTGATGACTTTCCAGCTTCTTGGCTCAACTGTTCTAGAAGTAAGGATGTGCTCCTGCACTTGGATTCTAGGAGACTCCTTTGATTCTTACTATAACAAGTGTCCACTTTTAATTTAAGCTAATTCTAGCTGACTTTTGTTCTTGACACCAAAAGCTCAATATATATTTGTGGAATTTTATTTAACTGGATTTGTCAGAGGGTCACAGATTGTTTGGTGGTAAAACGGGAGCCCTTCAGCTCTGTCCATTTGGTGGGATGACCACATGGGTTCAGAGCATCACACATTTCTTTTTCTTTCTCCCTTGCCCCTCATTGTGCCCTCCTTTGGCTTTCTGTGACATTTGTTATCCCACTCACGACATTTACCATTAATTGCCCTATTTTTTCAGTATCCATGAGTATCCAGCTCACAGGCTGCAGGGGGCCATGGCCCTATCTTACTTGTTCTCCTGTCTCCAAAAGCTCAAGGAAGCCATTGGTATGTTACTTTCTGTTTATTTGCATTGGGAATAATCAGAATTATAACAGGCCAGTTTTTGTTATCATAACCAGACTAATTTCATTTAATCTTTACCAAGATTGAGTTTATTTGTAAACTGAAGTCCACCGATGGAAAGAGGAAGAAAATGCCGTATCCTCTTAACCGCTTAAAAATCTTGACCTCAAAGAGAAGGAAAAAGCTGAAGCGGGAATGTTGAAGAAACATAAATTTCAATAAGTGAATAACTTCAGGCTTTAATATGAAATTCACTCTCAAGTGAGTTGGGCAATGGAACACGTATTCTTCTGTTTTCTGTGTTCAGCAGACAGCTGGAAACCCACACAGGATGCCAGAACTATGTGACCTACATTTGCAGTTAGACAGCATTTGTTAAAATGAAATCAAAGATTCAAAGTGTTTAAGTTTACATTTCTTTGGGAGTATTATATGTACTGGATAATGGAACAACAGATGCATTTCTTCTTCTTCTTTTTTTTCCTTCCAGGTATTTAAATTCACATTAATCTGCCTTTTCATTCTTTAAAAACAAAGACACACAAGCAGAAAACTCCCACTGAAGCCTTTTTTAGGTATAAAACATTAATCTATTGAAAGCTTCACTAATGTACAATATCTCTGCATCTTTGGAATTAAGGTAAAATTTGAAATAAACTGAACTTTTTGCATTCTGGTTTACATCTTGATATTGTTAGTGTGGATGAAATAAATAAAGATACATAATTAACATTGCAGTCAGATTTATTTTCTCCTCAAGCAAATTGCCTGTGAGTACATTTTCTGGAATCAAGAGCAAATGTTTAAAGGGAAATTCCAGATTCCCATGAGATTCCCTGAATAAGCCTACTCAGATCTAGCCACTAACTGCTTAAAGAGAGCATAGAGTTCATTTTGAAGATTGTGGTAATCAAGGTGGGAGGTAGGGCGTCTTTTTCTGGGGCTTGGTCCAGGAGGGATTTCCTTTAGAAATAAAGGTCTGTTCTCAACCAAAGTCTTCACACCCTCAGACCCTTGATCCCCAGATGGAGCCAATGCTGCCTAAACCTTCAGGGATTACAAATCCTTGCAGCCTTTGGTGTTGATTCTCAACTCACAGAGAGCCCTTTATTTCTCCAAATTTCCAGGGAAAATTAACAAGCTATTTCCACATTTCCATGGGTATCATTTCTGTCTGGAATGTCTTTCCCACTCTTCTTTATTATTCTTTCCCTCGCTTCCATCCAACTAATCTACTGAGATTCAATGCAAAGGTCATTTCTTTGGAGAGGTCTTCGCCAACTGACTAAAAATAATCTTTCTCCTCCAAGTGCCACTCACAGCTCTATTTTCATATCTACGATGCTTACAAGTCACATTTGTAAATGGTTCTGGCCCTTTTCCCAGTGGGCTGCCCCTCCCTAGCCCTCTCTTCTAGTACTTGAACTCCCTCTGGGATGTGGCCCTATTTTGCTCCTCTTTGCATGCTCGACACTTAGCCCATTTGGAGTTTAACAGGGTTGCAGAGTAAAAGCATGTTAGTTGCTTTACTGCATCAATCATACACGCTCTTCTATATCTCCCTTGATTCTTCTATGCCTATAAATGTGCTCAGGTATCTTTTCAAACTATAAAATATTTTAACTATATATATATATATATATATATATTTTTTTTTTAGGGACAGGTTTTTCTCTGTCACCCAGGGTGACAGAGTGGCACAATCATAGCTCACTGCAACCTCAAACTCCTGGGCTCAAGAGATCCTCCTGCCTCAGCCTCCTGAGTAGCTAGGATTACAGATGTGCACCACCATGCTCAGTTAATTTTTTTTTTCAGTAGAGATAGGGTTCTGCTCTGTTGGCTAGGCTGGTCTCGTATTCTTGACCTCAAGTGATCCTCCTGCCTTGGCATCTCAAAGACTTTAACCTTCGAATAAATAAGAATCCAGGGTTCAGCTGGGCACAGTGGCTTACGCCTGTAATCCCAGCACTTTGGGAGGCCGAGGCAGGAGGATCATCCGAGGTCAGGAGTTTGAGACCAGCCTGGCCTCAACCATTCCCCTAAAGGACTCTTCTTTGCCATTATTTGAAGTATAGTACTGTTTATGTATGGCTCTTTCCATGCACCTCCTTTTCGCCAACATGGGAAACTCTGTCTCTACTAAAAATACAAAAAAAAAAAAAAAATTAGCCGGGCATAGTGGTGGGCGCCTGTAGTTCCAGCTACTCAGGAGGCTGAGGCAGAGAATCACCTGAACCCTGGAGACGGAGGTTGCAGTGAGCTGAGATTGTGCCATTGCACTCCAGCCTGGGTGACAAGAGTGAAACTCCATCTGAAAAAAAAAAAAAGAATCCAAGGTTCGCAGTGATATGAATGAATAAATAATTATAGTAGTGGAGGAGAATGGGAAGCTTTTCCTTATATTATGAAGCCAATCAATAAATGTAGAAGGGAGGATGAATTTAGAAAGTTACCATTTGGTAATCAATATAATAATAATTGATTTAGGCAAGAATTATCAATAAATTTTATAGCTAGGGGTGAAATTTTTAGGAGAAACAGGACATTTACATAGTCTCAAGGTATCTTCCCACAAAATTCATATTACAAAGAGAAAAACAGTAAGTTTATAGTAGAGAAACCTAGCAAATACCACCTTGACCAAAATGATCAATTGACCAATCCTGGGATAAATCAACACCAGGTGTCCCCGATATGATGCACTATGAAAGACATAACATTCCTTATATACTGCTCCTACCATAAAAGCATTACCAGAATTTAATCATGAGGAAACATCAGACTAATCCAAATAAAGGGACATCCTACAAAAGAGAATCCTGTTCTCTTAAAAAATGTGAATACTTCATGATGTATGAAGAAAGGCTGGTTCCAGACTAAAGAAAACTAAAGCGACATGACACTTGAATGCAACACACATGTCTGGAGTGTTCTTGTGCAATGTAGGACATTAATGAAACAACTGGCAAAATCTCAGTAAGGTCTGTTAACTAGGTAATCGTATTGTCTCAATATTAATTTCCTGATTTTGGTCATTATGTTGCAGTTATATAAAAGAATATTATTGCTTTTTAGGAAATACACTGAAGTATGAAGTGTTAAAACAGCATAATATCTGTGACTTACTCCTAACCAGTTCAGAAAAAATAAATGTGACCAAAAGAGAAAGAGAAAGAGAGAAGTAAAGCAAATACAGAGAATGTAATAAAATATGAGTATAGAAATTATTTGCGCTATTGGAAGTTTTCTGATGTCTAAAATTCTGTCAAAATATAAAGTGAAAAGAAAAATAAAACCCACCACCACAAGCCAATCAAACTTGTCTTTGCTTCCTCATCCTCCAATCAAGGTTCTTAAGAAAAAGACTAACAGTCTCTGAACTTCTCGTTGACTTCTACCTACTGCAATCCATCATCCTTATCCATCGCCCAACTGAAATCGTCTTGATATAATCTCCAATGATCTTAGTGCTGCCAAATTCAATAGCATTTTTCTGTCTTATTCTTCTTTGCAGCATTTGACACTCATCACTTTGTTTTTAGAAGCTCAACACAGCTAATGACCTTTTCCTCGCCTAACCTTCCAGTTTCCCTCCCACTGTTCCCCGCAAGAACTCTTCTTTGCCATTATTTGAAGTGCAGTACTGTTTATATATGGCTCTTTCCATTCACCTCCTTTTCCCAGATCACTCTCATCTCCAACTAGCAGACTCCAGCTCATCCATCAGCTGTCGGCTCATATATCACCTCCTTTAAGAAGTCTTCTCTGAATGTTCTGTTGAATTTTTATAGTACTTACACCCCATGCTTCCTCTCCATAGCAGTTAGCACCATGTAATGGAATTGTCAGTTTCCTTATCTGTCTCCCATTATAAAATCCTGAAAGTCAGAGACCCTGGTGTATTCATCTTAGTATTCTCAGCACTGAGTACAACTCCTGGCACAAACTAGACACTCAATGTGCATTGGATGCGTAATTGATTGACAGAGAAGCATGCTAAATCTGAAAACAGAATCTGGTTTCTTATTCCTAGACCTCAATGAACAGAAATTTATTTTAAAACAAGATGTTGTATAAACAGAAGGCATTAGTTTTGTTTATTTTTGTTTTGTTTTGTTTTAAGTAGGCATATTTCATTGTTATGGCTATTTAGCACACTTGGACTATAAATACTATTTGTGGAACTACTGTTTGGCTCCGACAATAACAGACCAAAATGAGACAGTAAAAGCCTTGCACGCAGACTTTTCTTCATTTGCAGGTCTTCTCATGCCTAATGCTAGTGCTATTACTCTTTATACTCTTGTTTCCTAATGGTTTCTACATTGTAGAGAAAATGAAGTTAGGCATAAGGCATAAAATATGTTAATTAACCTTATAGCAGCTTCAAAATGATGCTAAAATAATGGCCTTATCCTCCTGAAAAAGAAAAAAACATTTTGTCAAATTGTTGGAACAAAATGAAACTCTGGAAAAGTCTCACAAGAGACATGCTTTATTGTTGTCCCCCATAACGATTTGTCCTGGAAACCAGTGGTCATAGTACCTCCTCTCAACTGTAAAACAACTGAGCTGCAGCTTACATCTAAGACCATGAAGGAGAAGGAGGGGTGACACTTTAAGCCCTTTACACAGAGTTTACATCAGGTAGAATTTTATGGAATACCAAATTCAGTGTTGCTATTGATTTTTGACAATTTTAAAAAATCCTTACTTTTTTTGATGATTATGAGGAAAGGTGCACTCAGAGACTGGCCTGGATCCTAGTTTTAGGGCATTGAAGTTAGTATCCTTCCACACTTTTGCTTCGTCTGTTACCTTAAGGAAAACATGGCTTCAGCTGAGTGTGGTCTTATGGGACTGGATTTGGATTTGGATTTGGATTTGGATTTGGATAGGCCTCTGGATGGACAGTAAATTATGAAAGCACATAAAAATCTCCACAAACTTGGAGGAAAGAGAATTGTTAAGAATTCAGGTTTTTTTCAAAGACCTCTTTTTCACACACTCAAAAGTTAAACTCAGGTGTTGCTCTTATGCAATGCTCTTCACACAGAAATTCAATATTTGATGATGATGATGTTTAAAGTACACAAAGATTCCCAGATACGAAACCAGATGTGTAACAGAGGAATCCTTCTTGTGCTGCAAGAGTCCAAGAAGGCAAAAAGGTGGCAACAGAACCAGTGTAAAAAATTAAGTGCTTGAAAAGTCACTTTCCAAGGAGTGTACCTTAGAGTAGGCCAAATTTCTTAAACAGGACATAAAAATAGTGCTGATCATAAAAGAAAGATGAATAAATTAAATTATATTAAGATTTACAACTTCTGTTTATAAAAAGATACATTTAACAGAAAGACAATCTACACCCACAGAGTGGGAGAAAATATTAACGCAAAGGATTTGAACACAGAACATTTTTTAAAAATTCCTACAAATCAATAAGAAGGAAAACAGAAAACTCGGTAAAAAAAACTGGCCAATGAATTGACAGACACTTCACAAAGGAAGATATCCAAATGGCCAGTAAATGCACAAAATGATGCTCAACTTCATTAGTTATCAGGGAATTAAAACTGTTAGCTCAACTTCAAAGATCAGTGACTGTTTCTGTGTTTGCACATATGTATAGTCAAGTCTTTGAAGATAGATGGAACATTTTCTTGCCATTTCTATTTCAATGGGTTCCAAGATATTAAGTCTCTGTCCCAACTAACAATGAATGAGTCTTGAGAACCCATCTCAGACAGCCATCAACAGACCTGGCTTGCACTAAAGAAATAGACATTCATGTTTGGGCTCTCTTTTACATGCATTATTTTCAAAATAACCACATCTTAATCACATCAAACATTTGAGACACAAGTGTCTCAAAAACCATCCTCTTTAGAGAAGAAAGGAAGAAAGAAAACAAAAGCTAATCTTTAAAGTCTAAAAAAGATAAATGATTTACCCAAATTCCAATGACAAATAAAAAATTTTCTATCTTAATTATCCAAACATTATTTCTTCCTTCATTCAAATAAACTTTTCTTGAACACCTACTACCTGCCAGACGTGTGCCACGACTGAGGGATATAAACACATGTGACGTAGGATATTTTCAATTCATTGACTCAGATGAGCACAAATGCAATTTGTTTTTCAATAACGGAAATCAGCTTCTGTCTGTCTAATGGTGTAATGAATAATTTAATCTTTCCAGATAAAATTGGTTGTTTCAGGGTCCATTTGCAGATTTTCTCTTTTCCTCTTTCCATTCTCCAGGTACTGGGGGCTGAGTTCCCCAGGGGCTAACATAGCAGTGGTGGGGGGAAAATAGAGAGGGGTCTCATTGGCAGCTCCCCTCTGCCTTATGCTGGCACCTGCTAAGGTGTCTAATCAATTGCTGAGTTCTCGGGCATGGCCACCCCTTCATCTTGGCTTTAATGAAACAAGTCTTGTCTTCAGTTCATGCACACTGTGTTCTCCTCATCCAGGTGTGCAAGTCTACTGTCAGCCATCTGTGTGGCCCTCCTGGGGCAGCGGAGCTCTAAGAAGCTCTCTTGTGGAAACGGGGAAAGGATCCCCTATTTAATAAATGGTGCTGGGAAAACTGGCTAGCCATATGTAGAAAGCTGAAATTGGATCCCTTTCTTACACCTTATACAAAAATTAATTCAAGATGGATTAAAGACTTAAATGTTAGACCTAAAACCATAAAAACCCTAGAAGAAAACCTAGGCAATACCATGCGGGACATAGACGTGGGCAAGGACTTCATGACTAAAACACCAAAAGCAATGGTAACAAAAGCCAAAATAGACAAATGGGATCTAATTAAACTAAAGAGCTTCAGCACAGCAAAAGAAACTACCATCAGAGTGAATAGGCAACCTACAGAATGGGAGAAAATTTTTGCAATCTACCTATCTGACAAAGGACTAATAACCAGAATCTACAAAGAACTTGAACAAATTTACAAGAAAAAAATCAAACAATCCCATCAAAAAGTGGGCAAAGGATATGAACAGACACTTCTCAAAAGAAGACATTTATGCAACCAACAGGCACATGAAAAAATGCTCATCATCACTGGTTATCGGAGAAATGCAAATCAAAACCACAATGACATATCATCTCACACCAGTTAGAATGGCGATCATTAAAAAGTCAGGAAACAATAGGTGCTGGAGAGGACATGGAGAAATAGGAATGCTTTTACACTGTTGGTGGGAGTGTAAACTAGTTCAGCCATTGTGGAAGACAGTGTGGTGATTCCTCAAGGATCTAGAACTAGAAATACCATTTGACCCAGTGATTCCATTCCTGGGTATATACCCAAAGGATTATAAATCGTGCTACTATAAAGACACACGCACACGTATGTTTATTGCTGCACTATTCACAATAGTAAAGACTTGGAACCAACCAAAATGTTGGATTAAGAAAATGTGGCACATATACACCATGGAATACTCTGCAGCCATGAAAAAGGATGAGTTCATGTCCTTTGTAGGGACATGGATGAAGCTAGAAACCATCATTCTGAGCAAACTATCGCAAGGACAGAAAACCAAACACTGCATTTTCTCATTCACAGGTAGGAATTGAACAATGAGAACACTTGGACACAGGGCGGGGAACATCACACACCAGAGCCTGTCGTTGGGTGGGGGGAGGGGGGAGGGATAGCATCAGGAGAAATACTTAATGTAAATGACTAGGTAATGGGTGCAGCACACCAACATGGCACATGTATACATATGTAACAAACCTGCACTTTGTGCACATGTACCCTAGAACTTAAAGTATAATTTAAAAAAAAAAAAGCAATTATGATGTAAAAAAAAATGAAACAAAAAAAAAGAAACAGGACAATCTGTGATTTTAATATTAAGATAGCAAATTGACTTACAAAAAAAAAGAAGCTCTCTTGTGCCTTTCAGGGGCAGCCACAAGCCTCTCAGCCAGCATCCCATGATGAACATCCCTACATTGGTACTGCACTGTGGTAGATTGAATTATTTTTCCCAATTGAGCAATTCCTCCCCATATAATAGGATTATATTCCCCACCCATTGTCATGTGACTTGTCCTCCCTAATGGTGGGAGGAATATGCATCCCTGCCTCATTGCCTTTTGGTTTGGCCATGTGACATGCTTTGTTTAATGAGATGTGAACGGACATGGCATTTGTCACTTTAAGCAGAAGCTCTAAAAGCAATTGAGTGTTTTGGCCTGACCTCTTGGGCTAAATAAGAAATGTTTCATCAGTTCTAGTCTGGGATGAAAAGACACATTTAACAGACCCACATGACCCACAGGACTGTGGTCAAGAAATAAATGTTCATTGCCATAAGTCGTTGAAATTGTGGGGTTGATTGTTGCCACAGCAAAAGCTGATTAACACAAACCCCATTCTGACATGTGCAGAGAAAATTCTAGGGAGTTGGAAAAATGTGGGAACGCTTTCCTTTATCCCATGCTCACAGAACCCCAGACTTATCTGAGAATTCCGTGGTCCTCTTATGAGAATTTAGCTAAGTAGTGCAGGAGTGCTTTCTCAGGGAAACTTTGGAGAGACCCTTCAACATTCAGTCCTCTAACTTTCCTTCCAACTCATAGCTCTACACCCCTGGCATGGCTTGGAGAAATATTTCTTAATATAAAAGAAGGGACAGGAATATCTCTTTATCTTCCTCCCTGAACCTCAGCTTTATCTTTTTCAAACTTAAAAGACAAAATGTTACTGTCATTATGGCCCCTCGGGCATGGTGGGCCCATGTTTAGTGGCTTGACTGGAGAAGGATCAGGGTTCAAGAGAAGAAATTCAGTGAAGTTCAGGGTGACAGTAGAAACAGCTTGATTATTCAAACAAAATAATGTCTCAGTGAATGTTCTCAAGGAATGTACAGCTTCGTAGAGGAGATAGACCTTTCACCAATAAGCACGAGAAAAGCTTTCAGCTCTGTGTTAGACACATGTATATAAGGAATTCACTGGAGTCCAAATGGGAGGAATGCTAAATTTCTATCTGGAGAGAGGGTGGAATGAAAAGTTTCCTGAAGAAAATGACCCTAAAATAACATTTAAGGGGTGAACATGATTACCACTGGTGTTGAGGTAGGATAAAGCCATTCTGGGAAGAAAAAAAATACGAGCAAAATCTGAAGGTTTTGTCCTAGATGGTTCCAATTTTGAGAGAGATCTATTGAAACCTTACATTATAATTTTTGTTAAGTTCTCCTTGATTTTTTGTTGTTGTTGTTGTTCATTTTTTGTGTTTTGTTTGTTTGTTTGTTTTTCAGAATATATCTAGTTCTATTGCCCAGGCTGGAGTGCAGTGATGCAATCTCGGCTCACTGCAACCTCCGCCTCCTGGGCTCAGGTAATTCTCCTGTCTCAGCCTCCCAAGGAGCTGAGATTATAGGCATGTGCCACCAAGCCTGGCTAATTTTGTATTTTTAGTAGAGACAGGGTTTCACCATGTTGGCCAGGCCGGTCTCGAACTCCTGACCTCAGGTGATCCACTCACCTCAGCCTCCCAAAGTGCTGGGATTACAGGCGTAAGCCACCACACCCAGCCCTCCTTGACTTTTTAATGCATTTTGCTTTATTTACTTATTTTCTAGGTTGTTTGGTTAATAATAGATGAGTTGAAACAAGCATGAATGAGTTATATATGAAAATACGTATATTATTTCTAGGGACAGACATGTTCTTATACTGTATTGTAATATGTTATAATAATACATGTAGTAATAATATTATATAACATATGATAGTTTCTAATGACAAGCATGTTTTTATTTTTTGTGCTTTACAAAACTTCTCTCATAAACTACATGAAGAAGTAGTAGATGAGCTAGAAGCAACTGGTGGAAATTTGGATGATGATGCAATCATAAACTGCGGAACTTAACTTTCTGATTCTTGTCTTTAATTTCTAGACTGCCATCAGCCTAGCTCTGTAACAAAGAGAAATTAGAGTAGTCCAGGAAAAAAGCACTAGTCTAGAAGTCTAAGGAAACCAAAGAAACTTGAAATATCTAATTCTACCTCTATTTTCTGTGGTTTTTGCTTTGTTTTCATGGGAAGCTATTTTCAAGGGAAGTATGTAATACATTTTCTTCATAAAAGTGCTGCATCCCTTTAACATCCTATGACTGCTAAATCTGATGTCACAACATCCAAGGATAACTCTACTGCAAATGCTAGTAGTGATACTAATAATATCTAATGTGTATTGAGTGATTACCATACGGCCAACTTATTCTAAGTGCTTTATGTGGATATTGTGAAATTGTATAAGAATTCTCAAAACACAAACATTTCAACTCAAGCTAATGAAAAATGCACTGTGTCTAATTGTCTTTTGTTGGAATCTAGCCTAATGAAATAATTCAGAGTATGGAAAATGTGATTTGCATGATTATATTACTCAGAATATGAAACCACAGGGAAATAGTTGAGTAAAACATGGCATATCCACCTAATGAAACATGAGTTATACATGTTAAGTGATCATATAACTCATGTTTTCTTTGTGATTATTCCTTTAATGCCTAACAGCCCATTTGGAATGTGACCTATAATTGTCTGTTTTCTTCACTACCATATTATTGGTGCTGCATAGTGTCTATGCAAAATTGGCATTCAATTTATTTTGTTAAATTATTAAATAAGCAATATAGAAATAAGAAAAACTGCTAGTAACCAACTATCAAATAAAACAAGGAAGAAGATCACAGTGGTGAGTTTACAACTATGTAACACAGGTCTATCAAAAAGACTGGAGTAGAATACTTAGAATGATAACTTTCCTGTGCAGGTAAGGTTATAAAATTTAGTTTTTACTATTTTTACAATATGGAAGCCATAACAGGAGTCTAAATGAAACTTTTCCAGTCTGTGCATTAAGACTGAGAACAATAGCTTTTAAGTGCTTATAGGTTCTCATGAAGGGTCGAAAACATCTGTGCATGACTTCTAGGCCCTTCTATCTCCATTCTCTCCATACTAAGAAAGGATAAGGATGGAAGGTTGGGAGAAATTTCTTTGGAGAGATTTGTTGGAGTGCTATGCTTTTCCCAGCCACCTTCAAAGGCTGGTTTAGGAATACCTCTCAGGGAGCTTGATGTGGGTCCGTGAAGTTTGAAGGGCACAGACACATACCTGACTTTGACTTAGACAAGTCCATAGTCAGGGCTGTGAGCAGAGAGAGCTACCAGAGAAGTCATCCCTCATCCTGGATTCTGTGAGAAGCATCCTACCAGAAGCAGGAGAGCTGCTGTACTGCACAACTCCATGGGAGACGTGATGGAACTGAAGGGTGAGCCACAGATAACCAGGGGAGGGTGCAGTGGGAGAATCTAAGAGAAGGAGGTCACGAAAGAATCACAGAACCCACAAAGGTGCTCCATGAGAGAAACCATCACATAGAATACAGCCAGAAAACAAGGAATAAGAAGAGAAAAGAGGGCCCTCTCTCTCCGCATTTTCCCTCTGCAAGTGTTCAAGCATGGGTCAGGTGAAACTGTGCAGGCCAGGAGCAAAGCTTTAAATTTCTTGACAGATTGGAAATGTTGACCTAGGTTAAGCTGGGCTTCTTAATACATGAGAATGACAATATTTTAATATACAAATATGGCTAGAAAAAAATGATGGGGTTTGCTTTAGATATCTTTGCATGATGGAGAAAAGAGAGCAAATAGAGCAGTTCTGAAATATTGTGGTGTGAGAAAAACAAAGCTACTTCATGATATGACTCCACAAATCCTAGCTTATTCATTAAGCTAGTTCTCTTGGGCAAATGAAAAAAATATGCATTATGCCTTTTTAATTTTATGTGTGTGTATACACATACATATTACTTCATGAGAAATTGTGTTTCTTAAAGACAAACACTAAAGTAATAGCCATTTCCATTATAAAGAACAGAAGGGGCGGGGGCAGTGGCTCACATCTGTAATCCCAGAACTTTGGGAAGCTGAGGAGGGCAGATCAGTTGAGCCTAGAAGTTTAAGACCAGCCTGGACAACATAGGGAGGCCCTGTTTCTACAGAAAATTTTAAAAATAGCGAAGTGTGTGGCACCTGTAGTCCCAGCTACTCGGGAGGCTGAGGTGGGAAGATCACTTGAGCCCAGGAGGTTGAGGCTGCAGTGAGCCATGTTTGTGCCACAGCACTCCAGCCCGAGTGACAGAATGAGACCCTGTCTCAAACAAACAAAAAAAACAGAAGGAGGAAAATCTATGGCTCTATGGTAAATCTTGATGTATAAAGTTGGTATAAAGAAGCGGGGAAGAAAGAAAAATTCCAGTCACCAAGTATTGATTAATTTCCTGTGCTAATACTCTGTTTGCCTCTCCAGACCTACTCTCCATCATCTCTTCCCCACTCTGAGTCTTGGGAGGCAGACGTCCATGGACTGCTTCACTCTCAACCTCCTTGACTTTACTTGGGTTTGGCCAATCAGAAGCATTAGTAGAAGATGAAGGAGAAGGAAGAGAGAGAAGCTGGAGTACTTATTCCCTGACCTTCCTGCCCTCCGCTAGGCCAAAGGTTTGGGCAATGGTTGCATTCTCCTAGATTCCTCTAGGTTGCTTTGTATCCTCGGCTTTTCTCAGAAGGTTCCTCTTTCAAGGATTCTGTTTGGTTTGCACTGGGTTCCAGTAAGATCACTTGCCTTCCCCTTCAGGGTTGAGGGTGGCCATGGCTTCCTAATGCATCCTAGGTATCTCATCCTCCCACATTGGTTCCAGTTCCCTGCCCACACCTCTTCAAAGAGAACCTTTGTTAAACTCTATCCATTAAAGCTTTGAACCTTTGTTAAACTCTATCCATTAAAGCTTAAGGACCTTCTGGTTCCTTAGAAGAGTCTAATAAAACAGTACCTATACTGAAGATCTTTTTCCATTTCTATTCAAGAGGAGGAGGCAAGGTAATTCCTTCCAAGGAATTTAGTTGCAATTAATGATAAACATGTTTATGATGTGCCAAGCATAATATTAGGCACTGTGGAGGGAACAACAGGGGTATGAGATTCCCGTTACTAGAATAGTGAGCTTGGAATCCAACATTTACTGACAAGATATTGGTCTAGAAAGAATAATTTCATCCCTAATAATTTTATAAGATTGTTATAGGAAGAAAAGAAAACACTGTACATGAAAGTGTGTTTTGCACCTCAGGCATCAGCATCTTTTCCGAGTTTCACAAGGCTGTGGCCACAGTGCATTGGCTCTGATTGTTCCTTAGCAAAGAGGGAAGGCTAATTCTTGGAGGATAGCACTCAAACTACAGGTGAGATAGTAGCCATGGGAAAAATGCTCCCATCAGGAACTTCTTTCTGGAAAAGTAAGAAGGAGACAAAAGAGGCAGGAGAAAGAAAAGTCACTAGGATGCCCTGAGACTCCAGCCTTTAACAGGCACTCCTAAAGCTTCACCCTGTACAGACCTCAATCTTTGTTTCCCAGTGACACTGTTTGCAGCTTTATCTTTGCCATCTTCCTTCCAGCATTTGAATGACTTCTCACTTTCCTATGTTGTTCACTACTTCCAGACCCCATAGAAGCCACAAGATACAACATTATCTGATGTAGACACCACATGTGAATGCATTTTGTGGACTGCAGGAAACCACTTAGGCAGACTGATTCAGACGGAGACAGCTTTACAAGGCACACTCCCTGCTGAGGCTGTGTCACTGCCATTCAAAAGCTGTGTGCTGTTCTGAAGTTCAAACACCATAGGCACATCATCGCCTCCAACAATCAGGAATGGCAGAGATGAGATTAAGTAATGGTCTCTAAACATCAGTTTGCTGGTGTTACATACTTAATGAGACTTTTAAAATGTGTACATATATTTTTTTAAATTTTACTTTAAGTTCTGGGATACATGTACAGAACATGCAGGTTTGTTACATAGGTATACATGTGCCATGGTGGTTTGCTGCACCTACCAACCCATACACATTAAAAAATGTGTACATATTTTTAAACCACTCAGAAATTGTAAAATGCTTGTGCTTTTGAGGCTAGTTGGGTGTATTAATTTTCCGTTGCAATGAACTCAGTTGATTCTAATATATGCCTCAATATTTGAGGATCAATACATGCCAGGAAGGAGTTTGCTAACTTTTTATTTGCCCTTTCCTTTTTAGACGATATCATTCATAAGAAAGAAATGTAATACATTGATTTGAAATTTGGCTCAATGAAAAATCAGTGCCCTCTGGGCAGCAGCTTTAAATTAATCATCAGTGCATTTATTGAGTTGCTACTAAGGGTCTACATCTCTGTTACTTGGATGGTGGCATGTTACTAAGCTATCTTTTTCTGCAAAGTGGGAAAAAGATGCTTATGCATAAGTGTAATGCTTCCAGAATAGAAAACTTTTCTGAAGTTTGCATTGAGTATGTATGCTTACATAATGAGGAAAATAAACAATTAGGCCATTTGAAAAAGAATAAGTGAAGAAGACAGGTAAAATGTGTGACCCTAACCATCACTACCCTTTTCTTTTTTCCTGGTACTTCTTTCCCATCTAATGTCTCTCCAAGATTTCCAATTTTTCTGCCATAAGCAAAAATCTTTAGTACAATTAAACCTTTAGAACACCATTTGAATAACTTGTCAGCATTATATTCCGTTTCTTCAGAAGAAGTCCATTTATATTCAACAAACATATATCAATAACCTTCAATGTAATATTGAATGAGGTAATACATGCAAAGCACATATAGGAAGTTTACTGCTCAATAAGTGTTAGTTGCATGATGAAGATAATCATCATGATGATGGTGATTTTCCAAGCATTGTGCTAAATGCAAAGATGTACGCTTGTGAACAAAAAAGATATGGTCCCTGCCCTTAAGTGCGTTTCTTTCTGGTTGGACAAGACAGAAAACACACAAAACCAGTAAGATAGTACCAGTATGATAAGTGCTGCTTTTCTATCAAGTGTTTTGTTTTGATAGAAAAGGAAAGTAATTTAGGAAAGTAATTTTTAAATGATTTGAGTCTCATGTAAAGGTTTGAACCAATGGATCTGAGGTTGCTTCCTCAGATATTTAATAATATACATATGAAATATATATTTGTATATAATTTGAAATATATATTATAAAATATAGATGTACATATATATAATTTGAAACTAACTCTCTTAATTTAAGAGATTTGTTTATACCTCTAAAAAAAACCAGGTAATTTCTCATCTCTTCTTTCACTTAGACTGCACTTGGTTGCATCTGTGTTTACTAACTTAACTTATCAGGAGCAGAATGCAATCTCTAGAATCATCTTCTGGGAGGGAGGGAGAAACACAAGAATCATTCTCCTCCAGTGAAGAACTGAGATAACAGAAAAAACAACTTCTAAATAGAATCTACCCTTCAAATTCCTTCCTAAAATTAGTCATTAAGATCATTTAAAAAATTTTTCTTTTTCCTTAGTGTAATCTAATTACTAAATAGTTTAGAGGAAATCCTAAGGAAATAAGAAAACTGGTTAAAAGGGAAAGTAAATTAGTCTTTGAAGTACAATCCTAAAGCCTGAGTTTTTTCTGTTTCTCTGCAAGCATGATGTTTTTGCGTAATTTAATTGGCTCATTTCTCATTTTTTGTCATCTCTTTCTTGTTTCCTAGCTGAGGGAAAGACCACTGTACTTTGTGCCATTGTTTTAACTTCTATCAAAGGCCTTATTATGCATACCCTGTCAAAAGTAATATCAAAATCCATAGTCCTTACTTTCAACAGACTTAAATATAATTGGACTTAAAACCACCAATTACGTCCTCAATTCAGCTGGTGTTTAAGGTGAAAAATGCAATTTCCCTAGAGGAAATAGGAACACACTGAATTTATAAAATACTTTCAAAGGGATTTTATAATTGTCCCTTTTCCCTGCCAGGCCTATGTCCCACTGCACCTCTCCAAGCACAGGAGATTCCTATCGTGCCACGTTGCCCACTGTTCCCAAAACACACCCTGCACCTTCCCCTAGCAATGCTTTTGCTCCATGTTTCCTCTGCAGGGAATGCCTTGCTCCCTCCTGCAATTCCCCTCCTGAAATCCAACTCATCCTGCCAAGCCCAGCTCAGATGTTACCTCCTTCTTAAAGCCTCCCTCATTGCCAGAATTATTCTTCCCTTATTGTTGCTCTGCTATAACTAACTTCTCTCATTGTACCTGATTTTAGAGGTGTTTGTGGTCCTACTGTTTCTCTTTCTGCATTTCTACACTGTAGATTTTTTTTTTGGGCGGGGGACAGGGTCTCATTCTGTTGCCCAGGCTGGAGTCATGGTACAATCATGTCTCACAGCAGCCTCAATCTCCTGGGCTCAAGTGATCCTCCCACCTCAGTCTCCTGAGTAGCTGGGACCACAGGTGTGCACCAGCAAGCCCAGCTTTTTTTTTTTTTTCACTTCTTTGTAGAGACAGGGGTCTCACTATGTTGCTCAGGCTGGTCTCAAACTGCTGGCCTCAAGCAATCTGCCCACCTCACCCTCCCAAAGTGCTGAGATTACAGTCGTGAGCCACCATGCCTGGCCTGTAAATTCTTTAAAGGCAGGAATTTTGACATTTATTTTTATATGCTTCTATCCCTTCTCAGGGTACCTTTGGCCTAGAAGGTATTCCATAATTGTTTTTAATGAATGAATAATCAACAAGTCTATGCATTGCATCCATCATGGATTGCTTCCATCATAATTCACTTATGTTCAGAATCCTTATGATAGTAGAATATGTTTTTCTCTCCCCAAAAAGAATTACTAATAGACATTTCTTTGTCTCCTCACATTTATAGAATATAAAGCCTTGTGCAGAGGAAGAGGCTAATGTTAGCTTTTTTTCCCCTGCAGCAATTTCATGGCTATAAAACCATTTTCCTCTAATCATTGCAATGAACACATAACGTGCCCTGGTAAACACTTCTGTCTGATGTGAACCTTTCCTAATGGAGTCAGCTCTCCAGCCAGGAATTTTCATTAAACAGTGCACTGTGCTGGGAGCTGTATTATGTATGCGCACAACTAGGAGCTTGACTCTTTTATCCGCACTTATAAGAGAGTTTCAGAGTAGTGGTATTTCCTACCTCTTTAATTATTGAACGTTAAGATAATTTTAACATATGTTTATTGGGGTGGTAATTTCTTTCTAATTAATTCCAGATTCTATCTCTTAGAGGATGCCCAGCCCACATGGACCCACAGTCTCCAACATGGGAATGATGTGGACACTGAAATCATTAAATCAAAGAATGTTCTCCCTCCCTAATATTTGGAAGAAACTTTTAGCACACACACAAAATAAGTGACTTTAGAATACTTCATCAGTTGAGCTAATCTGCAAATAGCAGAGCGTTTGGTTCTTACATGCATTGGGCTGATCACCAAACTAGATTAGCTCTACAAATGAAAGGCATTTTTCTTTATGAACCAGTTGAAGAGAGATGTCCCAGTTATGAAAACATTTGCAAGAAGCTCTGAGCTTTTGGCCACCCTTTTCAGACCCCCTAGACCCTCTCTGTGGCACTTAACTGGGTTACCTCCCTTTCTAGCTATTAAATTTTCAGACAGGCCCCAGATTATGCTCTCAAGAATGGATCCAGTGACTATTTGGGTTTTCCCCCCCACAATACGTTCCCGGAGACGAAGCCATGCTGTGCCAGCAACAGACTCGTCAGAAGAGGCTGCCTCTCAGTTGTGCTGTGGGTGCCTTGAGATCCAACCGAGCACTGCAGACGGTTTCCCTCCAAGCTTGAGACTCCACTGTGTCCAAAAATAACTAGACAGGCAGGTTTGGATCTAGGAAACTTTTTAGCTCATAGACATATTTAATAATGGAAACATTGGTCCAAAATTTCCTACAGAGACCTCTGCTTTGGAAATGGTTTTATTTATATACATAGCTACAAAAATACCATTTTTGAAATAGTTACGTGGGGCCCAGTATTTAATCTTTTTGTAACTTCTAGAGAAGTTCTTTTTACTGGTAAGATCAAAAACTTTTCTGTTTTTCTTCAGCAACCATGTCTACAAACATAACCAAGACTACAAAAAAAAAAAAAAAAAAAAAAGTAAAACAGAGCCCACTCATCTACTTCGGGTTTGATGCTTCATTGATAAGGACTTTCTTTTCCTGAAAATCTGGGCGCGTTTTGGTCTCTTTTGTTTTTCAGCTACTCTCCTATATTTAGACAGGCAAAAATTGTTGCGGATATTTTTATTTCATTTAATGCTTAGCGATGCCGTATTGTCATTATGCTGCTCAAAATAAGTTTCATAATTCTTATAATTCCAAGGGAGTTTTGAATTCCCTGGAAAATGTTGCAAAATGTTTTAAATCTCATTAAATCCAAAAAATACTCTTTAATCAGCAGAATGTGAACCACTCCATTTTCCATTTTCCAACATCACCTTAATTGACTCACAGCTGAAGTCCACTGTTACTGCTCCAACACTGGATGGAAAAAAAAAAAAAGTAGGCATTTTCCTGTAGCAAAGACAGTGGGGACCTGAGCCAAAACCAGGAGAAGCAGTAAGAGATCTTCCTTTATTAGATCTTTTTACATTTCAGACTGGTGCTGAAAATACAGCAGCAAACAAAACCCAGACCTAACAAGCTCAGAGGAGAAACAGACTTGGGCTTTGAAGGTGTGCGATTCAAGGACTGGCTCTGCTACTCCTGGTATAAACTTTAAGTTACTAAATTCCACAAAGCCTGTATTTTTTCGTCTGTGAGATGGGGGCAATAACTTCCTGCTTTCCTATCGCCAAAATTATTTGTAGAGTCAAGTGATGTATGTTACATATAGAAGTACTTTGTAGGCTGGGCCCAGTGGCTCACACCTGTAATCCCAGCACTTTGGGAGGCCGAGGCGGGCAGATCACCTGAGGTCAAGAGTTCAAGACCAGCCTGGCCAACATGGTGAAACCCCCGTCTCTACTAAAAGTACAAAAATTAGCTGGGCGTGGTGGTGGATACCTGTAAACCCAGCTACTCATGAGGTTGAGGCAGGAGAATCGCTTGAACCTGGGAGGTAGACAGCCAAGATGGTACCACTGGACTCCAGCCTGGATGACAGAGCAAGACTCTGTCTAAATTTTTTTTTAAAGGTCTTTGTAAACTATTTAGACTCACAGAAACACAAAATATTACTTTCACAAACAGAAATGGAGTAAGCTATTTTAGAATTATACCTACTATAATTTCTTCCAGGTTATGAAATACTTTTTAATTTTTCTAATCATTTTCCTAGTTGTGGTTAAGAGACTATTGCTGCAGTAGAGGAATTTTCTGCCTATCCTGATTTTTGTCAAGAGGATTATCAGAAGGCAAGACTACTGAACACATGTTCTGTTACCTCTTTCACATGCAGGACAAGCATACAGGAACTCTAACAGAATGCAGTATCGCCTGCGTGCCAGCCAGGCCCTGCGTGAAGCACAGCCTCCAGTGCTCTCTCTCCAGCTGTTGGGTGTTTTCTGGATTCAAATCACTCACTGTCATGACAAGCAGACCCTCCAATATGTATAATGGCACAAATACAAGAGAAGTTTACTTCTTGCTCATATGAACACCAAAATAGGTGTTCCTGAAGGGCAGAGGCTGTTCTCCAAGCAGCGTCTGAAGCACCAGGCTAGTTCCATCTTCTGGCTTCACCATCTCCAACACAGAGTTCCCAAGGTCAGTAAGTTCGTCTGCATGGAGGCAATAGCAAGAGAAGAAGAGAGCGAGAAGACTCACTTGCTCCTTAACCACTTCTGCCTGGAAGTGATGCGTATCACTTCTGCTTACACTCCACTGGCAAGGACCCATCACATGGTCCCATCTACCTGCAAGAGGAACTAGGAATTAGAGTCTCTGGCTCTGAGCCATATTATGAAGTCATAGCTTCATAATATGGAAGTCATAGCTTCATAATATGGAAGGGGATCATTAATTTTGGTGGACAATTTGTTTGCAGTCTCTGCCACAGTATCACTTACACAAAAGGCCCAAGGAATATCACAGCTGAAGAGGACCTAGAAGTTATCTATCTCAGCATTTCTTGAACTTTTTTGACTATCACCTACAGAATGAAATAAATCTTACATCACAACCCAGTATACCACACATGTGTGAGTATCTGAAACATTGTATAAAATGTTATTTCCTCTCAAGCATGATGCACTGGTACTTTCTATTCTTTAATTCCATTCTATGTAATTTTCTTCTTTTTTGAGACAGAGTCTAGTCCTGTTGCCCAGGCTGGAGTGCAGTGCACAATCTCAGCTCACTGCAACCTCTTCTTCCCATGTTCAAGCGATTCTCCTGCCTCAGCCTCCCGTGTAGCTGGGATTACAGGCACCTGCCACCATGCCCGGCTAATTTTTGTACTTTTAGTAGAGACGGGGTTTCACCATGTTGGCCAAGCTGGTCTCGAACTCCTGACCTCAGGTAATCCACCCACCTCGGCCTCCCAAAGTGCTGGGATTACAGCCGTGACCCACTGCACCTGGCCATAATTTGATATTTTTTATCACTAGTTTTGATGCACCAACTTGATTTCTCAACCTACTATTGGGTTGTGACCCACATTTGGGCCGAGCTCATTATTTAGAAATGACACAGATGAGGTTTGGAGGAGGGGTTCTGTGACACACCTGAAGTCACAGGTAGTTGAAGCAGTGTTGGGCCACACCTATAAGCATTAGCCATTAGACTAGGGATTCTTTTTTGTTTCAAACAATATGTTATTTGGTTAAATTTTAGATCAAGTATGTTTTGTTGTTGTTAATAACATATCATTTATTTAACAAGCAGAGAGCAGTCTCATCAATGTCATTGAGGAAGTATATCCATTAGCACATTTGCTTATGGCCTCATGGTGGCAAAATGGCTGCCACTCCAGGTATCTGCTGGAAACAATTCTTTTTTTTTTTTTTTTTTGAGACAGAGTCTCACTCTGTTGCCCAGGCTGCAGTGCAGTGGTGTGATCTTGGCTCACTGCAACCTCCACCTCCCAGGTTCAAGCGATTCTCCTGCCTCTGCCTCCCGAGTAGCTGGGATTACAGGCACCCACCACTACACCTGGCTAATTTTTGTATTTTTAGTAGAGACAGGGTTTTACCATGTTAGTCAGGCTGGTCTCGAACTCCTGACCTCAGGTGATCCGCCTGCCTCGGCCTCCCAAAGTGCTGGCATTACAGGCGTGAGCCACTGTGCCCAGCCAGAAACATCTTAATACATTTGATATAGGCGAATGCTTACCTGCAAATTATTATTGTATAATATATTATTCTCTAAATCTACATATTTTTGAAATTTGAAGATGACCACCAATAAAGATATCAACAGTGGTTTATAAATATATAGGTAGTTTACACCTTGAGTTAGTTGAAAAATAAGGATTCAACTCTTTTCTCTTTTATACATCTATCTTAATGCGGAACTTAATTTTATCTTAAAAATATTTAAATTCTGAAAACTTCTTGTCTTTGAAATTCTAAGTTTACTTTTAAATTTCCACACTTAAAAAAAACCTGTCTAAATACACAGGTATGAAAACTTTAAAATGGTATGTGTGCTTTTTTCTTCTCTCATGATGTTATTTTCAAATTATAGAGTTGCTTGGAACATCTAACTAAAGAACAGCATTTGGAGACAGAATAGCACCATCCTCGTCAGAAACATAGCCATCTCAACTTTGAAGGAGGAATGGTCATTAAGAAGCAAAAACATCTCTGGAATGAATACACCCTCTTTAAATTCAGTTGTATTTTTGTTTTTCTTACATTCTATGCAAGGCTTATGATGTTCTTATGATCCCTTGCCAACATTTTTGAGTAACAAGACTGTGTGGAAAAAAATGCTTTTTGAGTACACATCATGCATTTTTCTAAAAGAATTGTACTGCACAGGGTAATTAATATTATAAATAGTGAGTGTTTGTATGAGGAAGCTGCTAGGTATGGGTTCCAGCTGGCTAGGTGTTTATCCAACTAAAAAACTCACTCTAAGGCACAATAGCATCATTATGCTACATGGGTGGAATGGGAGAGGAGCTTGGGGAAACGACTCTAGGAAAGATTCCCGTCATTTCCTCGAAGTTACCAGAAATTGCTCTATAATCCTGGAATCTGACTTAATTTCTGGTGGCATCAGCGTGTTATCAAGTAGTGGGAGAGCAGTGTGAAGCTGGCAACGTGGACTTTGGGCACAACGAGACCTGATTCCAAGACCTACCTCTCCCCGTTACTACCTATGTGACTTTGGGCAATTTGCTTAACCTCTCCAAATCCTCAGTTAATTCATCTGTAAAGCAGGAATACCCTCATTACAGGGTTTTGTGAGGATTAAATGAGATAATGCATGTAAAGCACTTGGGAAAATGTCTGGTATATGGAAAATGTGCAATAAATGCTACGATTAAATTAAATTGTAGGACCCAAAAAGAAACTTCATAAGTAATTATAAAGCTAATTTTTAAAATTACTCATGAGCAAATGTCCTTGAGCTAGAGAAGCATTATTACTACTATTGTTATTTTATTTTATTTTGAGACAACGTCTCACTCTGTCACCCAGCTGAGTGCAAGTGGCATGATCACAGCTCATTGCAGCCTCAACCTCCCGGGCTCAAGTGATGCTCCGACCTCAGCCTCCTGAGTAGTTGGGACTACAGGTTGTGCACCACCACGCTTTGCTGTTTTGTTTTGTTTTTGTTTTTGTTTTTTGTAGAAATGGAGTCTTGCTACATTGCCCAGGCTGGTCACAAACTCCCAGACTCAAGCAATCCTCCCTCCTCAGCCTCCCAAAGTACTGGGATTACAGGTGTGAGCCACCACGCTTGGCTGTGCATTATTATTTTTATAAAACTCCATTATTTAGTTAAAAGGGGCTCTTTTGGCTGAATTTGGTTCTCTCCAAAATTTAATGAAAAGGCCCTTTACTGGCATCATGTGGCAAAATAACACAGTAGAGTAATACATGTTTAAGAAGGAAGAGCTGGCTGGGCGTGGTGGCTCACATCTGTAATCCCAGCACTTTGGGAGGCTGAGGCCAGAGGATCACTTGAGATCAGGAGTGCAAGACCAGCCTGGCCGATATGGTGAAATCCCATCTTTACTAAAAACAGGAAAAAAATTAGCTAGGTATGGTGGTGCGTGCCTGTAATCCCAACTACTCAGGAAGCTGAGGCAGGAGAATCGCTTGAACCCCAGAGGCGGAGGTTGCAGTGAGCCGAGATCACACCACTGCACTCCACTCCAGCCTGGGTGACAGAGCGAGACTCTGTCTCAAAAAAAAAATAAAAAATAAAAAAATAAGGAAGAGCTGCATTATCAGTGTGATGTTGCAAGGCACCTATCACATTCCAAGTGTCATTAACTTACATGAGCCTCCCTTTGCGATTCTCTATTGATTGTTTCTGGCACAGAATCCCTGACAAGAAACATTTTGAGGGCTTTACTAGATTTCAGCACCAAAGACCTCAACAGATTAAGTCCTGGCTTGGTGATCTGACGCAATTAAAGGTAAATCTCTTTATGTTGTTAAAGAATTTAGAGAACTAAACAACATTAAATACGTTCATGTTATCCTGGCTTATCTCTCAGGTAATCTTTAAAGGTAGAGAACTGAGACAATGATCTAGGTAATCCACAAGTCACTCTCCCTTTCAGGGAAGGAAATGGGGGTTTTCTTTTTCTTTTTTTTTTTTTTTTGAATTTATAATGTCTATTTTTATTGCTTTAAGATTTAGGATTACTGCCATATTGAAGAAAATGAGAACAAAAACTTTTCAGTCTTTCCAGAAAATTGCCTGGAAGGAGAAAAAGAAGCAATAAGTGAACATGACAAATCAATGAGTCGAGGTGGTCATAGGATGTTCCTATTATTTAAATGTTAAGGCTGGTTTATGTCTTTAGCATTGCCTGATTGTCTTAAAGTCAATTTACCTTAAAAGTCTGCCTCTCAACCAAGGAATAAATAATAATCAAAATGTGTATTTTCATATAGTATGCTTCTTTAAAACATTCATTTTATTTTTCACATTCTCAGTGAGTGAAAAGTAATTGAAACAGGATGTAGGGGGAAGAGCAGTCCTGTCTCATAACTACTCTGAGGCTGTTCCTCATCTGTAATGTCTATGCTGTTAGTTCTGATAGGTGACGGTGTAATGCAGAGATCTGAATAACTTGCCAGCTGCTTTTTGTCACCTGGGTTGCCAAGGAAAAACTGTGATGGAAAGGACAATTAAGGCAAACGTGCATGCTATTATTGCCAGCTGAGGATTTGACCATGTTACCCTGTGTTGGCTGGGCACGGTGGCTCACACCTGTAGTCCCAGTACTTTGGGAGGCCAAGGCAGGCAGATCGCTTGAGACCAGGAGTTCAAGACCAGCCTGGCCAATATGGTGAAATCACATCTCTACTAAAAATACAAAAAAATAGCTGGGCATGGTGGCATGTGCCCATAATCCAGCTATTTGGGAGGCTGAGGCAGGAGAATTGCTTGAACCTGGGAGATGGAGGTTGCATGAGCTGAGATTGTGCTACTGCACTGCAGCCTGGGCAACAGAGCAAGACTTCGACTGAAAAAAAAAATACCCTGTGCTGTATCTTATTGTGGTAAACAGAAGGAACAGAATGAATGTGAGCCTCCAAAGGTCCTTTTCTTGCCTAGCTGAAGGCTTAGATGAGCCCGGTGGCCTCCTTATTTCCTTATTCTTTTTTTTAATTATTATTATACTTTAAGTTTTAGGGTACATGTGCACAATGTGCAGGTTAGTTACATATGTATATATGTGCCATGCTGGTGATGGATTAAAGACTTAAACATTAGACCTAAAACCATAAAAACCCTAGAAGAAAACCTAGGCATTACCATTCAGGACATAGGCATGGGCAAGGACTTCATGTCTAAAACACCAAAAGCAATGGCAACAAAAGCCAAAATTGACAAATGGGATCTAATTAAACTAAAGAGCTTCTGCACAGCAAAAGAAACTACCATCAGAGTGAACAGGCAACCTACAAAATGGGAGAAAATTTTTGCAACCTACTCATCTGACAAAGGGCTAATATCCAGAATCTACAATGAACTCAAACAAATTTACAAGAAAAACACAAACAACCCCATCAAAAAGTGGGCGAAGGACATGAAAAACTTCTCAAAAGAAGACATTTATGCAGCCAAAAAACACATGAAAAAATGCTCACCATCACTGGCCATCAGAGAAATGCAAATCAAAACCACAATGAGATACCATCTCACACCAGTTAGAATGGCAATCATTAAAAAGTCAGGAAACAACAGGTGCTGGAGAGGATGTGGAGAAATAGGAACACTTTTACACTGTTGGTGGGACTGTAAACTAGTTCAACCATTGTGGAAGTCAGTGTGGCAATTCCTCAGGGATCTAGAACTGGAAATATCATGTGAGCCAGCCATCCCATTACTGGGTATATACCCAAAGGACTATAAATCATGCTGCTATAAAGACACATGCGCACGTATGTTTATTGCTGCACTATTCACAATAGCAAAGACTTGGAACCAACCCAAATGTCGAACAATGATAGACTGGATTAAGAAAATGTGGCACATATACACCATGGAATACTATGCAGCCATAAAAAATGATGAGTTCATGTCCTTTGTAGGGACATGGATGAAACTGGAAATCATCATTCTCAGTAAACTATCACAAGAACAAAAAACCAAACACCGCATATTCTCACTCATAGGTGGGAATTGAACAATGAGAACACATGGACACAGGAAGGGGAACATCACACTCTGGGGACTGTTGTGGGGTGGGGGGAGCGGGGAGGGATAGCTTTAGGAGATATACCTAATGCTAAATGACGAGTTAATGGGGGTTTTCATCTACATGATTTCCTTGCTGTTGTCTGCCTGATGAAATCCAGGTTCTCTGGCTGGCCCTTAAGCCATTTAAGTCTTACAGATTTAGGAACTTGTGAACTTCAAGAATTATTTTCTGTTTAAATGTTACTTATTTTCAGAGAAGATTAAATCTATTAAACACCTGTATTAAAACATGATATTTTCTGGCTTTGGTAGGACTTTCCTTCTGACTTTAAGAACAAAATAATAGTAATTCAATATTTGTTAGTAAAATTTAATTTCTACATCATATAACATTAGATTGCCTCCATAAAAATAAGTTATTTAAAAAGCAATTTCACAAGAAATGCTAGCTCAACTCTTTGACAACAATACTATAGCTTTAACTCACTGCTGGATCCCCAGCACCTAAAACTGCACCTGGTATGTATTTGATATTGAATAAATATTTTAGACATAAGATTATGTTAAAATCATAATTTTAAATAAAATTTTCTATAAGATCATATGGAATCAAAATATAAATATTGATTATTGCTCATTAAAATGAGACTATTGGAATACCTTATTGGTGGCCACACATTTTTTAAGAGTCAACAGCATAAAATTGAACAGAATGATCAACGATATTCCTTTACACAAATACATCTTTGATTCTTACAGTTCAAGTAAAAACCGTCAAGCACTATAAACTATTTTGATCAACTCAAACTATCCCTCTGCTCCAGGAACTGCTCCAACGAACAGAATTTTCCTGTTTGCAATTTTCAGCTGGCAGATGAGAAACGCATGAAGCTTTATCCAAATGGAAAACCCAGTCATTCTTGGTAAAGTACAGGAGGGGAGAAAACTGTCAGCTGTAAGAATTTGTCACTGGGGAGAATATTAAGCTGACGCAACTTACTCCTTTGAATAAGAACAAGGCATAGATGGAGGAACTTCTAATTTTCACATTTAACTGGACTCTCATCACTACTATCCTTTCTCACCACTCTCTAGTTCTCATGCAACATTTAGTCACCCACTACACACAAACACACACACACACACACACACACTCATACACTCACATACCGGTGGTTTCTGGGTACTTCCTGATGGGTTTGGAAGGGTAGGAGGTGGGGAAGAGATACCCTCCCACCTACCACTGCAGCCAGTGCCTCCTAGCCTAGGAGTCATGGAGGAGAAGTGAGGCCAGAGTGGCAATCGGGACGTTCCTTCTGGGTCAGCTTTTCCCTTGCCCCCCTGCCTTCAAGTTGCATGGGAAAATGCACATGCTGATGACTACAGAGGCTCTCCTGGGAGGAAAAGCAGTGTTTACACAATTATTGCTGAGCTGGATTCCAAACTCTTTATTGTTTTAGTTGCCTGTTTTGTTTTAAATCACAGAGAGAATGGTTGGGAAGTACTTTGGAAACCCATCAAAAGGAGAAGCAACAAGGACTGATATGGTGGTTCCCAGATTTTTTGGGTTTTGCGGACAAGTAATA
The DNA here is from genome assembly GCF_000001405.40 of Homo sapiens. NCBI lineage: Eukaryota > Metazoa > Chordata > Mammalia > Primates > Hominidae > Homo > Homo sapiens. The sequence continues at coordinate 200,253,176 of NC_000002.12, forward strand.
TGTCAGAAAAAAAAAAAGATTGAGGAACTAATAGGCAGTTGGCAACTTTCCTTTTTCTAAGTAAGACATAGGATCAATACCAACTCTTATTAGCCACTATTGCCAGTTCTTCATAAAAGGGACGGCACTTTAATACCAAAAGAACATAATTTCAGACTAAAGGACTGTTTTTCCCAAGAAAAAGGATAGTTGATAATCTCAAACAACACAGAGAAAGCAGACACTGTTGGGGGTTCTGGGGGGTGTGCCCAAATCTCAGATCCCTCCTATGGGTTATCTGTGCTCATCCCTCAGCTTCTGTGCTTCGCTTTTGATAGCTTCCACCAGCGCACCTTCAGAGAACAGCCCTTGGGCTTCTAGAGATGGTTTGGGTTCACGTTTGGGAGTTTAGCCCCCACTCCACACCCGAGTGTGGTCTATCGCCTGACAGATTGTGCCTGAGGATGAAAGCCCTGCTGCCTTCCTGGAGGTAAACAACCTCTGTTTGCAATTTTCAGCTGGCAGGAGAGAAATGCATGAAACTTTATCTAAATGCAAAACCCAGTCACTCTTGGTAAAGTACAGGAGGGGAGAAAACTATCAAGCTGTAAGAATTTGTCACCGGGGAGAATACATGCTCCTGAGCTCTCCACATGCTCAGGCTGAGACTGGGATTTCCCCTGGAGTCATGCCCTTGCCTGGCTTCCCTCCCATCCCTGTCCTGTTTCTCTCACTCCCTGATTGGTTTCTCCTGAGAGCCATTCCTTCATATTTCACTTGCACATACATCTTTGTCTCAGGGTCGTCTTCTGGGAAGCCTGGCTGAAGACAGATGGGTAAAAATGTCTTCTTAGATTGGTGCCAGTCTGTTCATGGCCTTTGAGGGACAGTCTGGAGAATAGACTTGGACAAAAGGGCTGGGTTCCAGTCCAAGCTTCACCACCAACCAGGTGTTTGGCCTTGGCCAAGTCACAAAACCCTTAGCTTTACCTGCTCCACTCTTGTCATATGGTGGCTGGCCAGGAAGATATGGAATGAGGGTGAAGGTGGGGGCAATTCCACAAAGAAGAGAGGCCAGAAAAATATGTAGCTTCTTTTTTTTTTTGTTTTTTTTTTCCGAAGTATCGCTCTGTTGCCTAGGCTGGAGTGCAGTAGTGAGATCTCGGCTCACTGCAACCTCTGCCCCCCTGGGTTGAAGCGATTCTCCTGCCTCAGCCTCCCAAAAATGTAGCTTCTTTATCTCCTAAGGCTGATCCAGTCTTTGCTGTAAGCCTCTGTCCCACTGTGTAAGGAGGACAACATGAAATTCCAGCCTCATCAACATAGTTTTATGCAATCATTTAAATAATCTCTTTAGAGAAATCATTCTCTTTCAGGCAAATGCCATACTTTCAGATTTCCTACTCCTTTCTGAGGTGACATCCTGGAGAACCAAGGAAGGCTGTGTGACCTCTGAGTGGCATGAGAAGGACAGCTCTGAGAGCTCTGAGATGGGCTCGGGTCCATCTGCCTGCTCCCTGGTCTCTTGGCTCTGGCTGTTGGGCACTCTGCTGGCACTAGATGCCAGATCTGGGGCTTGTGAATGGGCAGTCAAATCCCTGGGCTCAATAAAGGCAGAACCCACTCCTCTGCTCTCTGGATATCCCCAGGCTATCCCTGGAATTAGGGTCTCCTGATTGGCCATGACTTCCATTGGATGCCCATCCTGGATGGTGCTCTGTACTCCTAGCCACAGGTCACAATGATCCTACTGCAGTGATACCCGCTGGCAGGTTTCCCAGCTATACTCTCAGTCCCCATGCATTCCTCCACAGCCATGCAGGACATTCGGGGCTCTGAAATGACACGAAAGCAGAGGCATGCTAGCACAACATTCCTCTCTGCCCAGACACACTGTCCATCACTGAGGATAGCAGCTTCTCTTACCTCCATCTCGTTCTCCTCCCCACAAGCCACTGAGGACCAGAGAGATGACCTTTCTTTTTTCTTCTCTCAGGTTGGCCAGGGTTAGCACTTACAAAAGGGGCCACCATGTACAGTTGTACAGACTGTGGCCTGCACAAGAATGCCCAAGTGAGACAGCAGGTATCTACCTCTGCTCACCCAGCTATGAGTGAGCTGGCACTGGGCTGTATCTACTTAGAGCAAGAAGACCCTTTTAAAATTTGCACAAAGCCATTCTAAGGGCTACCAGCAACTCTGGTCACATTCCTTCCCTCCTGAAAGCAGTACCCACTCCCTTCTCTGGAGCTACAATGGCTATCAAAGAACATGATTTACAGGGAAGAGGAAGGATGTACACATTGCTTAATGTTTCAAAACATGATCCACATTTTAGAGGCTGAAGCACTTTGAGACCAAAAGGGGTTTTGGTGGTCAGCACCTGCTCTGCTTTTGTCATGAACTCAGCCCTGGTCTAGATGGGGGGTGAAGGCAGGGTAGGATGTAAGACAGGACTCCTAGAGGAGAACTCATGTGACTTCCAGTGAGCAGTACTGGAAAGCATGAAGTCAAGCACCAGTTGACCAGTTCAGGCTTTTGTTCTGTGGAGCTACAGGGTGAACACAGGCCGTGAGATCTGGGGCATGCAGAGAAGGTTGGCATCTGTGTCCGGAAAACAGGTGGGGAGGGCCCTGCTGGCCTCATAAGTGTAGCACAATCCAAGTTCTCATTTCAGAAATCTTGGCTAGGCACAGTGCCTGGGTTGGGTGCAGTGGCTCATGCCTGTAATCCCAACACTTTGGGAGGCCAAGGCGGGTGTATCACCCAAGGTTAGGAGTTCAAGGCTAGCCTAGCAAATGTGGTGAAACCCTGTCTCTACTAAAAATACAAAAATTAGCTAGAGGTGGTGCTGCATGTCTGTAATCCCAGCTACTCAGTAGGCTGAACCAGGAGAATCGCTTGAACCCAGGAGGCAGAGGTTGCAGTGACCAGAGATCGTGCCTGTGCACTCTAGCCTAGGTGACAAAGCAAGACTCTGTTTCAAAAAAAAAGAAAAGAAAAGAAAAAAGAAAATCTTCATCATGCTTAAGCTTTTCTCTATTACATCTACTTCCAATTCCCTCTTAAAAAAGAAAAGTGAAGGAAAACTAAGTTTCTGGAGTTCTTCATATCTGTACCTAGAACAGGAGGTTTCCTGCTCGCCTCTAGCAAGAAAACAAGATGCTGCCACAGATTTCAACTCAACTTGTTTTTCGTGGTCAGAAGAAATTCAAACATGATTATTAAAATAAAGATTTCAAGTGGAAAAAACAATAATGCTGAGCAACTGTGGGTTTAATCCCACCTCCTCCATGTGACACAGACCTGCCTTCAGTTTGTCCTCCAGCCCCCAGCCCCCCAGAAGACGAGGGGGTATCTACAGACCCACTTTATTTGGCTGGTGTCCATAATATGGACATCTGAGCCATTATGGCCAGCCCTCCCTTTTATTTCACCTCAGATATATTCTTCAGGCTTCAAGGGTCATGCATTTGAATGCGCGCCGCTGATACACCTGTTGGTTGCCCAAAGGTAATTTGTGCCATTCAGTGCAATCAGTTCACTGAGAAGTAGCTTTGTAATCAGCATAATGGTCCTCCAAAAATCCCACAGACCAAGGAAGGGTCAGGCCATGTAATTGAAGAGGATGCAGACTTGGGAGATTCACAGGAACTGAAGAATGACCTTGTTTTTGGTGAACTAGGGTCGATATCTACTTTGATCCTATAAATAAATCTATTTCTAAATCTATGCAATGCCCATAAATATTATAGATTGTTTCTGATGAAGTCAGAGAGAGAGGCAGAGAGAGAAAGAAGACAGAATAAAATGCTTTGCTATTAAGGATGATAAAAGGTATATTTATGGTCTTTCTCAGGAGATGTTTTTGGGTGCTTTTTCCTTTTTCTGTATTTATCAGGATAGATGCACTATGAAAAAATAATGCAATACATAAATTCTAGTTATATTAGCATAAAAATGAAAAGTAATCACAGAAAATGATTACAGTATAAGTATGCTTATAAATTCAATGTTTTTCTTTGTAAAAGATGTGGTGCATGATTTCCAGTGGAAAAAAACAACATGTTTATTTCATACCTTAAAGTGGACTTTTTTTTAACATAAAAAAGGGAAGAATACCTAGGATGCTTAAGGTAAGTTAATATAATTACAATTAGCCTGAGCAACTCTCCCTACTGCTCTGAAGCACTCACTAACATTTAACAGAAATGCCAGGTCTGATGGGCTAGAAAATGAGAATAGTAATATTCATGCTTGCTCTGCCCATCCCACAGGGTTATTCTAGAAGATAAAATGAGCCAGTAGTGTGTGTAATGCAGGTCCAACTCAGCACCAGCACAGAGACTTTTCTTTCCCTTCTATCCCAGCACTCTGGTCATCAAGACCCAACACCATCTGTGTGTGGAATGAGGGGTACAAGCGTCAAGTCATTGAAAAGGATTCGCATCCACACAAGAGTTTGGATGAAGCTTAGCAAAGCCTCAGAGATGTGCCAGCTTTCTTCCAATGGGCAATCCAGAAGCCCTGTGCAGGCAGCTGTGGATGGAAGGAATATTCCCCGGGTGCTGAGCCAACAGCTAACATGTCTCCTACTCCAGACTGACCTGTGGCGCCACCTCGTAGTGTGACAGTGAGAGGAAATAAAAGATCAGCATTTTTAAGATTTCATCTAGAAAAAGATGTACACTTTTGTCCCTTCAGTTTCTCCCTCTCCCCCACTTTATCAATGGCCTTCTTTCATTACTGGCCCAGTTTCCAGGTTCCCTGAGGCAGAATCGGGTAAATGGATAAGACAAAAACAAGATCAGAAAGGTGAAAGGCAGTCGGGAGGCGCCCTGAGGACTAGGGCCACCGAGGCTGAGACTTGGAGAAGAGAGCTGATCAGAAAGTGAAGAGGAGCCATCAAGAAAGGGAGAAGCTCTGGATCGCCTGGTGAGGAACCGAGTCCCTCAAAGACGTTTCTACAGGTTGTAAACTGAATCACAAAGTAAAATCATGGGATCACTGGAAGATAAAAGTTCTTTCAAAAATGCAATTAAAGATGTGAATGGCTCTTTGATTGCTTTTGGATGCTAGACTGAGTTTCTTTGGATGATACACTGAGCAGCCCTGGGCCACGGGAGGCTGTGGTGTTTGTTCAGGTGTTTATTCAGGCTCTCTGGCCAGGGTGTCTTTTCATGGCCTCTACATTGTCTGAATGGTAACATTTCACTGACAAAACTCAAACGATCACTCTAGTAAGATTTTAGTAATGAGGCCTACCTAATGTGCCCCCAAAAATTCCTATAACACAGCTAGAAACTCTTTCAGATCCCCACAATGGTGTGGAAGGCAAAATATTCTGTTTTCTGCATGAAAGTGGGGGTTTCTCAGGATACAAAGTGCAAGATAAGCCAGTAGAAATTAATATGGTACTCATGAGTCTTCTTTATTTCCAGGTACAACCATAGACTTTTTTAAACTTTAGCTAAGTCGTCCTTTATACTTCTCCCAAGGATATAGTAAGAGAATATGTTAGATTACCATTTGTATCTGCAGCAATTGTGCCATATTGAACATTTTATTACAATAAGCAATATTATCACAAGGCTGGTGTATCAGGGTTCTGGACACCTCATGGCCCCGTCAAGTTGTCACATAAAATTAACCATCACAGCTGGATTTATAAAATTATAAATAAAGCCGTATTCTCATTCTATAGAATACAGCGTAAGACACACCTCTGCTTGTTAGCCTGAGAACCAACCAGGAATTCATCTTTTGGGGCAAGGGCATACCTGGAGTTGAGGGATTCCCCTCACAGATATTTTCCTGTCTCTTCTGAAGGGCCAGTCTTCTCGGGAGTTGAAGTGAGTGGTTGCTAAGTGTGGAGTCAGCAGTAGACTGGGAACAGGAGGGCAGAGGGCCTGGCAAGAGCCCATGGGGGTTTCCCGGGGTTTCCAAAGAGGCTTCCAGTTGGGTGTCCACCAGATCACACCCACAGAAACCACTTCTTCCCTCCAGAAACTTCCCAGACCTCTTACCACCACACAAGGGATTTAAGAACTGAACAATCTTTTGGGGATGTCCAGTAAAGGGAATGGTGAGGCGGCTCCAAAAGGAAACAAAGGGAGTGTTTAGCTGGTTGGTGAGCTCAGGTATCAGTCCCAGAGAGCCGATTTCTCTGCTTTGCTTTGTCTGTTAGTACTCATTTTGCTTTGCAACCAGAAACACATTTCAGTTTGAAATTGTACCCAGGCTGCACCCTCCCTCTCCGACGTTAGGGTGCACCCACTCTTCTCAGGCCCAATCAGGCAGCGATGTGCCTTGCATCCAGACAAGGAGTAAATATCATTCTGGAGCCCTCAGTGAATATCATTCTGGAGTAATAGCTTCTTCATAATAAGGACTTACAAGTAACTCATTACCTCCTCACCAGCCAAAAATACTCATTTCTCCAGGGCACATCTACAAGACGGTAAGTAAATACGGGAGGAAAGAAGTGCTTTACAAGGACATACGCATTAATTTCTTTTCATGGAAACCGGTTTGACAAACTGATAGTTCTGCCCTGATTCTTCAGTGGGTGCATTCCTGGTTGATTAACTCTCAAAACAAACAAGATGTTGGCATGCTAACTAGTTGCCCGGTCCCCAAGGTAGAACTAATTTCTCTTTCTCTCTTTATTGCTTGGCATGCATTGTACATCTCTTCTGGTTATAGGTCTTGTGGTGTAATTATTTAGGTACACATCTTATCTTCCTCACTATGTTGTAAGCTCCTTGATCTTTGTGATGATTCATCTTTACACCTTGCACAGCACTTAGTACAGGGCTTCCCTTTCAGTAATCGCTCTATAAATATAAGCAATGTAAAGATAATGTGTATTTGCCATGCAAAAGCCAATTCATACATACTGAGCAGCCTTTAAGTACCCAGCATCGTGCTGTCCCTGTGAAAGGACATGGTTTCCAACAAGCAGAGAGACACTTGTAACAACATGGATGAACCCGAGGATGTTATGCTAAGTGAAATAAGCCAGACACAAAAAGAAAAATACTATATGATCGCATGTAAATGCAGAACCTTTTTCTAATAAAAACAGTTGAATAAATAGAAACAGAGTCAAATGGTAGTTACCAGGGGCAGAAAGGGAGAGGAGATTGGGAGAAATAGGTCAAAGAGTACAAATTTGCAATTATGTAGGATGAATAAGTCTGTAGATGTAATGTACAGCATGAAGACTACAGTTACAAATATTGTATTATATACCAAAAGTTTGCTAAGAGAGTAGATTTTAGCTGCTGTTAACACACAGACACACAAAAGGTAACTATGGAAGATGATGGATTTGTTTGACTATAGTAATTATTTCACTGATTATATGTGTATCAAAATATGTTGTGTACCTTAAATATATACAATAAGAAATACATTTTTAAATAAATAAAATATGATCATTCTAGTGAAATGACAGTTACTTGCACACAGAACAACTAGATATTACATGTAGACATTATTAGTGAGATACGTTCTGTTTCAGTTAGTGTTTTCTTGAGTTTAGTGCAAAGATAAATACTAAAAATTATTCAAAATAAGGGATCCAATATTATACAATACATAGGCTCTAAAAATATTCCTGTAGTGCACTGAGAAGTACCAATATATGTGTAGGAAAATAAGTTAGCAAATATAACTTAACAAGCAAGATAATTCTATTTTGGTAGAAACTATATTCATTAAGAATGAGGGTTTTAACCTGATTTTAAAGTTCTTTTATAAGACAAGCAATAATAGCAGGAAAAACCCTTTTAGAAACTTTACATGTTTAAAAAAAAACACAAGCAAGGTTAGGAGGAATAAAAACTCCAAAAAAAGGATAAATATGTGTGGAAGGGGTAGTATTACCAGATATTAAAATATATTATAAAGCCTCTATAATTAAAACTGTGTGGATTTGGTACATGAAGAGATTGATGACACACCAGTGGAAAGAAACAGAAAATGTAGAAATCGAATTAGTTTCATGTAAGAATTTAAAGTTTGATAAACTTGGCGTCTCAAATCAGTGAGGGAAAATGTATGTTTTAGAAAATGGTAAAGGATAACCGGAGAATGACAAGGATTAATGTAAAATTGCATCCATTCCTCACACCACATACCAGGATAAATTCCAGATAGATAGGAGACTTAAACATAAAAAATAAAATCATATAATAAGTAGAAGAAAACATTGGTGAATTTTAATCTGGGAGTGGAAAAACTTTCCTAACTACAACTCAAATATCTAGGAACAATGAGGGAAAAGGATTGATATTTGATATTTTTCTAAATAAATAAAATAAGATTATGCTAGTGAAATGAAAGTTACTTATACACAGAACAACCAGATATTACATGTAGAGGTTATCAGTGAGATACCTTCTGTTAGTATCTTTTCCAGTTTAGTGTAGAAACAAACAGGGATCTGTGTCTTTGCCCAAATCTCATGTTGAACTATAATCCCCAAGGTTGGAGATGGGGCTTGGTGGGAGGTGAATGAACCATGGAGGTAGATTTCCCATTTGGGACTGTGTCATGATAGTGAGTGAGTTCTCATGAGATCTGGTTGTTTAAAAGTTTGTAGCACCTCCTCCCATCTCTCCCTTCCTCCTGCTCTGACCATGTGAAGTGCCGCTAACTACTTTGCCTTATGCCCCGATTGTAAGTTCCCTGAAGCCTCCCCAGAAGCTGATGCCACCACGCTTACTGTACAGCCTGCAGAACCATGAGTCAATTAAACCTCTTTTCTTATAAATTACCCAGTCTCAGGTATTTCTTTAGAAATTAGAACATACTAATACAGGGAATTAGTACTAAGGAGTGAGGCATTGCTAAAAAGATACCTGAAAATGTGGAAGCAACTTCGGAACTGCATAACGGGCAAAGGTTGGAAGAGCGTGGAGAGCTCAGAAGAAGATAGGAAAATGAGAGAAAGTTTAGAACTGCCTAGAGACTGGTTAAATGGTCATGACCAAAATTCTGGTAGTGATATGAACAATGAAGGCCAGGCTAAGGAGGGTTCAGATGGAAAAGAGAAACTTCCTGGGAACTGGAGCAAAGGTAACTTTTGTTATGTGTTAGCAAACAGCCTGGCTGCATCATGCCCCTGCCCTAGGGATCTATGGAACTTTGAACTTGAGAGTGATGATTTTGAGTATATGGTGGAAGAAATTTCTAAGCAGCAAAGTGTTCAAGATGTGGGCTGGCTACTTCTAACAACCTATGCTTATATGTATGAGCAAAGAAATGATGTGAAATTGGAACTTATATTTAAAATGGAAGCAGAGTGTAAAAGTTTGGAAAACTGGCAGCCTAGGCATGTGGTGGGAAAAAGAGCCTATTTGAGGGGGAGGAATTCAAGATGACTGCAGAAATTTACATAAGTAAAAGGGAACCAAATGCTAATAGCAGAGACACGGCGGGGTGGGGGGGCGGGGGAAGGTCTCAAAGGCATTTCAGAGACCTTTGTGACAGCTCCTCCCATCACAGGCCTAGAGACCTAGGAGGGAAGAATGGTTTTATGGCCAGGCCCAAGGCCCCACAGCCCCATGCAGCCTCAGGACACTGCTCCCTGCATCCCAGTCACTCCAGCTCTAGCCATGGCTCAAAGGAACCCAGGTAGACAGCTCAGCCATAGCTTCAAAGAGTGCTAGCTGTAAGCCTTGGCAGGTTCCATGTGGTGTTAAGCCTGTGAGTGCACAGAATGCAAGAGTTGAGGCTTAGGAGCCTCTGCCTAGATTTCAGAGGATGTATGAAGCCTGCTGCAGAGGTGGAACCCTCATGGAGAGCCTCTAATAGGGAAGTGCAGTGGGGAAATGTGGGACTGGAGCCCCCACACAGAGTCCCCACTGAGGCACTGCCTAGTAGACCTATGAGAAGAGAATCACCATCTTCCACACCCCAGAATGGTAGATCCACCAGCAGCTTGCACCATGCACCTAGAAAAACCACAGGTACTCAACACCAGCCCGTGAGAGAGGCTGTAGGGGCTGAACCCTGCAAAGCCACAGGATTAGAGCTGCCCAAAGCCTTAGGAGCCCATCCCTTGCACCAGTGTGCCCTGGATGTGAGACATAGAGTCAAAGGAGATTATTTTGAATCTTTAACATTTAATCACTGACCTGCTGGGTTTTGGACTTGCATAGGACCTATAGCCCCTTTCTTTTAGCTCATTTCTCCCTTTTGGAATAGGAATATTTACTCAATGCATACACCCCCATTGTATCTTGGGAGTAACTAGCTTGTTTTTTTTATTTTACAGGTTTATAGGTGGAAGGGACTAACCTTGTCTCAGATGAGACTTTGGACTTTGGACTTTGAGTTAATGCTGGAATGAGTTAAGACTTTGGAGGAGTGTTGAGAAGGGATGATTGTATTTTGCAATGTGAGAAAGACATGAGATGTGGAATGATATGGTTTGGATCTGCGTCCCCACCCAAATCTCATGTCAAATTGCATTCCCCAATGTTGGAGGTGGGGCCTGGTGGGAGATGAGTGGATCATGGGGTGGATTTCCCCCTTGGTATTGTGTCATGATGGCTAGTGAGTTCTTGTATGATGTATTGTTTAAAGGTGTGTAGCACCACCACCACCACCCCTTCCTCCTGCTCCTGCCATGCAAGTCACCTGCTCCCGCTTTGCCTTACATCCTAATTGTAAGTTCCCTGAGGCCTCCACAAAAGCAGATGTTGCCATGCTTTCTGTATAACTTGCAGAACCATGAGCCAGTTAAACATCTTTTCTTTATAGATTACTCAGTCTCAGGTATTTCTTTATAGCAGTGCAAGAATGGACTAATACAATGTATTTGACTATATATAATAAAAGAAACTCTGCCAGGCGCAGTGGCTCATGCCTGTAATCCCAGCACTTTGGGAGGCCAAGGCAAGTGGATCACTTGAGGCCAGGAGTTTGAAACCAGCCAGGCCAACATTGCAAAACGCTGACTCTACTAAAAATGCAAAAATTAGCCAGGAGTGGTTGTGCATGTCTGTAATCCCAGCTACTCAGGAGGCTGAGGCACAAGAATAGCTTAAACCCAGAAGGCAGAGGTTGCAGTGAGCCAAGATTGCACCACTGCACTCCAGCCTGGGCAACAGAGCGAGACTCTGTCAAAAAAAAAAAAAAAAAAAAAAAAAGATAAAAAATAAAAAAAGAAACTTTTGTATCACAAAAATATCCATAAGCAGAGCATAAAAACAAATGATAAATTTGGAAAAAGTATTTGTAACTGATATCACAGATAAGAGTTAGTATTCTCAATATATTTGATGATATAAAAGAATCATTGTCAACTTTTTAGGTGTGATGCTGCTGTTGTGGTTATGTTTTCAAAAAAACAGTATTTATTGTTTAGAGACAGTTATTTAAATATTTATGGTTGAAATCATATGCTGTCTTGAATTTGCTTTAAAATAATAAGAGATGAGAGAATAGATAAAATTAGAGTGGCTATATTGAAATTATTGAAGGTGAATGATAGGTACATAGAGGCCCATTATACTATTCTCTCTCCTTTTCCACATATTTGAAATTCTCCATACTTAAAAAGATAAAACATTTTTGGAAGAAAATCTATATAAAGCACACAAGTAGCTTTCAATAAATGTCAACTCCTCTCATTACAGTCATGCTCAATACGTGTGTGAGCATGAATGGAATTTGAACACAGTCATACACATTTAGCCTAATAAGTTCTTACCTGTTCTATTTTTTAAGTAAAAGCTATCATCTCTATTATCATGGCTAACTAGATGCTCTGAGCAACTCCCCTACTGCAAAACAATAAATCCTATTGAGGATACACTCTAAGACATGACTACTTTCACGAGAGATAGAGGATGTGTTCAGAGATCCTTCTCTAAGCTCCAAAAACTCACCTTAGATAAGAGGTGCCAAGAGCTGGGGCAGCTGGAAGGGACAGAGTTAACTAACTCTGGTTGACTTAGTTAACCAGTCTAGTTAACTAAGACTGGTTGAGCAATAGCATGGCCCTCTATGGCAGAGGAAAAAAACTCCACATTTCCTGGACTAGCTGAGATCTTCCGTGGGAGGGGTAGTATTACCAGTTATTAAAATATATTATAAAGTTTCTATAATTAAAACTCTGTGGTTTAGCTATGTGAAGAGAGTGAGAACAGACCAAGGGGCTCTCAGGTATAGAGCCCCACTGGTCACCAGCAGAATCAAATCATATCTGGGGTAAACTTTTCCAATATTCAATTTATCTCTCACTAATTAAGATCAAGTAATGAATGCACAATCAAAGATCAACAAACTCACACAAATGCAAGCCACTCCAAGAGGTGACAGAAACAACCAAAACAAAAATCAAACCAAAAAAGAAAAACAAAAACAGATATGGGCCCTTTTAGACTTAGATATTGGAACTATTAGATACAGAATATAGAACAGCCATGTATAAAATGTACAAAATTGTAAAGGATTCAATTACAACTATAACCAATTGATAAAATACTATGAGGAAATGAATAGACAAATTTAATTTTTTTAACTGAAAACTTTGGAAGTAAAAAATAAAATTTTGTAACATAAATCTTAATCAAAGACTGCAGCATCAGTTTACTGTTCAAAGAAGAGACAAATAGTGCACTGGAAGAGGTCTATTTTAAAAATTACCAAAATTTTAGCACAAAGTAATAAGAAAAAGGTGAAAAATTATATAGAGGGTAGAAAGAGAAGCAGTAATATACATCACACGAGAATCCCAGAAAAAGCAAAGTTAAATGAGAAGAGATAACATTTACAGAGATAATAGCTATCAAAATTTTCCAGAATTAATGAAAACCATGAATCCGCAGATCTAGGAACAAAAATTAATACCAAGCATCATAAACAAAAAGAAATCCATGCCATCATAGTGAAACTGCATATCACAGGTTGGATTGTCTGCAAGTAGATGGTGAGGCAAGATATTTATTAGGGATTAACACCTGTGAAAGGGCAAAGGGAGAAATTCAACTGCAATGCGGACACAGAGCCTAGGCCAAATCCAAGGAGGGCACTGGTGCATTTACAACCTGTCAGGATTGTCCTGCAGTGGACCCAAATAATCAGGCCTTTAGACCCCCACCAAGATAAATCACTGGATGTGGGCCAACCCAGAATGGGTATACCTGGGGCCAAGTGACTCTCGGTTCTTGAGGCAAACATAGTTGGAGACTATCTGCTGATTCCCAGCACCTACTACAAAAATATCCCTATTGAAGACGCATCTGGGCAGGCATCTTTATATCCGCCGCCATAGTCCACCCCTTGCACCACTCAAATCTATTTCTTTATATGCATTCAGCTCTTCCAGGATCAAAGTGTGCTTGTCTTTCTGCAGGAAACTTGGTATGGTTAACAGGACAAACGACTGCCACTACAGCTGGACATAAGGATGCAACTGATACCCATTATCTACCTCCTAGACTATCCATTCTGGATTTCCCCACCCTTAACTATGAGCTCTGCTGTCTTGGTGGCTAATGTCCTGGTGTGATGCAGACCATCCGTAAAGGATCTGAGCCCTTGGTCACCATGTCCTTCTCAGTGGGAGTTGCTGAACTTACCCACTTGCCAATAGAGATGAGCAAAGGAGTGCCCAAAAGCACCTATGTGGATCACTTGGGTAATGCAACCCATTTATCTGCTCCCACTGTATAACAGCGGATCTCCCTCATTTAATTTTGGAGGGCAGGTTTCAGCATACCCCTGATCACAGGAATCCCAAAATGTTTACCCATGTGGCAGGCCCCTCGATCTTCACAGTGCTTATCTCCTACCCTCTGCAGCATGTGTGTCTTAACTGAAGCCTCCAGTTGCATCTTGCTCATCCAGTCCAACTCATCCAGCCTGATTAGCACAGTATCATCGAGCTACTGAATCCATGTGATGTTTTGTAAACGAAGATTGCTTCAGACTCTGTCATGATGGAGGGCATAAAAGAACACAACCCGGGACAACACTGTAAAACTATGTTAGTGTATCACTGCCCATTCCATGTGCATGTGAACTCTTTATGATCCTCTTTTTGATCAGAATAGAAAGAACATATTCACCAAATTAGGAGCTGCATACGATGTATCTGAGGCCATGTTAATCTGCCGTAGCAAAGAGGCCAGAACAGGCACAGGAGCTGCAATTAGGGATAGTAGTGGGTTGGCTTTGGGGTAGTCTACTGTTATCCTCCCAGAATCTGGGTTCTTCCGGCACAAGACTGGTGACTTCAATGAAGAAGTGATGGGCATCTCCCCGCTACCCACTCACTCATTCTCTAGATTAGGGCTGGCAAGCTATGAGCTGACCTGTTTTATAAATAAAAGTTTTTTGGAACACAGACATGCATGCTCATTTGTTTATGTATTGCTCATGGCTGCTCTCTGCTACAAAAGTAAAGTCATTGCAACAGAGACATCTAGCCCACAAAACATAAAATATTTACCATCTGGCCCTTACAAAGATAGTTTGCCAACCCCACTTTAGTTCCATAAAGGTGGCATTAACCTCCACTCTTATCACCACTCCTCCAGAATTATTGTTCTTGATTTACTGTCATGGCTGAGAAGAGGAGCAGTTTTTAAGGCCTCCATTTCACCTTCCCTACAGGCAAAAGACCCAACATGGGGATTATTCCAACTGCTGTGTATATGAATTTTATTGTACATTCTGGAACCAAAGAAATGACCAATGGAGCAGTTGAGTCTATAGGCCAGGAGGCCCACTGTAAGTTAACTTTAGCCAGGAGTTTTTTACCTGGCCCTAATGTGTTCCATGCTAATGAGCCATGAAAACACCCTCCATCCAATAGTTCCCAAAATATTTGGGTTTTTCCCTTTCCCATGTATATAATTATCTGAGTAAATGGCCATAGGTTCCTGTGGGGAAGTGCTGAGGGAACCATCACCACGTATACTCATCATGGTGTTGCCCAATTCTTTCTCTTGGGGACCTGGCCTTATTGTCAGTTTCTAGGCTCTAGGTTTGGCACAGGTCTGGGGGAAATGCAAGAGACTTTGTATTGAGGCAACTGCCCTTGGTATCCTGGTCATTATCTCTGATTTTTTCTGACAGTACAAGCTGAGCAGTGGTCTTGTCAGCTGCCCACCTATTTTGCATCTAAGAATATCATGTTCCATTAAGCATCTTCATAATTCTCTGTAGGGAAGGCTTCCTTGGCTGCCACTCCACACTCACCACTCATTGCAAACCACTGTGTCCACTGAGCCTCTATGGTGTCAGGGTCCTAGCATCCCCATTGTTATCCGCAAGCCTCAGTCTGTACTGACCTCTCCTACTCCAGCTCCAGACTGCAGAGGAGAGCCACCACTGAACATGTTAGTGATGCTGGTGCCCCCTCACCAGCAATTCTTTGTTGATAGTATATCCTCTAGGCATTCCCATGATGAACCTTCATTCCTGCTTCACCAAGCCTTTTCATTGTTTCCTCAACTATCTGTCATGACAATTTGAGCATTTCAACGGCATGTGGATCATCTCTTTTTCTATGTTTCTGGGAGCCACTCTAATAGCAAGCCAGCCCTGTCTCCTGAGGTCCTTGCCATGGTATTAAATCCTGTAGCTCAGGAGAGTAATCTCAAATCAATTTATTCTCTCCTACTCAAGCTTATGCTCTTGTCAGTTGGTCAACCTCCCTCAGAATCTAACCATTCCTTGAAAATCTCTGCCTTCCTATGGGAGCATGCTAGCAAGTCTTGAAGCTCCTTCTGGGACATGATCCCTCTCTTTCCTATGAGTCCCCTAACATTCTTCATCTGATGAATGCTACAACTTAACCCTCACTATATAGGCAGAGTGGTTAGGAGGGAAGGTAGGGGCAGATTCTGAGGGGGTACATGTCATCATGTTTGGGAGAGACCTCTACATTTTCTCTAAAAAGGGCAGTGTGCTAATTCTTCATAGGAGAAGGTGGTGAGACACTTCTGAAGGTTCCAAGAGTTCAGAAGTCTGGGCACTTGAAATATTAGGGGTGATTTACCAAGATGTCTGCATCCCAAAAGTGGGGCCCATTTTTCCCCAAACAGGACCTGACGTTAGTATAACAGACCTGTGTTGGTTGAAGTTTAACCTTCTCTGGAGCTTGGTCCCTTAAGTCCTGGGCTGGGGACTGGTCTGCAGCTTTCTCTGTGTTTTGCTGCAGAAGAAGAGAGCCCCATTATAAGCTGCCAGAGAAGCCCTCTGTCTTTCAATCCTAGCTTTTCAGTTGCTCATCAGTCACTTGCAGCTTTTTCTTACCTCTTCCTGGGGCATCAACAGTTCTTAGCTATAGCCATCTAATCCCATTGCCCTCACGGTTTCTATTTACATATTTCTCAAGTGCCTAGCATGTCAGTGTCATGACAGCTAGTGTAGTACACTGCTCCAGTACACCATCCCAATCCACCTCTGGTGAGAAGGTTAACCACTGGACTGCCACTTTGCGCCAGGTGCCATATGGACTCCTCCTACCATAGTGATGAAGGCCCCATTGCCACCAGGGAGGTGTGTGACCCAGCTTCAAAACCTCATCTTATCACTGGTTTTTCTCAGACCACCCCTAGCAACAACTGTCTCAGGTTGGGTTACCTCTGCAGAAGAGTTGGGAGCTACATAGAGGAGGAGTAAACAGATTTACGGGAATTATAGTTAATGTTCAGGTTCTTTGGTGGCGTGGCAGATTCACTGTTGTCATATTACCTAGTAATTTATATATAATCTTTTAGGTATAGCTAATGAAATTTTTTAAAGATAAGGCAAAAATAAATTGCTTATTACTTGTTTATATTGGATAACATCTTATGCTACCACAATTAGAAAATTATGAAAAAGCATTGCTACAATTAAAAATTTGTTCTAGGCTTCCAAATACTTTAAGTCAGTTTATGTGCTTTTTCTTGTTGTTGTTGTTGTTGGAAGTACATGTGGTATGTTGGAATTAAATGAGAATAGTGGTAGTTCATTATCTTTGTCACTTTTTATTGTACTTTTGTCTTGATAGTTGGTTTTGATTAGAAAACGGCTCAATTATCTTTTAAGAAATATAGTCTGCTTTAACTTTTAACCAATTACTATTTTAAGTCTCCATTTTGAGGTACAAATAGAGACTGATAAATTTCTATAAGAAGTCATCTTAACAAAGTTCTGAGACAACATTCTCAATATAATATACATTAGTTTCCTAGGTCAAGCTCTAATAAATTATTTGTGCTGATCTTGCTTCATTAGGTTTCCTCTTCCCAGAAATTTTGTTGCAATATTAATGTATTAGCTAGTGCAAAAGTAGTTGCAGCCGTTGCCACTAAAAGGAATAGCCAAAACCGCAATTATTTTTGCACCAATCTAATAATAATTATTGTCAATTCTTTGCATGATGGAATACTTAAAATTGGTAATATTTTGTCTGGGCCAGAGTTACTAACTAAAATCATGGATGACTGGGTTTTTTTTTAAGCAAGAAAGTAAATGATCACATTTTGTAAAAATGTATCTATTATATGGATAATAGATAAGAAGGAAGAGTGTAGGAAGGGAAGGAGAGAATCAATGGGAACTCATGCCAAAGTCAAGGGGAAAAATAGTGTCTGAATCAGACAATGACAATGATAATGGAGAGGGAGAATGGAATTAAAAACTTTTTGGATATATCCTGGGGAAGGACTTGGTGGTCAATTAGATATAAAGGACAAGGACTACTCAAGGGTAACTCAAGTTTCTTGTCAGGTTGACAGGGTGGAAATGGTGCCATCAGCACAGATTAGTAAGCAACGATGAATCAACAGGTTTGGCAGGAAAAGAATTAACTCAAGCTTTAGCCATGTTGATTGTGAGAGGTCTGGGGGTTGCAGAGCCACCAGGCATTATCAACCAGTGACAATTGCCAAAGGAGTACATGGTAAAATTATTTTTGTAATTATTTAAAAACTTCTCTGCCATTATCTCAAGTATGCCTTTCCTTTTTCCCCCAGAGGAAACCAGAGAGGGGACAAATCTCCCAGACCTGTGGGAGGGAAGAAAAGAGACAACCTGAGCTGGAAGTAACCCTGGGCCAATCCTAAAACCACGTGCAGATCCACGGAGGACTAATGTGGAACTGAATTTTTCTGTGTGTTATTTTAGATTGTATTCTTTTCTAAAATCACAGTACAAAATGTTTTCAAAACTGTAAGTCCCATGCTTTACAAGTTTGTCACATACAGCTAAAAATCGTTGTCAGGGCATAGACATTTGTAGTTCCTAGTTGACCAACACAGAAATAATCAACATATAACAACAATTCTACTAGATACCAATACACAGCAATAAGCCAGCCAGCTCTTTTATAAATGCAACGTAGAAAGCATTAGCAGCAGGCCCACGCTGGGCTTTTATTTTTGGTTGAGCTTAGCTGACCTTAAAATAGATTTGCATTGAGGAAAATGTAAAACTTCCTCAAATATAGTACCACTTAATTCAGCATAAGCCATAGAGGGGAGGGTTGTGTCTCTAGGGAGAATTTTTACATTCTAGTAACTATAAAAGTAAGGTCTAATACTATGCTATTTCTCTAAAATTTTCATATTCTAGTAAAGCTTATGAATGTATCTTTGAGCTTAATACAAATGCCACTAACTGGTGTGCCCCCTCAAAGATGTTCTCAACTCTGCGGTTAGTTTTTTAGCATCTACTCTCAGAGTGATTGTTGTTTCATTTTGATAGCTATCCCCGAAATTTTCTTATGATGCCACTAGATGAATTTAAAAAATATACTGTGACCAAACCATAGATGCTGTGCCCTTGGGGTGCAAGATTGGCAGCAATTAATTGATTAATGGATATATCTTCTCTACCAATGATTTTAGATTTTGTAGTCACAACAGCACAAATACATCATAGTGGGCAAACTTAAATAAATAAATTTTGTCTTCTGGGCCTTTGGTTTCCCCATTCAACCCCTTACCATATTAGGTTCTTTTGTTTCTGGTCCACCTATCAGTACCTGTCTCTGCTCCCTCAACAATATCTATTATTATGTGCCAATTTTCTCAAATTTTATTTCAGTTGTTCTTCCTATCAATCTGTGAAGCAGATATTTTTATTACCCTTTCACTAAGGATAATACTACCAGGGGAAACTGTGGATCCAAGAGGTTAAATAATTTGCCTGAGTATATTAGTCAAGGATCTCCAAAGAAACTATATGCAGTCTGTCATATATCTATATATCTCTCAGAGAGAGAGAGAGAAAGGGAGAGAAATTTATTATGAGGAACTGGCTCATGCTATTAGGAAAGCCAGTCATGTAATTCAGTCCAAGTCTAAAGTCCTGAGAACCAAAATAAGCCAGTGATGTAAATCTCAGTCCAAGGGCAGGAGAAGACCAAAGTCCCAGTTCAAACAAGAAGGCAAGAAGCAAAAAGTGGAAATTCCTCCTTCCTCCACGTTTTGTGATTGGATGATGTCCCTCTACATTGAAGAGGGCAACCTATTTTACTGGGTCCACTAATTCAAACGCTAATTTTATCCAGAAACACCCTCACAGACACACCCAGAAATGTTTAATCTGGGTACTCCATGGCCAGTGAAGTTGACACATAAAATTCACCATCACACTGAGGTAACCGAATTTATTGGAAATTTTATTGAAAAGTAGAAACTTTAAAATCAGGCCTAACCCTAAAACATCAGCCATCACACTTTGCCAATCTCGTATGTTACCTGCCTAGACTCTTCCCAAGGTCTTTAGCTAAAGGAAATCCTTTAGGAAAAAAAAAATGGGATTTCTGGTGTGGAAGAGTCTGGGAGAACTGGACGTTCTCAGAAGATGTAGATTCTTTAGCTATTGGATTTACCAAGACCCCAAAGGACATGTTGGCCTACTTAACAAACAATCATTTAGGCCCTTCGTGTGCTAGACACTGTATGTTCATTGTTATGGCAGAAATAAACATGAAACCAAATTCTGCCTCCTAAGAAGCTTATATTCCTCTGTATTTTTGTCTACCAAATATCACTCAATGGCACGCTATCCTAACAGAAGAATTTGGCTTAGCTGGTGCAGTGGCCCATGCCTGTAATCTCAGCTACTTGGGAGTCTGAGGTGGGGGATCGTTTAAAAAGCCCAAGACTTTGAGTCCAGCCTGGGCCACGTAGCAAAACCATGGCTCTGAAATAACTAAAATAATAAACTGTTCAGTTAATTAAAAAAAAATTTGGCTTAATGAAAGCAGCAACAACCTAACATTTATTAGGTGTAGGTTAGTACATGTCTTATTTGGACCTATCTCAAGTGCGTACACAGTGTATTAAGGACTGCCTTGAATGACAAAAGAAGAGTGTGGATGGAAAAAGGAGCAGTCGGTAATCTATTTTTAAGACCACTAGAGTTCTATGAACCACTTAGATATTATACTGGGCATTGTTTTTGTTTATTACCATCCCTTCCTTGGAGAACCCACCCCTTGCATATGTGGTGAGATTCTCATAGAGCTATTATCACACAGCCCCACCTACTTTGGCCATAGGAGTGGGCACATGAGTCAGGGTATTCAATCATGGCTCTCAAGGTGTAGTGCTTGGTCTAGAGATGCACATGTGGTCCAAATAGAGCCAATCAAAGTCCATTTCTGGGACTGCCATATGAACACAGTAGAGACAGCTATTTTTTTTTACTGTGATTTCTAACCAGGTACTACGGGAAACTTGCCCACCATGTGTTGTTGATAGGTGCAGCAAAGCAAACCACCATGGCACACGTATACCTATGTAACAAACCTGCATGTTCAGCACATGTATCCCAGAACTTAGAGTAAAATAAAAATAAATAAATAAATAAATAAAATGCAAAAGAAAAAAAAAGTAAAAGTTAGGCTGAGTTCTGTTGCTTAGAACCAGGAGTCCTGACTTAAAAAAAAAACAAAAAATCTGTGTTGCCCTTAAACCTTCCTGGTCATCAGTGAATGAAGCTGCTTCCTTAAATCTCTGAGGTGACAAAGCACAAAGCAGAGGGCCTGGAGCAGAGCCTCTGCTCTTCATTTGCTGTACCCCATAAAAACAGCTATCTTGGATATGAGTTCACTGTGTCTCCCAGGTCTCTTCCGGAAGGATTTGGAGCAATCTCTGCCACTTTCGGGCAGTATCAAGGATGTTGCTGAGGGCAGCATCTGTGGAATTCTAAGTATCCAAGGCAGTCTTCACCTCCCTACTAGCAATTTAAGCAGTTTTTCCATCAGGTCTTAGGACTTGACCCTTTTTCTTTGCTCTGGTTCTCTACAGATACTGAGCAATGACTTGAGATCACTGACCTAAGGTTTCTACCTCCACAAAGAGCAGTATTTCAGCTCACTCTTCTTGGTGATGAATAAATTGACTTCCAACTATGAATAATCTGAAAATAAGCATTTTGTGGACTCTCACTGACCATTGTTAAATCGGTAAGTCATTAATCAATTTCAATTACCTGGCACGATGAGAGGGTGAGGTCTGAAAACTATTGTCATGGGTGATATGTGGTCTATGGTTTCTGAGTCTGAAATTCGGTTACTTAAAACACATGCAAAAAGTAGCTGAGGTTTCAGCCTCACAAGCTCTGATAATTTACCACTAAAAATAAGCATGTGCTCAAGAGACAACTACTATGTAAACACTCTCAGAAAGATTTTTCAGCATCTGCATACAGAAGCTGTCATCCTATACCCAGAGAAGCTGAGGGCACAGCACACAAAGAACGCTTTATCTTTGGGGGAAGCCAGCATCTGCTGAGCATGAAGCAAAGGCAGGACAAAGGACTGCTTCTCTTATTCAGGCAGAGAAATGAAACGTGATTCATTGTTTTGTCTTAAGCAGTTGCACATTTATTGTTCCAATATTTAGGGGCTAAATATTGGAGCTTGCCTTTCATTAGAAACTTAAGGCCTATCTTGAGTATCAAAGGTGCTTATTGAGAAGCAGAGATGTTCAACATGTTTTGTTCTCACTGAGTACGCAAGGCCATGTCCAGCATACTACTTGGCACTTAGTAGGCACTTAATTAACTGCATTTCTCACCCATCTTTTTATTAATACTGTTTTACCTTCCTTTTAGCAAATATGACTTATAAAAGTCAGAACTATATGGCAGGTAAATTTGGACACGAACACTATAAAATCAAAAGACTTTTTCCTTTACCTTGGGATGATTTTAAATCTCAAGTCCCCTCACTCAGGGTGTATTTGAAATATAACAATATATGTACAGCTGAGCCATGAAATTTTTAGCATATGAAAAACAGGACACACATTTGTGCATGCTGTTTTGTCCCCACCAGGATTTGCAAAGGGAGGGTGAGAAGAATTGACTGAAAGAACAGCTGTTTAGTGAGGCAGGAAGTTGAAACTATTTAACTTAAAATTAGGTTTGGGGATTATCTGAGGTCTTCAAAGAGTGATACGATTTGTATTCTTCATTATCACAAGTAAATAGGAGTAGGAGACTGTAGTGTGTGTGAATTTACTGTGTTGCGACAAGGAAGCCTCCAGAATCATCAATTCATGGATTTATGGGTTTGGAATGTGAATTTTTGCCATGGATCTCACACTCTTCGTGATGATGATGAGTTGCTTTGGCCGACCCATCTGAGACACAGAAACTCCTGCCAAGATGAGGAGGTTGGGGAATGATATGTGGATGGCAGGGAAAGCCATGCTGCTTGAAACTCTACTTACTCTGCTGGTTTGCAAGTCTGAAAGCCTAAGCTTGCCCCACAATATAGGTCAGACTTCCCAGAATAAACCAGCCTTCCAGCTGAACCTCGCTCCTTGCCAGCCCACCCTGGCCCCATATGCTGCCAGGTTATTCACATCTACTACAACTAGATGTTGTAGTGAAATACTCCAGGCCTGAACTTGAGCGTTCACAGGCATCTTTTAAATTTAGGCAGATGGTTTAGTTTCTTTTCTCTTATTTTGAGTTCATTTATGGTTTTGTGATTTTGTATAATTACACATAACATTAACTAAGGAGGAGTAAGGTTTTTCATGGTTCCTAATTATCTAGGGTCTGATTCTTGCTTTTAGCACTTACATAATTATAACTGACATTTCTGGCTAACTCCTTTCCATTCTTGCTCCCTAAATCGGAATTTATGAAGACTATCCCTTAATTCTAGTGCTCAGTAAGTCTTGTATAGGGAACTTAATGTCAGAAGCCCAGAATTTTAGAAACAATTCTGTGACTAATTAACTCCATAGACTTGAGTAAGTCCTGGACTCTAAGACCTTATGATGGTTCATTTTACGTGTCAACTTGAGTGGGCCATAGTGCCCAGATATGTGGTCAAACACTAATCTGGATGTTTCTGTAAGGGTGTTTTTGGATTGGTGGACTTTGAGTAAAGCAGATTGCCATTCATCATGTGAGTGGTCCTCATCCAGTAAGTTTAAGTCCAGAAAAGACCAAAAAGGCTAACTTACCCGCTTAAGAGTGAATTCTGCAGCAGATGGCCAGCCTTTGGACTTTGAACTGCAACATCAGCCCATTCCTCAGTCTCCAGAGTGCCAGCCCACATTGCAGATTTTGGACTTGCTAACCTTCAGAAGCACATGAACCAATCCCTTAAAATCTCTCCCCCCACCACCAGTATTGATTCTGTTTTCTGGAGAACACTGACTAATGTAACCCTATATTTTTTAAATTATGGGAGAAACTAAATCCATTCTGCAGACATCACAGCTGATCCGAAGATCTAAAGAAAACATACATGCAAAAAAGATGTAAAATAGGTAATGTACTGAACAAATATAAGGATTTATTTCAGTAAACCATGAACTTAAGAATTTACAGTGAAAATCAAAAATTTACTTAAAGTCGAGCAATTAGAAATTTCCTTTTCTGCAAATAGCCCTTCCATGAATTTTACAGTCCTCTCACTTTTCTCCTGAGTCATATTTTTTACTCAGAGTCACACATAAACGATGGATATTTTCATACCACAAGTGAACCACCTTTTCCACGTTTCTAAAGCTTAATCTCTTTTACAGTGATGAGCAGAAAGCCAACAGAATTGATGGGTCAGTAGGCTCATCCATTTACCTGATAACCAGCCTTGGACCTGAAATCCAACCTCATGGTCAAATAATTCTGCTTGACGCCCCCAGTCTACATATTGACATGTTTCTCTCCTGTAGCTGACAAGGTGTGTGCTAAATATTTGCATGCAAAGAGTTGATTCCAAAATGCATCTTTGTTGTCTTGTCCAACTTGGCTTTCTGGTTGCTAATGCTGTTTTGTCTGCTGGGACTCCACACCCTGCCTGATCATTCTTTTATGGTAACCTTTGCCCAGCTCAACCCACCACCACTGGCCTCTATTCACAGGTCCCTCTCCCTACTCTAATCCCCCACCGCCCTTGCCTCCAACTAAGAAGCCTTACAAACTTGCCAGAATGTATCAGCCTTGCCCCTGTGACCTCTCTTGGTCCACACTGTTCCATTTTAGTCTATATTTTTATTATATTTAAAGTAAATTATTTGAATTTCTAACAAATTTTTGATATTTTCTACTACAGTAAACTCTTCAATATTATTTTCTTTTGAACTTGGTAAGCAATCTTTTTATTTTATCTTTTGGCATTAATATTACCTAACAGAAAAATGCACAATCATAAGTCTACAGCTCAATGAATTTTTCACAAAGCAAACATACCTGATGTGTAGCCAGCAACCACATTAAAAGATAGAACATTATCAGTACCCTAGAAGCCCCTTTTGTATCCCCTTCCAGCTATGACCTCTCCCTAAAGGTAACCACTATCTTGACTTGCCTGTTTTTTAACTTCATGAAGATGGAGTCAAACACTGTTACAGTTGTCATGGATGTGTGCCACTCAGATGTCCCTTCAGGAGAAAACCTGCAGCAAACAGTGCAGTGAGCCCATGGCCTTTAGCTATTGCACTATCGGGATCCATTGCAGAATTCCACCAAAACCACACTCTTCCTAGGTTGCCCCCAGCCAATGACTGGGCATGGTAAAGGCACCAAAGCCAAGCTATTGCCGGCCAACATGGGATCCCCCTGTGGGCAATCTTTGCTCTAGGGATCCCCATCAGCTTGGCCAAGTCTTTCTCAGAGATGTCCTCCAGTCTAAGATGCCTCCTACCTAACCCTCCTTCCTCCTCCCTTCTTCTTCCCCACTCTCCTTTCATAGGTGTCTGACTGGTATTGCTGCATGATGGCTCTCCCTGCCTGTATCTACTTCCTCTCTCCGTTATTTTTTGTAAGGTATCTCTTGGCCTTCAATTATCTATTGGTGTCTGCTTGCTAGAAGAGCTGCACTGAGCCAAGTTTTGTGTGTCTGGCTTCTTTCGCTTAAACTTAAATATGTTGGATTCACCTATGAGCAATCCTTTTATTAAAAAGTCTAATTATGCACCAATAAGGCTATTAAAAGTATATTTATATATGTTAAAATTTTAGAACTTACTGTAGACTCTTTTTCATCCTTGTGATTCATCTACTCTCCCAACCACCAGCCTCCTTGAGCCTCAGTCAAAGATCTAGCAGCCTGCAGTACATGTCTGATAAGAACACAGCCCAGAACCAGCTCAAAACTATCAACAGCTCATTATTCATATAACAAACATTAATACCTACACTGTTCCGGGCATCGGGAGGGACGTGCCTTGGCATGCCAAATAACTTCCAGATTTAGTAGCCTGGATATAGACGACCCTATGATGTGGTTCCAGTCTGCCTTTTTGGGTGCATCTTCACGTACCCCATAATCACTCTTGAAGGTGTGTGTTCCTTCATTCCAGAGATTCCTTAGGGCTTCCCACTTGTGCAGGACCAAACTTCAAGGCAGGTCTGGGCAAGACTGGAGTCCCTCCCTGATTGTACCCACAAAGTCAGAGTCAAGCTTTGACTTCAGCCTTCACACAGCATTTGTGATGCTGGTAATTAATACTGGAGAAAGGCCTTGGCTATAGTGGGGAAAGCACTCGGCTGAGAACTTAGAGTTCAAGACTCTGTTCTTCCACTTACTCTTTGTGATATGAATGAGTCACTTAATCTTTCTGAGCCTCATTTGTACAATAAAGAGATCAAACTAGATTGATCTAAAGTCCTTTATTGCCTTGTTTAAGATTCTACCCTAAATGGTTAAACAGAGAAGGCAAGACAGTTCTTGTGCATTTGGCTACATAAATGAGCCACAACA
Organism: Homo sapiens; assembly: GCF_000001405.40. Lineage (NCBI taxonomy): Eukaryota > Metazoa > Chordata > Mammalia > Primates > Hominidae > Homo > Homo sapiens. The sequence goes on from NC_000002.12 coordinate 200,279,349, forward strand.
TGTACTTTATGGTTCAGTTACTTTCATTTTGTTGTTTCCTAGGATATAATCTTCTGGGCTGCCTTGTCCCAAATACTGGGTAACCCTGCTCTCCATCTGGTACCTATTCTGTGGGCATTGCAGGGACTTTCATTTCCTGTATTCCAGTCTGGAATCTTTGAGACCCCTAATTTCAAGTTGGAAGGGGATAAAATTGGCCCTGCATTTCTGAATTTAGAAAAGTTAAACATTCTTTAGTCCATTTGTGTCGTGAACACGTACACACACACACACACACACACACACATCACACACTCCAAACAATGTAATTAATATGTAACAAATGCCGTGCATAATGATAACATTGATTTTAACTTGTAGATTTATACAATTGAGTCATTATACTATTTTATACGTAAATCTACAAATTTTGATTGTAAGAAATAAAATATTGAGAATTCTATTACTGCAGGATTATTCATTTCAAAATATATTTCTGATTTTGAATTTCTTCCAGTGATCTAAAAACATTTAAAGAATTTTTTTGCTTTTATTTTAAATATGAATTCCTTTTGACTTGGTCATCTATCATCTGAGGTTCCTAGTTTTCCTTTGAATTAAATTCTATGACTGAATTTGTAATCCCTGAAAATAGTAGTTAAAAATGTAAGCATCAGCAACACATACAAAATCCTTCTCATGTTGAAATGTTTACTATTAATATGTGTGATTATGCAATACTTTAAGCACTTAATAGTACTTGAAAGATTTTGTCTTCAAATAGCTCTAATATTCCCTAGAGTTTTAATTCCATTTTCCAAGGATATTTACTTGCTGTTTGAAAAATGGTTAAAAAAAATCCTAGATGAATATGTGACCAGAAATTTAATAAGTCTCTTTAAGTTTAATAAAGGGCAAGGAAAGAAAGGAAACTAACATTTATTATGTATATATGTGCCAACTTGTGTGCTAGGTCCTGTCATATATAGTCTCTCCTTTTATTATGGGCAAAAAGCTTAGAGCAAAGCAAAGGAAAACTACCAATGAACTTTGTGGATTTAACAGAAGTGTGATGATTTTACTGAATTTATGCAGATATTTTCCAAAGCCTACTTTAAGTTCAAATTGATAATGAGCATTTATTTGAACTCCTTGAAGATATCACCTCTGGTGTATAATTAAAATGAAACCTCCTGGGCTTACCTTAATTAACTAAAAATGAGTGCAGCATTTTGACCTTCTATTTCTCCTATTCTGTCATGTTAGTATGATATTAAAATTACATTTTACTTAGTTCCTCTTTGTTCAGATTATTTTCTAAAAAATCTGAGAACAGATTTGCATTAGGTGTGATATGTTCTTCATTGAGTGTTGCAAAAATGAATTTCATTTGTATTTAACAGACTTCATTGACATAAAGTAAGACATTTTTAGGTTACTTCTAATTCAAGTTTTTAATTGTTAATGAATCTGTAGCAAAAATAGCAATTTTTTAAAATAATAGCACTTAAAAGGACCCATTTGTACCTCTAAAGTGTACTGAAATTGTCCGAGCATGTGATCATCAAATATAAATTACTGGAGGGGCAAAAATGTCTTTTATTCTGATTCACAATGAATAGTCACTAATACAAAAGATTTTAAAAATCCATCGTTAAAAAAAAAGAAAGAAAGCCTTGCCCCTTCCAGGAGCAATTTGTAGAAGGTATAGTGTAATAAGGCATTCTTCAATTATGCATGAGTAGAAAAACATGGATAAAAGCATTTTCGGGAGTTGCCATATACTATTTTAGTTCCCTAAAGTGGAAATTTAATAAATGGTACTCAAGTGACTTAAAAGAGTCATATTATTAATAACAATTATAAACATTTGGGAGCATAGAACCATCACACTAGTTTCTCATTTGATTTGCACAACAGCCCAGTAAGTTCTCTGTCATTATCCCCATTCCCTGTTTACAGGTGATATGGTTGTTAGAGGCTGGACAAGATAAGAACATTCCCAGTAACAGATCTTGAATCCCTGTCAGCCCCCTTTTCCAAGAGGTCTAATTGGAAGCATCAGCGACACATTATTACATTTATATAATACATATGTAATACATATGTTAATGTATTATAATTATACATTATTATTTACTTTTGTTATATCTCACCTACATTCAACTCCTGTTTGCTTAGCCAAACTCAAGAGATTGTGTAGATTGTAGACCAGTACTTCTAACGTGAACCTGTGAAGAATCGCCTATAGAGATTGTTAAACCACAGACTTTCAGGCACAAACTCCAAAGATTCTGATTTAGGAAGGCTCTATGAGACCCAGAGTTTGCATTTTTACAAGTTCTCAGGTGATGCTCCTGCTGCCAGTCCAAGGTCTACTCTTTTGAGTAATACAGGTTATAAGCTACTGGTTATGTTGATCATTTACTTATTTTAAATGTTTTAAGTTATTTATTTAATGTAGTGCCTAATAAAAGAATAGATTGCTAAAGCCACAAGGCCAGCAGGTCAGCAATAATGGCTTTAATACTAACAGGGCCAGTTGGCATGATTATGAGTTGTGCAGTTCTAGAGGCTGTTACTCACATAGTCTACAACCTGCACAACTGTCCACTGCATCCTTGAGTGGTGAATATATTGTTCCAGGAGTAGGGGTGGGAGGAAAAGAGGCAGAGAAGGGCAGGAAATAGTATTGATTTGGCCATTAGATTTTGGAGATTTTCCATATCCAGGAATGTTATTATAGCCCATCTAATCAAGCTGATTTGGGGTCAGAACGTGTATCTAAAAAGAGAATCTGAGATCAGCTTTGGAAGTCAGGGTTTTGGGAAGAATTGAAGTTCATATAGTACTATGTGGGATCCAGGAGACAAAGAGCATCACAAAGTTGGGGAGAAGATCACACTATCATTCTACTTATTTCTACACAGAACACTCAGTGACTCTGGTGGAACAGGCCCCTGGCAGCATCAGGAGACAGTGCCAAGGCACCATCAGTGAGGATCCTAGCAGCAAAGGAAGTGTAAAGATGCTTCCTTTGAGTGCCTGGCAAATAACTGTTTCCCTCACAAAGGCAGGGTCAGAAGAACTGAGTCACCATGAGACACCAACTGGGGTCTCCAGGGTGGAGGGGACCTTCAAGGAGACTCCAATGGGGGATGGAGCTAAGATCTCAGGGCAATGCAGGTGGGAATATAAAGCTTGCCCAATATTATTAATAACATAACCTCTTTCACGCTCACAGGCTGGTAAGCTCTGAGGACATCCAAAAAAAAAAAAAGAAATTAAAAATGCCAGCAATTATAAGAATACAGATTGCATGCATTCCCACCCCCTGCACACCACACCCCCCCGCCACACTGCCTTTTTTTTTTTTTTTTTTTTTGAGACGGTGCCTTGCTCTGTCACCCAGGCTGAAGTGCAGTGCTGTGATCACAGCTCACTACAGCCTCAACCCCCAGGTTCCAGCGATCCTCCCAGCTCAGCCTCCCAAATAGCTTGGACTACAAAAACATGCTACCACACCCAGTTAAATTTTTGTTTTTGTTTTTTTGTAGATATGGATCTAATTACATTGCCCAGGCTGGTTTCGAACTTCTGGGCTCAAGCAATCCTTCTGCCTCGGCCACCCAAAGTGTTGGGATTACAGGTGTGGGCTACCACGCCTGGCCAAGCATTCCCTTTTGTGATAGGAATATCTTTGTTATTTTACTATGTCACACACCATGAGCAATTCACTTTTCTTTTTTTTTTTTTTTTTTTTGCAATTCACTTTTCTAATTTATCTCTGCTTCTCTAAATCTCCACTTCACAGACACTTTAGTTTGTTGTGAGGTTATGACATCCGACACAAACCCACAGTCCAGTGAGTGTGAGGGCAGCAGGCGAGCAAGTTTGCCTAAGCTCAGCTCGACTAAATTGTAGAGGCCATTATCTGCTCCTCACAGCGTTTCCTCCATGGCCTGTAGAGTGGGAAAATCCACTTTTTTGAAAGTAATGGGAAGAGAGTGTCTGTCCTCATTCCACCTCACTACTCCTCCCCAAGGAAGGAATAATGTATATGTGAATTTGGAGAAAGGAACTGAACTGCTTCTAGCTTAGTCCTTTCTGCTTTTGATATGACTAGCCCCTGGGGAAATAAACATTCTCCTCATTTTCCAAGAAGGGGTTTGCCCTCCATGGGAGAGAGTCCATAGTTTTATGGTGGTAGCTGGGTGGCTAACCTAGTTCAGAACAATTTGGTTGCTGTTTCAAGCTGCATTCTTCCATCAGGGTCTCAACAAGAAAAAGATGGCACACTCCAATTAGAAGAATTTGAGAAGGGTATATTTTCAAAGGGACCGTTGACAAAGATGGGAGCAGAGTGTAGCAAAAGGACAAAGGATAACACCAGGACAGAGCTGGTGACAGTAGAGGATAGGGAGAGATTACCAGGGCCTCGAAATAGAGAATCTATAGAAAGGTCACCTTGAGAGGAGCTGTGAGCTTCAGAATGTAGAGCAGTGACCATTGATCAAGGGACACAGCTAGCCTGGGGCAATCATACAGGAAGAAAGTCAGGAAAATAAATACCCTAGTGCCACTCTTTTTCATTCCTGTCTTCTCCCACCAGGGCTTCCTATTGGCTGAATCCAGCCAGAAGCCAAGGGTAAAGGAACCCATTGATATAGTTGTACAATATATGATGAAGGCTCCCCCACGTATCACCTTGGCACTGCCCATTGACATTCATGCCTACTCAATGGCTTCTAACTGAAAGCACCTGCAACTCTTTACTTGATGGATTTCCTAAGCCAGTGTAATGGACTTGACCTGTACACGGAGCAGCTAAAGGTCCCTGATGGGTAGTGAATTCTGAAAGCACTCCTCAACCAATGACTGATAGGAGTTGGAGGATAGCCACCACAACTCCTTGCCCCTCACAGGTTATTCCAAGTCATGTTCTACCCATTTCCAAGAGTTCACCAGTATGACCAAGCTTCAATTGTCCACAGTGGCAATGCTTGATATCATAGTCTTTATTAGGCTTCATCTCCTTCCCTGTCTCACTTCTCATTGCCCTACCTGTACTTCTAAGGATTCCCATCTAAATAAGCTATTTTACTCAAGTCCTCAATTTAGGGTCTTCTCTGGGTTCACCCAGACCATGCCAGAAGAACATATAGGGCAAAAGAATCAGTAAATATCTATAACAACCTAATCATGTTATTTAAAAATATGGAGGATAATGCCAGAAAAATCAGGTAAAACAATTCAAAGTGATTGCCTCTGGTGCGGGGCTTTGGGATAGGGATAGAGAAACAGGTGGCCAAGGAACAACTGGTGTTTGTTAAAACTTTGTAGTAATATTTGATGGTTTGATGTATGTACATGTATTTATTTTACAAAAATAAAATATAATATTAAAATATGTTTTTGACTTGCAGAATAGGAGCAGCAATGGAGTAAAAGAAAAATAAAGAAATACAAACTGATTAAGCTGGAGGGAGAAAGAAATTTTCTTGGGAGAAATGTGATCTTAGTGGTCAGGCTAGAAAACTGTGAAGAGAAAAATGAGATACTGGAGGCCAAACTTAATCTACCCAATATGGAGAGGGATATGCAACTGAGTCTAACTGCTCATAAATACGGAAGTATAAGACAGGGTGAAGTTTTAGTCATTACTGCTCCTTGAAAGGCAAATGGGGCTCAAAAGAAATGTAAAAGAGAAAGAATGAAAATCTCAGAGGGCAAACTGGAATGGCATCCCTTGAGAGATTTCAGAGGCAATAAGTACTGAACAGCATTCTCTAAAGCCATAAATAGGATGCCCATAAAATTGCAAACTGGGAAGTACACCTTGGAGAATGAAATGGCTTTACTAAGCAGTAACAGAATACTTGGACGGCTTTGAGAGGAAATGATGAAGATCAACACAGAATATGCAAAACATCATTAGGTGGGTAAATTTCATGGTGACCCACTTCTTGTAGCAGGAATCCAGATATTGCCTGTCCTGTGAGAGAAAAAACTCCAAAAATTTATAGAATCAAGAGGTTCTGCTTCTAGGAATGGCTGAATAAGCTCCTGTTAAACCATAGATAAAAACTACAAAATTTAGGAAAAATATAATAACACGACAATCCGAAGGCATAGAGAGTGAACAAAAAAAGGCAGATTTTGGAAGGGTGTAGCACAAGGAACAAGCAGGTGGTATGGGGTGAGCTTCCCACCTTTATGGCTTTAGTCCAGGGATTGGCTGCAGTTGGCACCATGCAGAGCAGCTAGAACTCTGATAGAAAATCCAGTTGTTCTGCCCTGGAGAAGCAGAAGACAAAAAGTGGCAGAATTCAGCTGTAAGAAAGTAAAAGAATTATCCCAGAAAGTATTTAGAGAGATGGAGATCCAAATAACTACATACATCTTTGCCTGACCCCTGAAGTTTAGATAAGGATAAAAGAACTGGACTGAGATTTGATCTACCACTCAAGAAACAGAGTGTGAAGTTTGAGTCTAACCAAATTAATTGCCTGACTAAATCCAAATGAGAAAAGAAAAACACTCTTCAGAGGAATTTAACACAATTCAATTTCTACAGCATAATAATCATGATATCTAGGGTATAATCTAAGATATCCGACACATAAAAACTAGTAAATTATGGCCCATTCTGGAGAGAAACGCCAGTCAACATGAACCAAACCCAAAGTGATTAAACATTAGAATTAGCAAACAAGAGGACAAGAGTTTTAAAGCAACTATTAAACAACAGTCAGTGAGATACAGGAAAATATAATCAAAATGAATTAAAAGATAGGAAATTTCAGCAGAAAAGCAGAAACTATAAAAAGGGCAAATAGAAATTCTAAAACTGAAAGGTAAAATTCTTGAAATAAAAAATTCACTCGATGGAGCATAAGTTTGACTGAGGAAAGAGAGAATTTTTAGATTAATAGAAAGTATCTGATCTAACCCAGGAGGTGCAGCTTGCAGTGAGCCGAGATCGCGCCACTGCACTCCAGCCTGGGTGACAGAGCGAGACTCCGTCTCAAAAAAAAAAAAAGAAACTATCTGATCTAAAGAATAGGCAGGCTGGGCATGGTGGCTCACATCCCAGCACTTTGGGAGACTGAGGTGGGAGGCCTGCTTGAGCTCAGGAGTTCGAGACCAGCCATGGCAACATGGTGAGACTCTTCCTACAGAAAACAAACAAACAAAAATTAGCTGGGTGTGGTGGTGCATGCCTGTACTCCCAGCTACTCAGAAGGCTGAAGTGGGAGGATTGCTTGAGCCTGGCAGGTGGAAACTGCAGTGAGCCATGATCATGCCACTGCACTCCAGCCTGGGTGACAGATTAACCCTTACAAAAAAAAAAAAAAGAAGAAGAAAAAGATGAGGGAGAGAGAGAGAGAAAGGAAGATTGACTAAAAGACACATACTCAGGAACCTGAGAGACAGTATCAAAATGCCTAACACATTTATGATTGGAGTCCCAGAAGAACAGTGAAAAAAGAATGGGGAAGACGAGAATATTTGGAGAAATTATGACCAAAAGTTTTCTAAATTGTAAAAGTTATACATTCATAGATTGAAGAGGCTTAGCAAAACTCAAGTGGGATAAATATGAAGAAAATCATGCCTACCACATGATAAAACTGCTAAAAACAAAGAAAAAATCTTCAAAGCAGTCTGAGAAAAACTATATACTGTCTCATTATATAGGAGTTATCATTAACTCCTTATTTGAAACAAAGGAGGCCAAAAGGCAGTGGAATGACATATTTAAAGTGCTGAGAGGAAAAAAGAGCATAGCCAGAGACAATATCCTTCAAGAATAATGAGGAAATAAAGACTAAATACAGATTTTTCAAAAAGAAACTAGTAAGAAGCTTTATCATCACAAGACCTGTACTAAAAGAAATAGAACATTATTTAGGCTGGAGGGAAATGACACTAGATGGAAACTTAAGCGATAAAAAGCATTGAAAATGGTAAAGAGCTGGGTATTTATTAAAATCTCTTTTTTCCCCAACTTTTAAAAAGCATGCAGTTTAGATTTATAATATATGGAGATGCAGTAAATAAGGCAACGATAGCATAAAGGACAAATGAGGTAAATGAACCTCTATAAATGTGAGCTTTCTACATTTTACACAAAATAGTAAGTAATATCTCTAAGTGGACCATAAAAAGTTAAGCATAGATATTGTCATTCTTGGAGCAATTAATAAAATGTATGATGCTAAGAGGTATAGCTAAACAGCCTATTGATAGATTGAAATGGAATTCTAAAATACATTCAGTTGATCCCAAAAAAGGCATAAAAGAAGAATAAACAAATCAACAGAGGGGACAAACAGAAAAGAATACCAAAATGGTAGAAATAAATCTAACCACATCAATAACATCAATTTAAAAGTGAAAGGAGTCTTTTCAATAAACGGCACTGGAATAACTGGATATCCATATGGGGGAGAAGAGTCTTTGACCCATAGCTCACACTGTACACAACAATTAATTTGCAATGAACAGAGACTTAAATATAAATCTGAAACCATAACTCTTTTAGAAGAGAACTTAGGCGAATAGCTTTATGACTTGGAGACAAGCAACATCATTTTTTTTTAACTTTTATTTTAAGCTCAGGGGTACATGTGCAGGTACATAGGTAAACTTGTGTCATGGGGTTTTGTTGTACAGATTATTTCATCACCCAGGTCTTCACCCTGATACCCATTAGTTATTTTTCCTGATCCTCTACCTCTTCCACCCTCCACCCTCTGATAGGCCCTAAAGTGTGTTGTTCCCCTCTGTGTGCCCATGTGTTCTCATCATTTAGCTCCCACTTCTAAGTAAGAACATGCAGTATTTAGTTTTCTGTTCCTACATTAATTTACTAAGGATAATGGCTTCCAGCTCCATCCGTGTCCCTGCAAAGGACATTACCCCATTCTTTTTTATGGCTGCATAGTATTCCATGGTGTATATGTACCACATTTTCTTTATCCAGTCTATCATTGATGGGCATTTGGGTTGATTCCATGTCTTTGCTATTGTGAATAGTGCTGCAGTGAACATACACGCACATGTGTCTTTATAATGGAATGATTTATATTCCTTTGGGTATATACCAAGCAATGGGATTGCAGGGTTGAATGGTATTCTGTTTTTAGGTCTTTGAGAAATCACCACACTGTCTTCCACAATGGTTGAACTAATTTACACTCCCACTAACAGTGTATAAGCATTCCTTATTCTCCACAACCTCAACAACATCTGTTATTTTTTGACTTTTTAATAATAGCCATTCTGACTGGTGTGAGATGGCAACATTTTTTTAGGACACAGAAGCAGTAACTGATTTGGGGAAAACGATAAATTAGACTTGGCCAAAAAGAAGGGCACTGTTTATTAGGTTGTAATCAGGTTATAGGAGAACCAATAGAGATGGTGCCAGAACAGAGCTGGTAACAGCAGAGGGCAAGGAGAGGCTACCACAACCTAGAAGGAGAGACTTTTGCAGCACACATGGTTGTGATCTTCAGAATGTGATCTGGTCAAGGTTGCGTCAGCCAGCCTGAGGCAATCCAGTAGGAAGAGAGCCAGGGAAATAAACAGTCTAACAGCATTCTCCTCCATCTCTCCCATTTCTCACCAGGTTTCTCTCTTGGCAGAATCCAACCAGAAGCCAAAGGAAAGGAAGCCGGTTGATATGATTGCAGGAGACACTGTAGGGACCCCACACACATCACCTTGACATTTAGAGTCTCATGTTATATTTGCCAAAATCACCTTTTAGCATTTTTATTACATGATTACATAGGAACTGCCAACAGGTTCATTCCAGTAGTTCCTATAGACACATGTTCAGATCCCTGTTGACTCAGCTTCCTAGATCCTTCAGTCTTCTCATGCTTCTCATTGTAAGTATAGGGATTCCAGAAAGCATACTGTCTTGGACAGGATATATACACGGTGCCTAGTAGACTCCCTTCTAAGAAAGCTCTTGAGTGACTTCCACACTTCTTGCCTGCTGCTGAAGACTTCCTTATCCCTCATTACCATGCGTTTTTATCATTGATCTCCTTATCCTAGGAATATCCAGAGTGGAATTAAGCAGGCAGATATCTATGTTTGCCAACAAGGTTTTAGAGGGATTGTCAAGCACACGTGTTGCCCTGGAATTTTAACTGACTGACTAAACTAAAATTTGGATGTGAGAGAGTGTAAGACAGCCAGGTAACTAGTAGCATTTAGAGAAGACAGCAGTTAAATTGCCAACGTATTAGAGCACTGGAGTAAGATTAGACGCTAACTTCTGAAGAGATTAATACAAAATAGATTTGCTAAATCTCAAACTTTTTTTTTTTTTTCTTGAGACAGAGTCTAGCTCTGTTGCCCAGGCTGGAGTGCAGTGGCATGATCTCAGCTCACTGGAACTTCCGCCTCCTGGCTTCAAGCTATTCTTCTGCCTCAACCTCCTGAGTAACTGGGACTACAGGCATGCACCACCATGCCTGGCTAATTTTTTGTATGTTTAGTAGAGATAGGGTTTTACCATGTTGGCCTGGCTGGTCTTGAACTCCTGACCTCAAGTGATTCACCCGCCTCAGCCTCCCACACTGCTGGGATTACAGGCATGAGCCACAGCACCTGGCCCTCAACTGTTTCTTGAATCAATTTTCAATTTTTCATGAGACTTGCTGAGACTTTCTGATATATCCTGATAAACCTGAGGAGACCAGAAACTATCTCAGTTCCTTGTAACCTTAAAAAGCCCAGTTTTTTCTTTCAGTTAAGTGACAAGGCATTTTTAAAAAGGGAAACTTACTGCATCACACAATTGAACGGTCTTGAAGTATTCCACCAAAGTTTGACCTGGCAATTCAATGATATCACCAAGGACTTTTCTCACTGTCTATCCTTTCTGCCATCTGCAGTGTTGGCTTCATTTCCAAGTTCCAAATAGATGCTCTCCTCTTGTGGCAGCAGTTTCAGCCCTTACAATTTTACAATCCACTGTTTGGAGGGGTAGAGAATAAATTTCTGATAGTTTCTGAACTAGTCTTGAGATGCACTCTCATCAAACCAATTTAGGTCACATTCCCCATCCATGAATCAATCTCAGAGGCTAGGAACATTGAAGGAGCTAATTTGTCAATATTCCACACCTGAAGCTAAATGTGGGCTCAGCTTTTATAAAAGTATATGGGTACCCAAAGATGTTGGTGGCTGTAGAGAACGAGATAGAGAATGGATGCTTAGAAACAACACATATGTCCATATGTATTCAGTTCTTAGCCTAAATAGCTACCCAAAAACAGACCTCTGCAAGCATTGTTTTATTGAGCCCTGGCATTCCACTATTAGAAAGTAAGCCTTGGCCCTCCACTAACATGTTAAGATGATACTTTCAGACATAATCATCATTCCTGGGCAGATTTGAGGAAGGGTGAAAGCATGAGAGCTTGGCTACCTAAGAAGAAGAAACCACCAGAAAAGGAAGTGAAGAAAAAGAGAATTGGGAGGTTAATGGCAAATGTATCTCATTAAAAAATTTGCCAAGTGTGGGCTGGGCATCCTGGTTCACGCCTGTAATCCCAGAATTTTGGGAGGCTGAGGTGGGAGGATCGCTTGAGTTCAGGAGTTTGAGACCAGTCTGGGCAACCTGGTGAAACCCCATCTCTACAGAAAATCAGCCAGGCATGGTGGCTCATGCCTACAGTCCCAGCTACTGGGGAGGCTGAGGTGAGAGGATTGCTTGAGCCCAGGAGGTCCAGGCTGCAATGAACTGTGTTTGTGCCACTGCACTCCAGCCTGAGTGACAGAGCAAGACTCTGCCCCTACAACCTCCCCCAAAAAATTGCCAAGTGGATACTTCCCACTGCCAATAATAAGTTGTCCCTGGGCTGAACTGAGCAGGCTGAGAATGTCCATTTGCTATCCCTGGCCTAAGAATGGCTTCAGGACTTCTCAGACGACTCCAGTTACCTGAGACATTTTCGTTTAAATTCTGGTGGGCCACTCCAAGGAAGGAACATAAATCTAATCCAGGAATTCTCTCTTTAATAAATTGAAATTAAAAAGATCTGTAATCAGCCATCCTCTTTCAACTTCCTACTAAATCACACAGATATACACATATTGTTAAAGGTATTCTATTCTTGCTAGGGCCAAAATTTATACAGAAAAGATGCTTCATGAAATAACCCTGAATTTTCCCTAATGTATGAATTTAGAGTTAGGAGCATTCTAAGGTGTCAATTAGGCACGTTCATCCATAGTTCATACCTACCCTGCCTCCCATTCCTCCTCCCCACAACCCTACTGAACGCCCAGGAGCTATCTGGATCAAAGCAAGCTTATAGAACTCAAATTGGATAAGACAGTAAACCATCGGAGCAGAAAAGCAAGGGTGTTGACTTATTCCTCTACTATAAAAATAAGAAAGTTAATGAGACACTTCAAAATTAGAATAAGTAAAGAATGTATTTTTAAGAATTAAGTGGCCGGGCGCGGTGGCTCACGCCTGTAATCTGAGCACTTTGTGAGGCCGAGGCGGGTGGATCACGAGGTCAGGAGATGGAGACCATCCTGCCTAACACGGTGAAACCCCGTCTCTACTAAAAATACAAAAAAAAAAAAAAAAAAGAAAGAAAAAAAAAAGAAAATTAGCCGGGCGTGGTGGCGGGCACCTATAGTCCCAGCTACTAGGGGGGCTGAGGCAGGAGAATGGCGTGGACCTGGGAGGCGGAGCTTGCGGTGAGCCGAGATCGTTCCACTACACTCCAGCCTGGGCGACAGAGCGAGACTCCGTCTCAAAAGAACAAAAACAAAAACAAAAAAGAATTAGGCAAGCAATTCGTTTGGGCTGTTGGCATATTAATCTTTAAAAATTTTAAAGTAAAGCCTCTACCTATTCACAGCAAGAAGAGACTTTCTTATAATTTTTAAAATATATGTTTCAACAAATTAAATGTCCATATACAAAAAAACACTTCATAACTGCTACCATATATAAAATATAACTCAAAATGGATTGTAGACCTAAATATAAAATCTAAAATTATAAAATATCTGGAAACAAACATAGAAGAAAGTATTTGTGACCTTTGGTTGGCAAGGATTTCTTGGATAAGATACCAAAAGCACAATCCATAAAAGAACAAATTTGACTCCATTAAAATTTAAAACTTCTGCTTTTCAAAAGACACAGTTAAAAGAATGAACACACAAGCCACAGACTGGGAGAAAATATTCATAAATCATATATCTGATAGAAAACCTGTATTCTGAATATATAAAGAACTCTCAAAACTCAGTAATAAGAAAATAACACATTTTTTAAATGGGCAAAAGAAATGAACAGACATTTCACCAGAGAAGATATTTATACAGAAAAGATGGTTCATGAATAACCCTGAAGATTCTCTAATGTACCAATTCAGAGTTAGATACGGATGACATTTAAGCATATAGAAATATCCTCAGCATAATTAGTAATTAGTCACTAGGAAAATGCTAATTAAAGCTCCTATGAGTTACCACTTTACACCTATTTAGAATGATTAAAATGACTGACCATATCAAGTGTCGGTGAGGATGTAGAGGAACAAAACGCTCATAGAATGCCGTGTGAATGTAAAATAGTTGAACTGTGGAAAAAGTTTCTTATAAAGTTAAACATATACCTACCATATAATCCAATCATTCCATTCTTAATTTACCCAAGCACAGGGAAAGCATATGTTCCCACAAAGACTTTTCTGCAGATACAGCAGCTTTGTTTATAATAGCTAAAAACTGGAAACAACACATGTCTCCATCCACAGGTGAATGAATAAATAAAGTGTGGTATGCCATTACAATAGCATACTACTTAGCAATAAAAAGGAATGAACTATTGATACCTAAAGCAATGTGGATAATTCTTAAAATAATTATGCAGAGTAAAAGAAGCCAGTCCCCTCCCCAAAAAGAACATATAAAATGAGTCCATTTATATAAAATTTTATAAAATTGAAATTAATCTACCCTGACGGAAACTAGATCAGTGGTTACCTGGCAGAATGTTGGGTGAGGGAAGGTCTCCGGATCGGGAGGGAAGTAAATGAGGATGGGATTACAAAGGGACACAAAGAGAAAACTTTTAGGGGTTATAACTATGTTCCCTATCTTGACTGTGATGAAAGTTTAAAAGGCATATATATATGTCAACACTTATGCAATTGTACACTTTAAATATGTGCAATTTATTGTTAGTCAATTATACTTCTATAAAATATTAAATAAATGAAATTTAAGTATATATTTTTTGAAAATATCCAGCCATGTTGTAATTTGACAATATTTCCTGAATGTTCCCAAGCACTGAAGCTATTCTTTAAGAAGATATGAAATGTAACTCCTAACCTTCAAAGGCTTTCAGAGTTCGGAGGGCTCAAATTTTGGACTTGTGGGACTGGAGCTGTGTGTGTGTAGATTTAGGATATAGAAGTTTAGAGCTCAGGACAGATTTTTGATCTGAAAATATAGACATTAGAGTTACAGGGATACAGAGTTAATGAAATAACTTGCATGAAAGATATGCCTAGAAATAGATTCTAGATTGAGAAGTGGAAAGAACTGAGGACAGACACTAGAAACACCAACATTCAAGAGGCAGGAGAGGGAAGATAAGCCAGTCTGAGACTGAAAAGAAATAAGCGGAAAGTTTGGATGGGAACTCAGAGCAGCAGCACAAGGAGTAGAGCATTCTCAAAAGGAGGACAGTGTCAAATGACTCAGGAGGGATGCCAAAGATAAGGAGTGAACAGTGTCAATCGAATTTAGCAATTATGTCTCCAGTGGCCTTGGTGAGAGCACTTTTTGTGTCACTGCATTGAGGAAGCCAAACACTGGTACACTAATATTCTTGCTTTGCATGTTGGTTATTGTAAAGGAAGCAGAAAAGAAACAGTTGGATATTTGAATTATTCCTTCTCAGACAGGACATTACAGCACACCAGAGCATTGAAAAGATGATGTTCATGTGTCTAGACTTCTGTCTCTCAATTCTCTGCTCTCTTTTCCCCCATGTGAACACAATCATAGTCTCCTAATTTTGATCAAAATGCATGGCAGTCATCGCTCCATTATCCTCTTTCTCCTTCACTCAAGTCCCTGAGCCCCTTATTCCTTTCCAGTTCCACCTCTCCCCTTCAAGTTGCCAGAAAGAGTGGTCCCTGTCCACCACTTCCACTTCTTTACACTCTTTCCTCTCCTGTCATCTTCATGCACCCAGGAATCTGGTCCTGATAGGAGGGGGAAGTTTAGAGTGCTAGAACAGGAAGGGCCTAGAGTATGATCACCAGGCTTCTTAGCCAGATGCTATTAATTTCCCCAATGAGAATGACACTAAAATATCTCTGAAATATTTGCTCCTTTATGTCCATGGCTGCAGATGCAGTTCATTCGCTCTTTGATATAATGACCTACCTGGTCCCCTCCCCTGAGATGGCCCTTACAGCCATCTTACACCTGCTCACAGCTGCAGGCATTTGGCTGCTTTCTGTAGGCCATGGCTGTTCTGCCTGTGGCTTATTGGGAAAAGAGAATGCTGGTGGAAGCGTTTTGGATTTGGATTTGAGTAGCTCTCTCTTTCAGTGAACTAGGCTTTGAGGAGTGTTGCTAGTGTGGTTTTCATCTTATGTTCTGGTCCTAGCAACTAGGCTTCTTTCTTTCTCCCTGCCTTGTACTAGAATTCTTGAAACATAATCCCCTTCTCTGCTTCCTATTCCTCAGTGCCTGATTTGTTACCTGGCTACATCAGACAGGAATTCCAATTGGCTGCTTGTAACCAAAGTAGGAAATAACAGTGGTTTAAATAAAAGTTTTTCTGTCACATAAAAAGCATCCAAAGTAGATAGTCCCAGACTGTTCAATGGCTCCTCAGTAGTCAGAGACCAAGATGGGTTCTTACTGGAACACCAGCCTTAGCACTGGTTTCTATTTTCTCCCTCCCTTCCTTCCTTCCTTCCTTCCTTCCTCCCTTCCTCCCATTCTTTCCTTTCTTTCTCTCCCTCCCTCTTTCTTTCTTTCTCTCTTGTCAGGGTCTCGCTCTGTCACCCAGGCTGGAGTGTAGTGCTGCAATCACAGCTCATTATAGCCTCGAAGTCCTGCAAGCAATCCTCTTGCCTCAGCCTCCTGAGTGGCTAGGACCAGAGGTGCACACCACCATACCCAACTAATTAATTTAACTTTTTGTAACCTGGCCTCAAGTGATCCTCCTGCCTCAGTCTCCCAAAGCACTGGGATTACAGGTGTAAGCCACCACTCCTGGCCTTTGTTTTCATTTTCAAGCTTGCCTCCTGGCCCAAATTGTCTGTTGAAGCTCCAGCCATCAGGGTTGTCTTCCAAGGAAAAAACTGGAGAAAGGGGGAAAGCAGGCAAAAGGCATAAAGCAGTCATTTGTCCTCTTTTTACAGAACGTTCCAGAGATTTCCATCTAGAAACTTACACTTGTATTTCATTGGCTAAAAATTAGTCATATGGCCAAACTTTGCTGTGCTAACAGAATGAAACCAGGGTTCTAAGTAAAAAGGAAACAGTAGATTTTGGGTGGGGAACTAGCAGCCTCTAACAGAATTATTCAGCTTAGAAACTTGCCATTTTCATTATATCCTCCTTCTTTCCCTGAACCAGTGTCCTGTCTTATCTCTCTGACTTGATATCTCCTGATAGATTTCTCTACATCTGCCTGCCTGCTGACCACTCACCTGGGCCTCCAAACACAGTCTGCTTCAAATGTTTCTATTGCTATGTTTATCGACATAATTGTTCAATTGCTTGATTTCTCCTTATTGACCTTCCAGGCTGTTGACACCAGGCTCAGATTACTTTGTCTATTAATTCCTGGTAAACAGTACTTTCTAGTACTGCCAAAGATGCTTACAGTTCCCCTGGGGAGGGGGAGATAAGCATATTACACAAGAGGTAAGTGTGGAAAAGGGGCCAGGACAATTAGTCATTAGTTCATCTGGTTGAAACACATCTACTCCTGGGCAAGAGCTCCTTACCCTGCTTGAACTGCAGCATCTTCCTCTCTTCTCCTCCCTTGTCTATTCAGTCATGATTTCTAGAATACGCCCTGTACTTAAGATTTTCATTCTCAACTTGATAACTGGATTGCAACCTTCATACATTTCTCCTCTTGGTAGACTTCTTGCCTCAGAATCATTTTCTGACTGTAAGTCTTCAGTCTTCAAAGTCCTCTTGAAATTATGTTTTCTTGACTTTCTCCTTCACTTGGTCTATCAGACACCTATTTTCATTAGTAGCATTTCCAGGCTTTACCCTGAGACTGACGATAAACAAGTTTGTTTACTTCTAGTGGTTCGTTAGAGCAGGCTTGTATTGGCTTGGGAGAGCTGTTTGTTAAAAACAAAATAATTATAAAAATATAACTTGTTAAAGTGTTGGTAGCTTGAAATTAGCCATGGTGGGAGTATGTACCACATGGAAATTGGCAAACACTATTAATCAGGGCTTTCTTTTTTCCCGAAAGGGTGTCTACCAGCACGCCATTGCTTGTTTCACCCCGTCATTACCCCCTGAATGCGCGCGCACGCACACACACACACACACACCCACACGACACTTCTCATCCCAGATCCTTATCTCTTCAGCCTACCTTAGCCTCCAGCTTACAGATAACCCTTCCACACTCAGCTATAGCCAGTGATTCAACATTTCATAATGGAATATATATTTTGAAAATACATCCTGGACCCTAAAGACTTTTCCAAGACTGCTGACCACGCTATTTGAGAACTGCTAATGTAGTCCATCTGTCTGCCTTCAGAACACATGTAATCATATGGAGGAATCATTTGCTGGGGAAAAACCTACATCCTGGTATTTCAGTAGAAGGAATTTATTGATCAACATCAGAGATGACTCATCACAGAATATTAACTTCTGTGAAGTTAATATTGGGTGAAAGATGACCAATTAATGATTACAGGTATTTCAGAAAGCCTGGTGCAAGCTGTGCAATAATCAAGCTGCATGAGCCAACCAAAACGTCAAGATGCTTTGCCTTTGACAGGAATTGTATCAATTCACATCATGCCATTACCTCTTATTGATCAGGACCTCCGTTCCACGTGTCTTCGATTAATAACAATGAAAAATGAATTAATTATTACTTATAATTACAGTATTTTAGTAAACAAAATCATTCAACTCATGGAAGAAAAATAATAAAAAAGATTATGAAAGCCTGGGAACCACTAGACTATGCCAATTTTTGATTACATTAAGAAGCTAATATTTCTTTGTTTAAAAACATGTAGCGGTTGCTAATATTATAGACTAGAGCACATGCTGTGGAGGCAGACTAATTGGGTCGTATTAGAACTTTGCCACTTAGCCCTGTGATTTGGGGCAAATTGCTTAATCTCTCTGTGCCTTAGTTTTCTCATCTGTAAAGTGGAAATAAAAGCATCTATCTCACACGATGACTGTGAAATTAAAATGAAAAAACACATTAAATGCTCAGAACGGTGGTTAGCATGTAGTAAATAATTAATGAACATTTGCTCTCATCTTCATCCTTGATATTATTTTTGAAGCAGTTTTATTGTACCAGGAACTGTGCTATAGGCTGTACATGCAATCTCCTCTAACCTTATCATTAAGCCCATTTTATGAGTAAGGAAACTGACCCTCAATAGAAATGATGTAACTTTTCCACGGTCTTGGGCTAGTAAGTGTGAAAGAGGTTGGCTCAATATCTTTTAGGAGATTTCATTTAAATGGTAGAAAGATGTAAAACCACAGCTTGCATTGGAATTCAAGCCATCCTGATATTTAATATTCTACTGGGAAATTCTTACCTCATAGTCAACTGAACCCGTGCATGTGGTAGCATAAACTATTCTCGTTCTGTCTTCAGCGGAGACAGAAGAGCTCACTCATAAACATCCCTGTGTTTTCGCTTGAACTGTTATTAAGTTGCCCTCCTGACTTGTCTTCTGCAGGTTTTACAAACACACAGCTCCCATAGGCCTTCCCCATGAATCCTATTTGTTAGCCACAGAATAATCTCCACAAAAGTATTTTCACTTTCTCTAACAGTAATTTTTAACTTAGACTTTAAATCTAAAGTTCATTACTAGCGTAAGTAGAGCACAATATCCTTTGGCTGAACTGGCTTCATTTATGAAGAAGCTGAATATAAAGATCCTTTCTGTCTTGGACTTTCTTATTCCACCTTCTTATTTAAAAGCTGCTGCCTACAATGCACCACAATGTATATAATAAGTATTTTAATAAGTATTTTTTTAAGTTTCAAGTTGCATGTCATTTTGTGTCACAGGGGTGAGTCTAGACTCACATTTAGTTGTGCAATCAGGAAGACAAATGACAGTGGGAATATTTTTAAAAAACACCTATTATATCACTATCCATTCATTCACTTTTTCTGGGCCAGTCACTGTGCTAGACACCAGGACCAAAGAACACAGTCCCTGCTCAGGGAGCGCATAAGTCCCACAAAGGAGGCCAATATACAGTTACCTAGTTATTGTGATAGAGCAATGCACAGGAATCAATAGGAACATGCGGAAAGGAGCAGCGAAGAGACCCTGGAATGTAGAGGTAATATAGTCTGATCAAGAATGCTAGGGAGCCAGTCAGAAGCCCTGGCTCTAATCCCACTTTTACAATTAATTATTATGCCATCTGTTAATGGCTGAATTGTGCCATCCCAAAAAAGATCTGTTGGAGTTCTAACCCCTAGTACTTCAGAATGACCTTATTTGGAGATAGGGTCTTTAAAATGAGGTCCTTGGGGTGGGCCCTAATTCAATATAACTGATGTCCTATGAAAAGGGGGAAATTTGGACATAGAGACAGACATATGTAGAGGGAAGATGATGTGAACAGACACAGGGAGAACATGGGCATCTGTAAGCTATGAGAGACCTTTCCTTCACAGTTCTCAGAACAAACCAACCCTGCCCGTATTTTCAGCCTCCAGAACTGTGAGACAACTTTCAGCCTCCAGAACTGTAAGACAATATATTCCTATTGTTTAAGCCACTCAGTTTGTGGGTTTTTATTACAACATCCCTAGCAAACTAATATGCCATCTCAGTGTCACAAGCATATCCCAAGCTTCAGATACCACACTAGGCAAGGCCAGTCCCACATTTGGGAAAATTTGGGCAAAAGCACTCAGAGCACGACTAACCAGAAACATGCCTGCATCTGCCTGCAGCTTGTTCTTATGCTGTGACCCAGATGAATTCAAAGGTTTCTCTTTAAATACTGAATTTGAGTCTATGACAAGACCCATTAAACCTCCCCAGTGTGACATCCAGAAACAACACCAGTAGTCCTTTGCTTATAAGGTAAATAATATATACTATTGTAGATAATTTTAGAGTACAAGCTAAATTCAATAAAAATAAACTTTGTGTTAAATAACAGATCAACATGACATTACTTAAAACAAATGGTTAATAAACATGCAAGATTTTCTATCTCACTGGTAATCAGATTTGAGAAAAAAACTGCTCTTGGCAAACGGAAGATGCTAATACAGTTCACCATTGAACACTGTGAGGGTTAGAAGTGTTGACCCCCATGCAGTCAAAAATCTGAGTATAACTTTTGACTCCGAAAAACTTAACTATTAATAGCCTACTATTAACTGTAGGGCTTACTAATAACGTAAACAGTAGATTAGTTGGTTATATGTATTATATACTGTATTTTTACAATAAAGGCAGAGAAAAAATGTTATTAAAAATTATTATAAGAGAAAAAATATTTTTTATTCACTAAGTGGAAGTGGATCACCATAAAGGTCTTCATCCTTACTGTCTTCATATTGAGTTGATTGAGGAGGAGGAGGAAGAGGAGGGCTGGTCTTGCTGTCAGGGGTGACAGAGGCAGAATAGGTGGAGGAAGTGAAAGAAGAGGCAGAAGAGGCAGGCACATTAGATGTAAATGTTATTGAAAAAAATCCACATGTAAGTGGACCCGCACAGTTCAAATCCATGTTGCTCAAGGATCATCTGTACACATCAGAGAACAAATGCATGCATCCTGAATGAGTGATAGCCTGTTCACTTAGAATACACAACTGGTTCCATTTGTCTTTCTGTTGGCACAATCTGAACCTAAAATTATCTTCCTAGAATACACAGTGACATGAAACCTGTAAAACAAACAAACAAAGAAAAAACCCCTCTATTAGGTACATGTTCATTTCAGGCAACTCTTCTGAGGACAGAAGGTTTGAACATAAAAAATGCCTGAAACAATGAAAAGATAACCTAATATTTAGCTCCTGTATAGACTGAAAAAGTTCAGCCAAAGTGCATTGTTTGGGTTTCTTCTTTCCAACATGTTTTACCCTCAGGCCAGCAAGGTTATACTTTCTCTTCTCACCCCAAGTCTTCATCTTTTCTGGAAAATTTCCAAGCTGAGCCCTGGTCTCAGGTCATAACAACTTGATCTGCTGCACCAGAACACCAAGGGAGTGAGTCATCCCTTTGGATTTGCCTCGGCAGGTCTTCAACAAGTCTTTGTTTCTCTGCCTATCCATCCCTCAACTGCTTGACATTGGCCAGTGTCCATGATGGGTTTTTCTTCTAGTTTCTGTTGCCTTCCATCTTTTTACTTTTTAAAAAATTATAATGATAAAGAAGCGCACAAAGTTAAAAGGGCAGGTTTCACCCCTTTCACCATCACCCTAAGGGTCAAAGGGTTACCAGGGTCAACAGTGTGAGTATCCTTCGAGAGACAGGAATTTCCATCCTCCCCGCCCTGCCCCCTTGCTGTTTAGAGCTCATACTGTACACAGTGTTCTGACTTGCTCTTATCACTCAAAAATATATCATGGACACTCTTCCATGTCAACACATACATAGCTCCCTCATTTTTAAACAGCTATTTATTTTTCTACAGTGTAGATGTGCCCAAATAGAGAAGTAGATGAACCATTCCTCTATTTATAAACGTGGAATGTGGTCCAAATTTTTTTGGCCCTTACAAATAATATTACAATCGGCATATCTGTAAATATATTTTGGCACACTTAATATTTCTGTAGATGAGATCACTTGTAGTGGAAAAGTGTGATTAAAGGATACATGCATTTTTAATATCTATAGGTTCTGCAAATTACTTTCCAAAAATGTTTATTAATTCACACTCCAGTCAGCTAAGTATGAAAGTTCCTATTTCTTATAGATGCAAACACCTGATAGTAAAACATATTTTTGCCAATCTGACAAATAACAGATGCTATCTTGTTTTTATTTATGCTATGATCATTGATGAAGTTGGGTATGTTTTCATATGCTTATTAGCACATAGTCCTTCTTTTGAGAATTGTCTATTTTCTTTGTCCATTTTCTTACCCTTTTGCTGCTTCTCGTTTCATACTGATTTCAAGAAGTTGTCTATATTACCCATATTAACCCTTTCCTGTTGTGTATACATGTTGCATGTATTTTCTCCCCTTAGGTAACATTGTTTATGGTACCCTTCACTTGATAGAAATGTTAAATTTTTATAGTCTTCTCTGTTTAATTTTTTTCTGTTATAGCTTGTGAAATTTTTTCATGATATTTCTAATTAGTATTATAAAGCTCTTATAAGGAGCCCTTATAGCTCCTACCTACAGTACTTACTAAGAAGCAGCCTTCGATTATAAATATTATAAATATTGTAAAAGTCTCCTATATTTTCTTTTAGTCTTTTATAGTTTTTTATGTTTAGATTATTAATCCATCTGGAATTTTTTCTGGAATATGAGCTAAGACAGTGTATTAGTCATGCTTCATTCAACAGAAGGATTTTTTTTTTACTCAGATAACAATTGTGGGTGTTCAGATAACAACTGTGGGTGTTCAACAAGCAGACACAGGTATATTAAATGTTTATATTAAATGTTTTAATATCAGGTGTTTGTGAGTGTCTATAAGAAATAGTGACAGGGTGACTCAGAGACCCAGGCTCCTTCCATCCTAGCTCTACCCTCCTCTTGATAAGGGGTCAGCAAATTACAACCCATAGGCCACATGCAGCCCACTGCCTGTTTTTGTAAATAAAGTATTATTGGAACATAGCCATACTTATTTGTTTACATAGTGCCTATGGCTGCTTTCCATAAAACAGCAGAGTTGAGCAGTTTTGATAGAGACTATATGATCCACAAAGCCTAAAATATTTACTATTTGGCCCTTTATAGAAAAAGTTTCCTGACTTCTGCTTTGAAGTCTCAGGGTCCTTAGTTTCCACATGGCAGATGGGGAAGAGAGATCATGTGGGAGGCTTTCCACGGATGAGGCCTGGAAGGGGAGTACAACACTTTCGCCTACATTCCATTGGCCAGAATTCAGTCCCTGGCTTCACCTAACAATTTGGGAGGCTAGGAAATGTGAATTTATTGTGCACTGAGGAGGAAAGGGAATAATTAGCCATATTCTGCCAAGGTGTTCCCTGCAATTATCTGTTTCTTTCTTCCTTCCTATTTTTAAACAGAATAGGCTAGATTACGGTGCAGAAACAACCAACCATCAAATCTCAGTTGCTTAGAACAAAAAAGGCTTATTTCTTGATCATACTACATGTCCACTAATGCTCAGCAGGGATGGCATTGCTCATTGTTGTCATTCACTCCAGTCTGATGAAGCAGTCACCACCACGCACCTTGATGTTGCAGCACTAGGAAGAAAAGAATGCGGTGACTGATGTCCCAACTCTTAACTTCTGACTCAAAGTTATACTCATCACTTCCGGCCACCTTTCATTGGCTGAAGCAACTCGCAGGGCTATACTATACTTTAGTCAGGTGGGGAAGTACAATCTTATCATGTGCTTCAAAGGCAGCAGAGCTGGAATATTTGTGAACAGCCCTACTGGATTGCACATTAACAAACACAGAACACATATTCATCCCCTTCCTATGGGAGATAACCCAGATTCCATTCATTCACTGCACACAAAGTCCAAGATCCTAGATGGTAGATGCCCTCCCCAATAAGTTTGAATATTGCCTAGTGATCTGGAGTCTAGCAACTAAAATTCCTCTCTGTCCCCACTACTTATTCAGATATCAAAATCCTAACAGAGTCACAACTGATCATGGCCTGAAACAGGTTTCCAGAATCTGAGCTATATCCACAAATGTGAGCCCTGCTCTGAACGATCATGCCTAGAGAATCAGGAGCCTGGTACAATCTAGGGGTGGCAAGCGGGAAATACGGCATTTTGCAAAAATCAATACTGCAAGAAAAGAGTCATCTTTATTGAAGGACATGGCATTGTTTCTCCAGGCTTACAATTAAGCACCCTGAATAAAGAGTGTAGGTGACAATGTGGAGGAAAGCAGTACGCACAGATTAAAAATACCTACACGTAAATGTTAAAAAATATAAACGAACATACTTTGTTCATCCCTCAGAAAACATCTGCTCTTATGGTTCTTGTTTTGTTTGCTTAAGAAAAGATCTTCACATTTCTATTTAGTTTAGAAAATAGTAAAATGCAATTCAATCTCTGAATTGTAATCACAGAGAATCATTTTGAACAATACTGTCAAACTAGCATTACACAGATCAAGATTTCAAACAATGTAATTTTTCAAATAAACTTTGACCATCTGGTGAAAACATCAACATATATCTTATTCATATTTTGTTTCTTCAGACTTTTCTATCTCCCTATAATAATAGGAATATAATGCATATTTTAAAAATCATTTATGCCTAATTCAGAAAAATAATGCTTTGTTAGTTATATGATGTGCAAGAAGCTTTTACATGTTTCAATAAGCATATTAAATCCTCTCTAACAGAAACAGAAGTTTTCATTATTTCCAGAAGAAATTAATTTGAACAGCAAAAGGTTCAAGTTTGATTTGAAATTCACTGTCTCTAAAACTTTTAAAACTCTGATTTTTTTGGGGGGGTGCTGGGCCCCTTAGCTAACTCTTGAAATATACAATTGTTTTCTTCGAAGTTATTCTATACTTGTCTTTTCACGCGCTAGGCCTCCACTCACAGTAGAGAATTAGTTTTAGCCTAGTCTGTGGTACAGTGGCTACTCCTACCTGCCTAGTCTCTATTTTTTCATTGATTCACTGCTTTAACATCTTTGCTCTCAACACATACAGCATTTATTCTTATAGCTCCTACCTACAGTACTTACTAAAAGAAGCAGCCTTCGATTAGAAAGGCGGTATATGGTCTTCTTAAAACCCTTTCTTCCCTCTGGTCATATTCTGTTCTTGAAGGCATTTTTTTCTGTCGGACTTCACTAAGCAAGTTAGATTTGGAGTCATGGGAAGATTATGAAGTGGTGGAAGAAAAGAATGAAGACTGAGTTCAATGTTATTTCCAAAGCCCTTCCTAGGAAAAGTGTTGTTTATTATTCATTTTGGAATTCTAATTATGGAGGAAACCTCCCAAAAACATAAATAAATTATTTAGCCAGAGGACCTAAGAAGTGCATCAAATTTCAAGTCAAATGGCTACAAGTTACTTATTACACCTAAATTTAATAAGCAATAGGATGTTTGTTCTTTATGTGTGGTATGGCTTCTAGAAGCAAGCTTTCCTCTCTGTAGCACAGGCAGGGTCCAACGGTCTAGGTTCAAATTCTTCCTTTACCACTTACTAGCTAAAAACTTAGGCAACTTATTTCACCTCTCTGTGCCTCAGTTTCTTTCTTTCTTTTCTTTTAAAGGCTCTGGCTCTGTTGCCCACACTAGAGCGCAGGGGTGTGATCCTGGCTCACTGCAACCTTAGCCTACCTGGTTCAGGTAATCCTCCCACCTCAGCCTCCTGAGTAGCTGGGACTACAGGCGTGCACCACCATGCCCGGCCAATTATTATTATTAGTTTTTTTGTTTTGGAGGGATGGAGTTTCACTATGTTGCCCAGGCTGGTCTTGATCTCCAGGGCTCAAGAGATTTGCCCACCTCGGTCTCCGAAAGTGTTGGGATTACAGGTGTGAGCCACTGGGCCCAGCCCTCAGTTTATCTGTAAAACAGGACAAAAGTAGTACCTACCTGATGGGGTTCTTCCAAGGATTAAATGAGCTAGTACTTATAAAGCACTTGCTAATGTCTGTTAAATAAATTATATTATCCACACACCAATCCAAGGCGACTATAAGGTAGCAAGAACCACTCCAAGTCACATAAGAAAATGAATTCCTTTCGTTTTAGCTCCTCTCTTTATTTCAGCAGTGCGTTGTCAACAGGGCCACATTATGTTAGCAGATTTGAACTTTATCCGAAAGGTGTTTGTATTTTATTTCAAATTATGAATTCCTGAACATCGGATTATGTACGATTCTGCAGTGCCCTCGGAGGCCCATTAGAGTCTGGAGCTCGAGAAGCATAACAAACTCTGGTCTGATATTTGTAAGGAGCTTGACAGCCAAGGAGCCACTCAGAAACAGTTATTGGTATTGCCAAAAAAAAAAAAAAAAAAGGAAGCTAAGAAGTCACCCTTCTAAATAAATAAATAAATAAATAAATAAATAAAAACCTGAATTGGAGAGCTGCCTGCATTTCACTCTACTGCCTCTGGAAGAAGAGTGTTATCTAAAGTGCTTCCATCATGAATAATGATTGAGAAACTGCTTTTACTCTCCCGACTACTGTACTCCCAGGCAGAAACCCACGGCTGAAGCCCACGATGCCCATGTGTAACTTGGTTATTACACACACGTTTGGAGCCCAGTGTGCAGACCCGCAGCGCAGAGGAGGCGGCGGAACACCCCGGGTTGGTCGGGTTTCCAAGGGCTGACCCGAGCTCCAGCACTTTTTCCGCGCCTGATTTTTCAGGTCATTTTCGAATGGGCTATCTTTGCTTACATTTTGAGCTTGGATCCTCTCCAGAAAGCATTACTACCTTCTAAAAGGAAAAACATCTCGTATTTGCAGACAGTGCTGAGGGAGCAAAGTTCATTTTCTCGGGTAGGAGAAGATGATTCTCTTGCAACACGTGCGGATTGTGACAAAATCTTTCATTAACAAGGGGAGTTTCGGTGAAGTGGAGGTTTGGGGAAAGGCGAGGAAGTCGGTCTGGAGCAAGCAAGCAAAGTGCGGAAGCTGTACTGGGATTCTTCTAGAAAGTGGGGTGGGAAAGGAGCTAGGGAGGGCGTGTGGAGGGACGAGATCTGTGTCAGAACGTGCGTGTGAGCGGATACAAAACCCGAGAGAGGCGTGAGCAGCGCTGTGTTTGCGAGCGGGAGCGAGGGGCGCCGGCTGGGGTGTGTGCTCCTGGTGAGTGACACCGAGGGGAAGGCGGGCGGGTCGGCGGGCGGGGGCAGCCTGCGAGGGGCGGGAGTGTCCCTGCGTGGGGCGGCCGAGCCGGAGTTGTGTCAGTGAAGGAATCCAGTCCGGGGGCCGAGCTGGCTGCGCCCTCCGCTGCAAGCGCCGGCAGCGCGGGGCGAGCTCCGGACGGCGCGCGGCCCAGGCAGCGGCTCCCGCTCGGCCCGCCCTCCGAGCCGCAGGGGCCGCCACCGCCGCGGCGCCTCCCCTGGCGACCGCGCCCCCGGGCCCCGGCTCCGGCCCGGGACGGAGGAGCCGGCGCTCGACACAGAGGTAAGCCCAGGACCCCCTCCACGCCGGGCCGGCTGGGGATGCAGGGCGCGGGCGGACGCGGAGGGGCCTGCGCGGCCGGGACGGAGACTCGGCTGGGCCGAGCATTCCGCAGCCCGGGCCGCCCAGCCTCCGCCGCCTCCCGGAGCGCTGGGTGTGGCCCGCGCTCGGCGCCGAGGCGGGCTGGTGGCGCGGACCGGACGCGAAGGTCGCCGTCCTTCCTTTCTCCAGCCGGCGCGGGCAAGCGGGAGGAGGCGCCGGCTGGGACGCACAGTGGCGCTCCCCGGGCGAGCGTGTGGCCGCCGCGCTCCGACGTGTACCCGCCCGCCCCGGATCTGAATCGCCCGCGGCCGCCGTCCCTCGCCTGCCGTCCTCCCGCGCGGGCGCCCCCGTTCCCTCCCAAGCCGGAAAGAGACCCACCGTCCCCCAGGCTGCTCTCTGGCCCGGAGCCGCAAAGCCCACGTCAGCCGCGACCACCCCGCCCTCGGATCCCAGCCGGGTGCGGGGGCCGCGGCCCCACTGAACCCCGCGCCCCTGGCGCCCAGCGGGAGTGGGATGCGTTGGCGTCCGCGCTGCGCGGGTGGGCTGGGGTGGCCGGAGCAGACGCGGAGCGCCCTGGCCGCGGGACGAAGCGGTCGCGCCGCCGCATTTGGGCGGGGGGACCCCGGAGTCCGCGGGCTGCGGACCCCAGCGGGAGACGGGGTTGTCGTAGGATGCGCTCGCGCTGGACGCCGGCGCACTCTGAATATCATGCTGCCGCACACGCGGGGCTGAAGGGCCGAGTCTTCACCTGCGCGGGGATGCGGCGGAAGCGTCGCGTCTTCGCGAGTGGAGGTTTCGTGTTCCCGCGGGGTTGGTGTGTTTTTGAACTTCACGAGCTTCTCATCCCCCCCGCAATCCTGGTTTTAGCAGATGTCGGGGTTTTGGAGACCTGACACTTTTCGTGAAAGATTCTTTCTGTACGTTTTCTTTTGGCTATATTACAGGGTTTGTAGCTTGAGAACTAGTGAAAACCCTTGAACTTCAAACACAGTCTCATTGCTTATTTTTTGAAATTTAAATATTAAAATATGTACCAGCCCCCTCACAAGCCGACAGACTTTAAGACAAACGACTGTGAAATTTTAGAACCTGTGCAGAGAAAGTGGTTTTATACCAGTACTTGAAATAGTAAGGTCGTGTAACCTTTTTAACATCGTTTTAGTTTGTCTTAAAGGAAGGTTTCAGCACCACTTTGACTGGTACTGTTTTCCAGAGTTTAAGCAGATGTATGTAATATAGCAGGGAAGAGGACAGGAAGTCAGAAATCTCTTCACTCTGAAAAAAAAAAAAGACTTCAAATAATACAACCAATACCCTGAAAATAGAGTGGCCGTCTGGATAAAGTATTTGATAGGCCTTATGAAATTGTGTTGCTTAACCAGAAAGCAATGTGTTGTTAGATAGGGCAGTTTTATCTAGTAACTGTCGTGTTTAAAAATATCTGTGTATGATATTCTTTGTTGAATTTTAACTGGGGAAAAATCAACTTTGGGAATGGGTTTCTATTTGGACAAGGCAAATACTGCAGTTTCTAATTAGAGTTTTGGAATAAGCTCAAGCTGTGTTAAAACCTATTGTATGGAGCAGCAGAACAGAAAACATGTCAAATCTGTATCTGTGTGGCAGAAAACATGTCAAATTCTGTATCTGTGTGGCTTTAAATACACACACACACACACACAGACACACAAACTAGAGACTAGCCCCAAAAGATAATTTGCATAAAAATACAATCACTTGAATGCAGAGAATAGCTAAAGACGTTAGTAAAAACTGAACATCTGGGAAAAGACTGTATTAATTGGCAATTTTCTTTCTTTAATCCCTGAAAATATTAAATGATTTTCTAAGAATCAACTTAGTTTAATGTGCTCATTTAGACAGGCAAAATGATCAAGACTCCTTTTGTATTCATTTTGTTTTAGGGAGCCCCCTAATGAAAGTCTTCAGTAAATAGTTTTTCTGCATGCACTGATTTTCCTGAGGCCATTGTGGAGAGAGTTATCTGTGGGCTTGAGAAGCTGCTCTGCCACACCAGTAAGGATCAGGGAAAGAAAATACTTAGGCCACACCGTTGCAGTCTTTGATTGCATGCCAGTCTGAAGCATTTTATGGACCCGTTTTGCCATGTAAGTGGTAAGCTTTTACATCAGAAGTTAAGCTTTAGAAATATCTCACTTTGGGGCCTAATTTTTGTGAGTTTCTCAGTCTGCGATCAGAGTTGTGTTATCAATCACAGTGAATGTTCGTGAATGGTTGTGTGTTGAAAGGGCATAGGTGGTCTTCATTCTATTACTTTACACAGTTTTAATCAGCATTTTCTGAGGTGAGCCAGGACAAGAACTTCTGGTTACAGTTTGGATAGGATGGAAAAAGTTGTGGTTGCTCTTCGTAAGATCTAAGCTGCTACTACCTGTCCCACTGTATGACAAGAGTGGAATGCATTTTATGTGCACTTGACAGGTACTGCTTAGTCACTGCTTCATAGTACTTCTTTCCTAGCCATCTTCTGTAGCACTTTTACTGTCATTTGACTGTGATAATTAAATCATATGTTTTTTATAATTTCTGTGCACAGAAGAGTAGATTTTACAAGCATGACACAGGACATGAGAGTAGGTGTCTCATATGGACAGATTTAAGTGATTGGGTCTGTTTATTGATCTCTGAATGTTGTGCAACATTCAACTAATCCATTTCATCACTGTTTTGCCTTAAAGTGTAATCACACAATTAAAATAAGATTTTCATGTTACAAACAGTTAAAAACCCAGTAAACATAATTATAGAAGAAAAACAAACCTTTCTTTTTTCTTCCCTTTTTTGAAGTAGTCTTGCTATGAAGGTGTTATGTCTTTGACACATCAAAATGGCTAATTTGGAGTTGTGATGCTTGTTATGTAAATAGGCCATATGTTGAATTTCTGCAGAAGCTTATTCCTTCAGTGTTGTGGTAATGGGTAGGATCCCCTAAGTACCATAGCTGAGAAAAATAGTCTTATGAAGATATATTTCTCTCTACAACTTATGTAATTTTTTATTATTTTTGATAATAGCTAGTGTTTTTATTTTCTGATAAAAAAATTTTAAATGTGATGTTATCCTTCCTTGCATCATACAAATCTTTGTCTCTAGTACTGATCCAAACTCCATTCCTATTTATCTACTTCCTTAATTAATAGACTTTTTATGGTGGATGGCCTGCTGTCAAGCTAAAGACTACATGCTTGATAACAAACTTTTTGTATTCTCTCTAAACTTCTTCCTTTTATGATGAAAAGACTTTCCTTTCTTGATCCGTTTAGCATTCTCTTCATCACCCAGACTGGAGATGTAGGAACCATTGCTGACTCTTCGCTCTCTCACTGCCTCTGTGAAACTGTGTTATCAAGTCCTGTTAACTCTTCCTTTTTAATGGTTTCTCTGAGCCACCCCTGCATTTCGTTTTCATTCTTCACTCTCCCTGATCGGATGGGAGGCCGTCAGCCATCACCGTTTCTAGGATAATTATAGTCTACATCTTGGTCTCTCTGTAATTGAGTTTTCCCCATTCTACGCACTTCCACCGTATCAACCTTCCTAAAACTCTTCCCTCAAAACTCTTCAAGGATTGTTTCACAGGAACAATACTTTAGCATTGTTTAGTATTGCACCAGAGTGCAAATACTTTCCATGGCCTCCCCCATTGCCCAGCCTCTCAACTTGGTTTCAGTGTACCTCACAGTCTTGCCCCAAATTAACTTACCAATGTTATTTTCTACTTCTTTCCAACATGAACCTTCTGTTCCTACTAGTTGGATCTCACTGCCCTTCTAAGATGACATGCTCATTTTCATGTGTCCTTTTTTGTTCATGCCCTGCCTTTTAGAATGTGTCTCTTCTTTTTTTCTCTGACCTAACCACATTCTTCAAGTTCAAGTCAGCCTGCCCTGATCATGTTACTCTCATTGGTTCTTTCTGCCCTTTTGTTTGCATCGTTCCTCTAGACCATCACATCCTTTCTTACGCTGTTACATGCTTCTTTCTTTCTTTCTCAACTAGATAGTAAGGCACTGATGTGCCTTTTATTCTGTCTACCGGCCCTGGCCGTAAGAAGCACTTGATAAATACACCGATAAAATGAATAAATGTAAGGATGATTTTTTTTAAATCATGGGCTTTGATACTGACTCTGAACTGCTCACCATTGGGTCCTCAGAGCCTAACTCATAGCCTGACACATAGTCATGACCTCAATAAATATTTGTTAACTTAGAAATTCATGTTGACATTGGATAAAAGGGACAGGCATTTGAAGGAGGCGTCTGTCAAGATTTTTTTTTCCCATTTTTCTTCAGTAGTTCTAATCAGCTTCTCCATTCATCAACTGTGAGAATTCTGAGGACTCGGCATTTCCCAGAGTTGGGATAATGATGGAGTCTGGCAGTTGTGAGTTGGAATTAAGAAGCTTGTAGTTATTTTAAGGTGGAGTGATGGGCCCCAGTACTGAGCAAAAAAAGCATTGAGGCTTTATGCCAGTATTTTATACGTCAAACAATTAGGCTAAAGTTATCAGTTATATAAAAGTTCAGCTAATTGGCTCTAAAATTTCAGACTGTATTTATTGCAGGGCTGCTCAAGTTTTTCATTTAAAAGCATCCCTGTAAATTAGAAAAAAATACATCTGGGCACCCATCTGAGGGTGAAAGGTGATGTAGGGAAGAGTCTACCACATCCCATTGTATTCAGGACCGAATTTAATTGTTTAGTAAGCCTTATTTTGTACAAGGCACTGTTTCTGCTGGGAAGGAGTTTATAGCCTAGCAGGAAAAAATAACAGACGTATCCCAGAAACAAAGGTCTAGCAGAGCTCAGAAGGGAAAAAAATCTGTTGGGGAGTGGAGGGAATCTTCTTAGAATGACAGTTGTTTGAGGTGATTACTGAAAGGATTTGGATAAGATTTCAGTGTTATTGGGAATATAAGGATGGGGGAAGGGTGCTGTGAGTGAATTCCAGGGCCAATTTGTTGACTTTACATCAGCACTCTTATAGTACTCCTGCTTCTGAGGAGTTGAACCCAGCTAGGAGTCTTCTGAGCATTGGTGGGCTGCAGTGTTCAATAATGGAACCTAAAGGATATATAGATACCTGCAGTAATTACATGTGGTGCCAAGTGCTGAACTGACTATGACACAAAGCAAAAAATAAATCTTGGAAGCAGTATAACCAGTGTGTTCCTGGATAGCATCCAGCTCACTTAGAATGCTCAGAAAGGCCTCCTGCATTATGGAAATGCCACTGAAGGTTGACACTTTCACAGTAATGTAAATAATGAGAGGTGCACCCCAGATTGTGGTCCCAAGCAGCCAGCCATCTGTGGGACACTGCACAGTGCACCTAGCCGAGTTGAGTAAAGGTGTAAACACACTGTTATATAGAACCCTCATTCTGATTCTGTGGAACGGAGTCCCATGGTCTGTAAAGCTAGGACCAATGGGAATGTTTGAGGAATACAGATTTTGGGTCAATAGATGGAAAGTTGCCCCATTATGGATTGTGCTATTTCAGGAGGTAATAGGCCCCCATCACTAAACATATATAAGCATCGCCTATACCAGGCAATATCTTATTTAATTATATACATTCTCTCCTTTATTCTCAAAACAGTGCTATGAAGTACATGCTCCTATTACTCCAGTTTTACTGAAGAGCAAAACTGAAGCCTAGAAAGGTTGAGTAGCTAGTAATTTGTAGAGCTGGTATAAAGCCCAGGCAGTTTGCGGGCAGAAACTGCATATGCACTGAGATGAAGAAAGGATGCAAACATTAGGTGGCCATATGGATTTTCAAGATTCCTTCCTAACACTAGGATTAATACTTTAATTCACCTTAGGGATCAAGATGCTAGCTGTTGCAAAGTACTAGTTCATTATCAGCACCCAGTTCCTAGAGATTCAGAACAAAGTGAATACAGTCATCATCATCATAGTTATCACTTATTGATCATTTTATTTAAACCTCAAAGGAATCTTGGAAGGTAAGGATTATACACCCTTATTGGACAGTGAAACTGAAGCTCAGGGAAGTTACATAACTTGATTGAGTCTGCAGAGTTGATAAGTGGCAGATGAATCTGGTGTCTGACACCCAGGCCCTGCTTTTTCTTATACCACCCTGTGAGGTAACACATGGTGACACTGAAAATATTTACCTATCGGTCTGCACAGAAACCAACAAGTCAGAGCTGTCAGCAACGCCTGTGGCTCTGCAGGTGATGAGTATCACCTGAAGTGATATTTAGGAGCAGTTTGAAGGTGTGTGAAAGGCTTGGTAATCTACCAAGACCACAGATCTGGAGCTCTAGTGACTTCTTCCCATGCTCAGCATTTATTTTATTTTATACATGATAAGTAGTACTATTAAAGAGAGAGAAAGCCTTCACGGATAACTATTATTACATTTATATTTCTAATTAAGGAAAAATGTTTTGCAGTGGTAATCTGTGTCCCTTATAAATGGCAGGCTCTCTTCCCACTCCTTGTCTTCCTTTCCCTTATTCCAGTCTGATGCTAATCCCTCTTGCTTCCTCAGGGACCTTGCTTCATTGTCTTTTCTTCAGGGTCTCAATGATCCTTTTCTTTCAACATATAAACATGCATAAGTCTTTCATATTCTTTATGAAAACAGAAAACGATGAACGCTTTTGGTCGCTTCTCTCTAGGTTTGGGTGTGTTTCATCTTATTCCTGGTCTTAGCAGGCAGCTCCTTGAAGTACAGGTCCTCGTACACATCCCGCACCTCGCCATCTTCCTTTCATCTTCAACCCCCTGCACTCCTGTCCTCTCCTAATGACCACCAGGTCCATTATCTAGGATTCTCTTTCATTTCTTGAACTTTGCACAACATTTGGTGTTCTTGACCACTCTCTGCTCCTTAAAATGTTGCCCACCTGTTTTCTGAGTTATCCATTTCTCCTCATTTTCTTTCTTGTCCAGCTGCTCTATATTTGGACTTCTCTTTACTGTCCTCCCTTCCTCTCAAACCTTAGCCTCCCCTACAGTTCAGCCCTCAGCCCTCTGCTCATTCTGCACGTTTGCCCTGTGGCAGCTCATCTTCTGTTTTCTTCTACTACCACCTATATGCCATTGATTCCATTGTAAATCTGCATCTCCAGCCTTGAAATCTTATCTGACATGTGTTCCAAATGTCTTTAACTCGACAAGTTCAAAACATCACTTCCCCAACTTCAATCCAGCATACTCCTTCTGTGTTTTCTATCTCAATGAATGAAACCTGCTTCACCAAGTTTAAAACCCAGGACAACTTCTTTGCCTTCTTCAACCTCTACATTTTATATAGAGACTGTCTTTTCAGACTCTCTTGAATCTGCTCTTTCCTCCCTGTATCATAACCTTCATTACTGCCGTGGTTCGGGCCCTCATCCCTTCTCTTGAGGATTATTGCAGTAGCCTCGCAACTGGTCTCTCTGGCTTCTGCCTGGCCTGTCTCCAATTTGTTCCTCATACTGCTGCCTTTCTAAAAGGCAAATCTGATTACAACTCTCCACTGCTTAAAATCCTTCAGAGGAGTTTCTGCATCTTCAGGTTAAAATGTAAGCTCCCTGGCATGGCACGAAAGCTTCTTTGTGATCTGGGCCTTCCCTTCAGGTGTGTGTCAGTCTCCTCTAATGATCCTGGTCCCCACTGTCTGCCCCTGCCCGTAGCATCTCCACTAAAGGAAAGAAATGATAGGAGGGATGGGAATAGAGGCGAGATGATAGACCTGCTGTTCAGTACTGTAGCCACTAGCTACATGTGGCTGTTGGGCACTGGAAATACAGCTAGTCCAAGTTGAGATGTGCGTAAGTGTAAAATACACCATGCTTTGAGACTATATAAAAAAATGTAAAATTTCTTATTTAACAAATTGTAATATTGGTTACATGTTGAAACAGCAATAGTTTTGATATAGTAGGTTAAACAAAATATATTACTAAAATTAATTTCACATATTTCTTTTTATTTTTAAAAATGTGATTACTTAGTGGACGTTACCATGCGACATAAAGAAATAATAAAATAAAATGTGATTACTAGAAAATTAAACATCACCTGTGTGCTCACATTATAGTTCTGTTGGACAGCATTGTTAGGGAACATCTCATTCCCAGGAGATGCATCCTGTACGAGCCAAGCCCACGAGCTTTTTGAATGATTAAGTCAGCCCTATTGGCATAGAGAAGTAGCAGTTGCTCAGTTTTTTCAGTCCAGAGGTATGAAATGTTTGGATAAGATTCAGAATTGGAGAGACAGCTTCTGAACGCTATAGCCAGGAGTTACATGTACAATGGGCATAGTGTGGAAAGCACTATTAAAGCACATCTGTCTCAGCAGGCCCACCCAGCCATCATCAGAAGTGGGAGGCAGGAATTCTCGTGGTATGGTAGAGGAAGGATTTGAGGTAGACAGGAGGAACAAGGGAAGGGAAAGTGGAATCACATTCCCTGGAAGCCTCCTATTTGTGAGGCACCAGCTGAAACCCTGAGAGCCAGGTCTCTGAGATTCCCCATCCTGCCGTTGATTCTTCCTAGTGGGCTAAGTCCCAACTCCCCTACTGTCTGGCTGTAGGATCCTGAACAAATTAATGAATCAACGAATCTGGAGTCCGAATATTATGCACACCATACAGTCATAATGTGTCAAACAAAATGATGTGACCCACACTGATAAGGGCTCTACAGAAGTTAGTTATGCCTTAAGACACTGAGGGCAGTAATCTGTGGATGAGTTGGCCTGAAGGGCTTTGAGGGAAGGGCATACGGACTGTCAGAAAGACCTGGAAGATAGCACCTGTTGCCTTAAGAGATATGCAGAGCTTCTGGCTAACACGGTGAAACCCCGTCTCACCAAAAATCCAAAAAAAAAAAAAAAAAAAAGAGCCTGGCATGGTGGTGGGCACCTGCAGTCCCAGCTACTCGGGAGGCTGAGGCAGGAGAATGGCGTGAACCTGGGAGGCAGAGCTTGCAGTGAGGGGAGATCGTGCCACTGCACTCCAGCCTGGGAGACAGTGTGAGACTCCATCTCAAAAAAAAAAAAAAAAAAAAAGAGATATGCAGAGCTTTATGTGTTCACGATGGAAAAGCCAACCTGTGATAGGAAACCAGATCTTACCAGGTTGGATCAGGAAGGGGAACCCTCCTGGAAGAGGTGATGGGAAGAAACTGTGACTATAAAGAGAACAGTCCAGTGGGATTAGATTCCAGTGAAATCTGATAGGCAGTGTGACTCAGTGTCTTCTCTAGTGGTGGTTTGCCTGCTGTAGTCTGTTGGACTCTTAAATTCTGAGAACTTCCTCTCTTGGTTTCAACCTGGGCGGCTGTTTTTATTTGCTTCATGAGTAGGCATTTTGTATAAGATTTTGTTAGGGGCAAAGGTTCTTGTGCTAAAAACAGAAGTTTGAAAGTCCTACATTATAGAAAATGGCCTGAGAGGAGTGGTAACTACCTTGATGTGATTATTTCTCCCTCATTCGCAGGATCTAGGACCAGTTTAGGCCCTTTCCAGAGGGCATACAGCTTCCTTTCATCTGAGGCTTAGCGACTTCGCGGACCAACCATGCAGTTTGCCTTGTCCAGGTAGTTTAGCCAGGTAGCCATAACTCAGTCTTGTTCTTGGGTAAACAAGTTTTCACTTTTGTACTGGGTTCCACCTTGTCTCCTGCATTCCCAAGTCCTGGATTTGTGTTCTTGTGGAGGGACCCCAAGTTGTCTTAGTTAAGGATCCTGTCATGTTTCTCCAAGCCTTCTTGGGACAGTAGTGTCCCTAGGGTTGGGCCACTGCTACTCCCTTCTAGGCCTCTTTAGTACTGAGAACTACCAGCAAGGGTCAGGAAACTTGATAGATATTTAGAATTGAATAATTTGCCTGGAGCTTGGCTTTTCCCTGGCTCCAGACCCCTGAGAGCAAATATTCTTGCTAGTTTGCAGTCCCGCTGGTCTCTGAGTCCCATTTGTACAACTTGGAAGGAGAAAGGAAGACAGATATAGGGCTGATTTTCTTAAATTATGGTGCATTCATATCTTTGTCTCTAGTGGGAAGGTTGGTCTTATGTGTGTATGAGAAAGGTGGCCGCCTTTATGTTGTGGTTTCAGAATCCATACTGCTGAAAAGGGCACTTCAAATATCAAGTTTCTCTTTTTTGCTCTCCAATATGTGAAAGCCTACGTTATAAAAACTCTATTTAGTTTCCTATGACCAGTATGATTTAGAAGAAAAAGAGGACGGGCTTTGGCACTTGAAAGACCTGATTTTGAGTCATGCCATTGCTGGCTATATGAATTTGAGCAAGTTATTTAATCTTTCTGGACCCCAGTTTTCTCATGTATGAAGCAAAGTGAGTAACGCCTACAATTCTGTTATGATTTTGTTGTGACTAAATAAGATAAAATATAAAGTGCCTGGCACCAGGGCCTAAAATGCAAATGCTATGGAGGTGGTAAGTCAAACTTATCCTCATATCTCAGTATATCTCAATTCACCCTCCTTATGTTGAATAATTTTATAGACCTTTCCCTGAGACTGATCAGGAAGAGGATATGAAATCTGGGGCAAGGGGCCCAGATTTTACCCAGCCAAGGGTGACAAAGGACCAGAAGGAAGTTGCCTTCACATTTTGCCTAAGTCCCATTCTCCCTATGCTTTGCATTTGTGAAAATATTCATCTGAGATTATAGGTACAGCATGAAGCCTTGGAAAAAAGGCATGTTTACATCCTCTGCCAGGATAGCATAACAATTAACAAAGCAGGTTTTTGAATCTCTGAATAGTCAGGTGCACTGCCATCAAAATAAACTTTTATTTCTATTCTTTGCTGATAGATTACAAATAAAGCCACTAAAATATCCTGAAAAAGAAGATTTATATATGAATTGGACACCAGGGACAGATTTTTCACACTTATTTTGTTGGAGCAGTTTTTTCCTTAGCTGTGGGTGTTTGGGAAGTTCTTTTGTTGTAGCTTTTGTTGCTTACAAGAGGGAAAAAGCTTTAGTATGCTAAGGTAAGAATGATTTTGATTGGAGGCAATATTGTTCTCAGTGTGGGCTGACTTTCACGTATTGTAGTGATTACCAGTACATAACTGAGAAAACCCATTTGTTGAAGTGCTGTAAACAGCAGAGAGTCTGATCTCACATACTGCCCTGATCGACAAGTGTTTATTGTAGGAATGTGGTCAGTCCTGTAATTTTTTAAGGGAAAAGGGGAAGATGTTATGCCAGTCACTGTGATTGCAAATGCCCTGATCTGGCAGGTCTTTTTCCTTTCTCGTTTATTTCTCCTGTGGAATCTGAATGGTGGATTCAGTACATGTACTGAGCTTCCAGTGACTTGGTCAGCTCTTGATGCAATTGATCACACCACTGTAATTCCATACCCTCAATTTTAGTGCCATATCAAAATCATGAACACTCAAGGAGACCATGTAAATCTACGTCCTCAAAAATTAGAAATAATGGCATTAAAAATGTTATTTAGTGCTGGTTTGTAGCACTGAATATATGAACTCATTCATTGTTCTGGTACTCCCTGAACAAGAACTGTTTCGGTTGCAGTGGATGATATCAACTAAGGTTTCCATGGCAGCACTAATTTATAATATGAAAACTTTTGTGGAATTTCACCTTCTGGACTCTTCTCGATTGCATTTAAATTTACATTTTCCCCTCATTTATTAAGGTGAGGCATATTTAGATATTACTTACATGTGTGTACTAGGAGTATCTTCATGAAACTCAGTGATAAGAAATTACACGTGTAGAAAGCAGACAATGGAAACGGAAAATGGATACTGTGGTCTAACATCTCACCAAATGCAGGAATTCTTTCCACATTATCCCAGTTGCCATTTGAACCAGCCAGGAACGAGGAGTTTGGTCAACATTTTATGAAGCCAAATAATGCTAATGACAGTAGTCTGCAGTGCTCCGGACCCTAAGCCCATTTCGATTTGGACTTCATGTTATTTGTGATTGGACCAATACTCCATCAAGCACAGGTGGACACAGATATTTGTAAAACCTCTTCCCCAGTGGTGCACTGAAACCTGCCTCCCTGCAGCTTCCCTGTTGGTCTTCCATCCGCCCTTTGAATGCCACAGAATAAATATGCACCTTCTGTGTGGTCGCTCTTCAAATATTTGACCATAGCTATTGTATCTCCTCCTCGAAGTCTTCTCCTTTCAGGGTTATGCAGTGCTAGTTCTCTTAACTGATAGTTCTCATCCTGTTAACATTCCTCTAGGCACCCACTACTCTATCAATGCCATCTTAAAAATAGTGCATCTGGCCGGATGTTATGGCTCACGCCTGTAATCCCAGCATTTTGAAGGCCGAGGTGGGCGTATCACTTGAGGTCAGGAGTTTGAGACCAGCCTGGCCAACATGGCAAAACCCCGTATCTACTAAAAATACAAAAATTAGCTGAGCATGGTGGCGTATGCCTGTAATCCCAGCTACTCAGGAGGCTGAGGCAGGAAAATTGCTTGAACCCCAAAGGTGGAGGTTGCAGTGAGCCAAGATTGCGCCACTGCACTCCAGCCTAGGTGACAGAGCGAGACCCCACCTCAAAAAAAAAAAAAAAAAAAAAAAAGCATCTTGAATGCAACAGCCTACTCCTGACTGAGTATTCTGAACAGTAGAAAACACCAGGCTGCTATTCACTCCCTTGATCAGGGCACTCTTTTATTAATCTAGTCAAATATTGTGTGGGCCTCACATGTAAATCAGGAACAGCACATTGTTTGTTCACATACGAAGCTAAAGAAAACTTCCAAGCCTTTTTTCCTAACAACTGCTACAAAGCCAGGTCTCCTTTGTTCTTTACTTGAGCAGTGAATCATGTGTGCCTACTTAGAGGACTTTACATACATTTATCCTTCTACATTTTGTCTCTTTTTGTTAAATTATTTTTCCTCTTTATCAAGACAGCTTTGAATTCTAAAATTTTTAAATTCGATATATTAATGATGTTAGACTCTTACTTATTTATCAATTGCACACTTGGAAATGTTACTTTGTCGTTGATAAAATGTTGACCAAGACAGGCCAAAGATAGGGCCCTGTGACATTCTGCAAGAGAATTATTAACATCAGTATGTGAATTTTTTTTTTAAACTAGCTTGACAGTCTTTCACTTGTTTACTTTGTTATCCAAGAGCATAGAGTCAGGGAAAGACTTAGTCAAATGCTTTAGTAATGAGATCATTATTGGTCTACTTATTGCCACACAGTAGAACTCTATGATAAAGAATAAGATTCATGAGAGTAATTTTTAGATTGCATTAATTTTTCTTCTGAAAAATTTCTTGAAAAAGCATATCTAAGTCACCTTATTTTTAATGTATCTAAGAGAAAATAATTTTGTAAAATAAAATCAAACTTCACCTATCATTTCAACTCATGAACTTGTTTGGTTCAAAGGAATTGCTATGTAATACATCATTCTATTCTCTTTACAGAATCATTACTCTTAAAGAGAATTGGTGGGGTGACAGGAAATTACTCCATAGGTGTCACTCCAGCACATCATGATATTCTCATCTCCTGGGACAGAGTCGTCAGGCTGAGGCATGTCCTAACAGTGTGCCAGCCTGTGTAGATGGCTCCATGACAGTATCAGTAACGTGACCATGACAGAGAGAGCTCTGATGGCATTGTGTCACTAATGGATGTGTTTTCACTAAGCTGAAAATTCTGTATTATTTGAAAAGAGGTTTATTTTTCTTCCCACACAAATTATTTGACTCTCATATTAATGTCAAATAGCTGTCAAGTAACACATATGGTGCTTTCTGTGCTATATTTTATTGTACTCATGTACAAAATAGTTTTTTTAAAAACATGTTCTCTGCCTTGGACTAGATAGAAAAAATAATTTAAAAGAATAGTATTCTTAAGAAACACAAATCTATAATATATCAAGGAATAAATGAGTGCTTCATAAAAATACTAGTATTTGTGTCTATATTTTTCAGAGTACTTTCATGCATTTTCTTTTTTGAAAAAAAATCTGATGTTAAAAATAATACATACTCTTTGAATTTGGAAGCTACTGAAATGGATAAAAAATTAAAAGTCAGCTCAAATTCCACCTCTCAGAGATTGTCACTGTTAGCATTTGGTGTTTCCCTTTCAGATGTGCATTTGTGTGAGGTTGTGAGTGTGTGTGCATGTGTATATTTGTGTGTTTTAAACTAGCTCTTGGTGGACCCAGGACGTTTGTACAGAAGAATCAGCATGACATAGTCGGTAAAGAGCTTTGGAATCAGGCACTTGGAGATTTCAGCTCTGGCTATACAACTTACGTAGTGACTATGAATTCCTTAAACTCTCTAAACCTTAATTTCTACTTCTATAAAATGAGGATAATAATACTATATACCTAGTAAGTTTATTGTAAAAATTAATAAGATAATGCAGATAAAGTACATAGCATGGTTCTTGGACCATAGCATATGCTCAGCAAATGTGAACTATTTTTATTATGCAGGTTTTCTTTTCTGCTTTCTTCACTTAAATTATAGGGTAAAAATTTCCTTGTCATAAAATATTATTTGAAAAATATTTAGAATGACTGCATAAATTTCAGTATATGAATGTGCTTTAATGTTATTCTATGGATAAACAATTTTTAATTTATTGTGATCACAAAGAACACCACAGCTGATATCGTTTACATTATGTTTTGTGAATAGACAACAAATTCAAAGTGAATTACTAATCGCATTTTATGGAGAGGCAGAAAAAAACTTACAGTTCTTTAGTGTCTATTAATGTTCCAGGTTATATGCTATGTTCTTTACAATAAAATTCTCTTTAACTTTCACATCCCCTTTGAGGTAAGTCTGTTACGCCCATTTTTCAGATGACAGAGCTCTGAGGGGAGATAAGTCATTCGCTCAAGGTCACAGAGAGATAGTGGTGGTAGAGATGGTGTTTGAAGCCAGCGTCAGATTTCAAAGCTTATGCTTTTTCCATTCTGGCATGTAGTTCATGCCTATCTTTTTGAGGCTTGCAGAATGAATAGTTAGCATTGTGCCTTCTACAAAATGTCACTTGGTGCCACATGAAAGATAGGATACTTGGCTGGAATGCTTGACTTACTCAATATAGTACCTCTTGCGTGTGTGTATTCTTATATGTTTTGGAATCAAGCCTCATTAAAATAAGGTGTTAACTAAAGGAAATGAAGCATTGATATGATTATTTGATGAAAGGAAACCTCAAGGAAGAAAATATTCATTGAGTTGATAATATGAAACTCTTCTTTGTTTTAGTTGTACGGACTAAGCCAGAATCACTTATCTCCCCAGGAATCAGGGTATTTCACATAAGTCAGTTTAGGAATTAAGCAATAACAACAGCCAAAGTAAATTGATGCTGTCAAAGGAATTGTATGTTTCATTACTTGTATATCAGGGGTTGAATGTAAAAAAATACCTCTTTAGCCTTTGCTGTAAGCTGATACATCAGGAAAGAGCTGTAATAATTGCTATAGGTATAAGTATAGGTATACGAGAGACAAAGTATACTAGGATAAGCCCTCAAAGAATTATTTGGTGAACTGACAAGTTGTCTTTAAAAAGTCAGCCATTCGGAACATTTCTCTTGGCAGCTCTCAAATCTGACTTACAGTGTGTACTGTGGCAGCCAATTTTGTAGGAAAAATGCATAATTAATGTGAAGATCAAGGTACAGGTATTGCCAGTCAGTACCTAACACACAGTTTCTTAGAACAAAGGAGCAATTGAAGTTGTCTTTTGATAGGGTAATCCTGATTTGTCATTTTGTGGGTTTCAATTCTTAGTAAAAATGGGGGAAAAAACCCAACTCTAGGAGTAATATTTCATATCTGAGAGGTACTTTGTTGCAGAGTTTATAACCAACTGTTGTCTAGTCAAGAAAGCTATCTTTGGTTTTTGAGATCTCGAATTTTTATAGCCTTTGAGCTTGCTCATTTTTGTCTTAGGATTATTCTGGTTTCCCTCCAGTCATTTTAGT
Organism: Homo sapiens; assembly: GCF_000001405.40. Classification (NCBI taxonomy): domain Eukaryota; kingdom Metazoa; phylum Chordata; class Mammalia; order Primates; family Hominidae; genus Homo; species Homo sapiens. The sequence continues at coordinate 200,322,999 of NC_000002.12, forward strand.
TTTTGCAAGGGAGAAACAGTATCACTTATGGACCCAAGGCCAAAAAGGCTTCAAATCTCGACAGAACATGACCACCAACTTGGCATGTTGGTACTAGCAAGTTAAATTTGAACTTACTATGCAACTAGTGAATAGTTAGAACTGTGAACAGAGAATTAGCTATGGGATCTGCAGGTTGGATTTACAGCATGGCTCCATTGTGTGGTAGCTGTCTACCCCTGGGCAAACAGCTTTCCTATCCCTGAGAGTCCTCAGCTCTCAAATGGAGATAATGACTACTATATAGTCAGAGATCATTTGGAGGGTCAGATGTATTGAGCAAACCATTGGTTCACCCAAAAGTTTGCTTATGATTTGTTTCTAGGTGATTAATAATGGCTTGAGCCATTATACCATTTAAAATATTTAATGAGAATATTTTAAATATTCTCATGAGCCAATATACCATTTAAAATATTTTCAAATGAAGTATGGGAATATTTGTAAGATAAATGTAGAAATATATAACTCCTGGGGCTAACCTCACCAGACCCTTCTAACTCTTTGCTTAGACTTTATCCAGTAATAATGGGACAGGCCCTTTTACTGCCCTGGAAACCCCTGGTGCCTAGCTTAGAGTCTCTCAGAGTTTGGATGCTCACACCCAGGGCATATTCCTCTAATGAGGGAAGGGGGCCTTTTGACTTCAATAGGTGGTTCCTTTGATCACAGTAAAGACCTTTATAGAAATAGGCATTTAGATCTATTATGTTGTTCTAAGATAGAAACAAAACTGGTATTTGATGTGTATTTTACTCTTCAATAAGAAAGGCTCAGAGAAAAAGACTATAAGGTAGAAAAAAGATTTCAGAAGATTGCATTACAGAAAATTATAGGCAACTCTTTTATTATTAAAGTAATGCAAGTGCTGGAGGGGACAGGAAAGGGAACGGGAATTTGGGAACTTTGACACTGGGTAGCATCCGTGCAGAGGTTTTTGGAGGTCTCTCTTGGTTCTTCCCCCCAGTTCTGGTGATGTAGTGAAGGGCTCAGAAACTGCTTCTGGGTCTGACTGCAAGAGAGTAAATCCCAACCCTGGGGCTGCACTGACTCCCTTATCCTGGGCGGCTATGTTCTGACCTCCTTGGCTTTTATGGCCTCCCATACAGTCACTGTGGATCGCCCTTTATCTTAGTCCCTTAAGACAACAGGATTTGCTCATTGACCACCCTTGCTTGGACTATACTGTAGGACCTTGAAGGTGTTTCAGGCAATTAATGATTGAAATGTCTCTGTGGAGTTCCTGAGGGATGTAAGTGTGTGAGCTAAGTGCTGGACATTTTAGACAAACCTCTGTGACTGCTTTGCAGTAGAGAGCCCACCCAAGGCCCACTGGTCCCAGGACTCTCTGAGCATGCCAGGTGGTGAGGGTCAACCTGCTTGCTATTCTCATTTGGAATCAATTTCTAAATTTTATTTCTCCTTCGACACAGGGAACTATTCTGAATTTCCCTTCTTTGCTTTGGTACCAAAGCTTTCATTGAGCTCATCAGCTATTTCCTGAGTGTCTCCTCTGCACCAGGCACTGTGAGAGGAACAAAGGGAAATCAGGTCTTGAAAGGAAAGAATGTGCATGCCTTAGGTAAGAAGCAAGATGTGTCTCCAGAGTTGAGAGAAGGGAGAACTGAAGATGCAGTGAATTTTTTTCTGTTGTACTTTCTATACAATAAATTTTACTTCATAAAAATCTATACTAATATCCATTTGTGTGGCAAATTCCATTATAATGAAAATCTCTGTTATCCAGCAACTTAGGCAAGTATCAGCAGAGCACAATTTCAATACAGCAGAAGACTTTGGAGAGTCCCTTGGAGTGAGCTGAAATGGGATTTGACCTATATATTAAGCTTTTCATGGTTTTGATATTTTTCATTTCCATGTGTCAACAAATACCCGACTTGATATTAAAGCCAGTTAAATCAATATTTCTTGCTGTAGTCAAGGTACAGCAACATATATCCAAGGGCAACAACTCCCCAACAGCCATATTTTGTTGAGAATATATATTTTATCATAAACCTGATTGAACTACCTTCAGAGGAAAAGGATGAAAACATCAACATAGCTATCATAAAAAAAGAAAAGCCAGGGAATCTATAATCTTGTACCTTACCCCTCATTTAAACAATTCCATAATTTATTTTGCTTTCTTTAATCATAAGGAATGACAACATGGAAAATATTTTTATTGTGATAGCTGTGGTTTCTTTCTCTATCCTCAAATAGAGCTGCTTTAATCCTTCTCCCAAATTCCGTCCCATTCAAAGGATTTTTGAGCAGGTACATGTGAGCAAAGTGGCAGGTACAGCTGAATCCAAGATTCTTGGACTGTAGGAATCTTTTTATTTATTTATTTTTTTAGACAGAGTCTCACTCTGTTACCTAGGCTGGAGTGCAGTGGTGCCATCTTGGCTCACTGCAACCTCTGCCTCCCGGGTTCAAGTAATTCTGCTGCCTCAGCCTCCCGAGTAGTTGGGACTACAGGTGCACACCACCACGCCTGGCTAATTTTTGTATTTTTAGTAGAGATGGGGTTTCATCATGTTGGCCAGGCTGGTCTTGAATTCCTGGCCCCAAGTGATCTGCCTGCCTTAGCCTCCCAAAGTGCTGGGATTTCAGGTGTGAGCCACCGCCCTGGCCAGACTGTAGGAATCTAATAATCAAATAATTGTAATGGGAAGGAGAGTGGAGTAGAAGCCCATTTCTACTTACTCTTTCTCTGAAGTTTTAACTGTTTGACAATTTCTGGAAGTCACCTATTACAAACTCAGTATTTCTATAAACAAATAGTCTGATGCATCAGTTTATAAACACCAACACATTTATTTACTATGTGTTATCAGAAAAGCCTCACTTATCTTCCTTGTGTTCTTTGACTAGGTGAGTACTTAACCATTTATTGGGCTCCTACTCTGTGCTAAGCACTTAAAATATTTCACCTCTCACAGGCAAAATGATGCTCAAGGCACATGCTATTGTTTATATTTTCCAGATAAACATGAGACTTCAGCTGCTAAGTAACTTATCAAAGGGCACCCAGGTAGAAAGGGTGTAGTCTGAGGTTTGAACCCAAGTTTGTCTGATTCCAGAGCCTTTTCACTTTTTTAGAGATGGGGTCTTGGGCTCTTCACAGATGCAATCATAGCACATAATAGCCTTGAACTCTGGGCTAAAGCTATCTTCTTGCCTCAGCCTCCCAGGTAGCTGGAGCTACAAGGGCTTGCCACCATGCCCAACTCCTTTTCACTTTTTTAAGGCTGTTTTCCATAATATATTCTGAGATTGAAAACAAAAATTCAGATTGTTAAAGTAGTACATACTCACTATAGAAAATTTAGAAAGCAGAGAAAATTATTAAAAAGAAGAAAAATTACCAATAATCCTTCACCCTAGGGATTATCACTACTGAAATTTCAATCGTTTTTCTCTCTAGGCTTAAGAAAGCTATTTATCCAAATGAGCATTTTTCCTCAAAGTTGTCCTCTTTGAGGAAAGATGTCCTCTTTGAGGTTTATGCATGTATTCCAACAATGTTGCCATTGCATAAAATAATTGTGGAATCCCTTTCAGAGCCAGTTTAGGAACCAACTTTTCTATAGACTCCCAAGCACAGGTTACTTTGGTAGAAACATAGTAAAGACAGTATATCTGCTACCTGAAAACCTATCAGAATAATGCATGATATGTTTGAGCATTCTTTTTTTTTTCGAGACGGAGTCTTGCTCTGTCACCCAGGCTAGAGTGCAGTGGTACAATCTCGGCTTACTGCAACCTGCAGCCTCTGCCTTCCCAGTTCAAGCGATTCTCCTGCCTCAGCCTCCCAAGTAGCTGGGATTACAGGCGTGTGCCACCATGCCCGGCTAATTTTTTTTTTTTTTTTTTTTTTTTTAGCAGAGTTGGGGTTTTGCCATGTTGGCCAGGCTGGTCATGAACTCCTGACCTCAGGTGATCCACCTGCCTCGGCCTCCCAAAATGCTAGGATTACAGGTGTGAGTCACCATGTCCGGCCCTGTTTGGCCATCCTGTACCTTCTGAAATCCTATGCTGCAAATATTTAACCATCCTATTAAAAATGCCATCATTGAGCCAGGCGTGGTGGCTTACACCTGTAATCCCACCACTTTGGGAGGCCGAGGAGGGCAGATCTCTTGAGGTCAGGAGTTTGAGACTACCCTGGCCAACATGGTGAAACCCCATCTCTATTAAAAATACCAAAATTAGCCCAGTGTGGTGGCATGCACCTGTAATCCCAGCTACTTGAGAGGCCAAGGCAGGAGAATCACTTGAACCTGGGAGGCGGAGGTTGCAGTGAGCCAAGATCATGCCACTGCACTCCAGCCTGGGTGACAGAGCGAGACTCCGTCTCAAAAAAAAAAAGCTATCATTGCCCTCTCTTGAGTTGTAAATATCTTGTGCTGACTTCTATTGTAGTGGCAGATGGAATTTACCAAAGTGCTGCTTCTTTCCATGTCAAAGATTGATGGATATTTTGGGGAATGTCTAAAAGTCTTTATTAAAAATTTAATCCATAAATGTTTAATATCTCATTTGACAACTCATGTTATTTATTGCTTTGTCAACACAACAATGTTTGCCTTTTGTGGGGCATAAAGAAAATTAGAAAATTGTTTTTGTCAAAAGTGTGAAAAGCATATTTTAAAATCAATTCCTTTTTAATGGAAGTATTACACTCACTAAATTATTACCCTCCAAGGAGTTTTTGTGAAAGCAAATGTATCTAGGTGAGATGAACTGATCTTTATATAAAGTCAGTTGCATTTATGTAGAAGTAAATGTTTCCCGTAGAAGCAGGCGTGTGCGGGCACACACACACACACACACATACACACGCAAACAAAAGATTTCTGTCAAAATAGCCATTGGTATACTTTATTAAAGAAAGTCAATTAAGTACCAGCTGAGTTCTTGTCACTTCGGTTTGTTGCATACAACACTACTAACTTGTAGAAAACAAATCTAACTTCCACCCAAGCATCCCATTGGTTTTCTTGTTTCTGCCTTATTTTTCACAGACATTCTTACCCTCCCCATCTGCTTAGCATGACACCCTACCCCTTCCCAGTCTGCTGGACACTTGGGGCACGTGGATCCTGGGTGTTAGACTGGTACAGATTGGGACAGACCAAGTGTGTACAGTTGTCCTCAGGGCTGCATTCTTCCCTTGTCTTCTGGTTGCCAAGATTTCATAGGATGAGAATTCACCATGCTTATGGAGGTCATTACAAAGTGTAGGCTGTGTCCTGTGTTATATCTTTGGCATTATTCATGGTGCCTAACATTGTGTTCAGTCAATGTTTGTTGGCTAAATGAAGGGTTATATTTTTTCAAAACTGGACTGGTAGGGAGAAAAAGTTAGTCCAAAAGAAAGTCACAGTTGTAAAGTAGAATCTCAGGGCTTAAAGTCTTTAGGTCAATCCTCTTATTTAAAGATTAAGCCCAGAGAGGTCAGCTGGCTTGGAGAAGGTCACCCAGAGAGTTGGTGCCAGAGCCAGGAACAGCATCTCGTGTCCTGAGGCCCCGTCCCCTTCTTTCCAGTGCCTCCCTCGCGGTTGTTCTCCAGTCATTTTGTGGAGGTCAATCTTCTGAGTCTCGTAGGACCAGTTAGCGGAGCATTTGAATCCCCACACAGTACTCAGCAGAGCATTAGAGACATAGGCATTATTAAGAAATATGTGAAGTGATGGGTGACCGAGTGAGTGATTGATTGGTTGACTTACGACCTTGGCACCCATCTTTCCACCTAAGTGGTTACTGGTTGAATGGTGAGTTCTTTGGGATTGTGTGTACTTTATAGGATATCTTTTGGAGAGGAGAGGATTATAACAAGAACAATAGCTAACATTAAATTGGACAAGATATTTTGGTGAATAGTCCAGGCTCTGGAACTTGATTGCCAGCTACATTTTCATGAGACAGGTGATTTGACCTCTCTGGTGCCTCATTTTCCAACACCTGTAAAGTGCCAGTAATACCAGGGCCTACCTCAGAGTATTGAAGAGTTAGCCTATGTGAAGCCCTAGAACAATGCTAGACACTTCCTAAGCAGGCAATAAATGTTAGCTGTTGTTGGTGTATTTCACTATTATATGTTAGGCAGTGTGCTAAATGCATTACATATGTTATATATCATCCAGTCAACAACTTTGTGAGGAAGGTACTGTTATTATCCCCATCTTACAGTTGAATAAACTGAGGCACAGAGAGGTTACTCCACCTACCTGGAGTCACATAGCTGTTAAGTCATGGGTGAGGACGAATTCCCTGTCTTCTTGACTCCAGATCCTGTGCTTGGGTTTTGAGTGTGATGGGAAATGGGTGGTGTGGCTACTAATTTGAGACCTGCCTGACTTCCCAAATTTCCATTTTTCCTAGAGCTCTTCAGAAACCAGGCTGCTTTCAGGAACATTGCTGTGGATTCCCAGGTGAGTAGAGATGGTCCTTCCCTCTCTGTGACCTCCTCCTGCTGCCATGGCCAGCTGTCCCTACACCTGCAGCTGCCTCCTGGGAGCCTTGTCACAGCCTTTGGCCGCCTCTGCTGCCTCTCAGGGCTCAACACCAGAGTTCTCTTTTAGAGTGTGTTGACTGAAGTTATTCCTGATAGGGCAGTGGGGTCTGGTGGATGTAAGTCAGTGCCACCCCACCCACATCCCCCTTCCCCACCTGCCTTGCCACGTCTGTGGATCTTTAGAGTAGTTTCATGCATATGAAATACTTTGAAGTACCAAAAAAAAAAAAATAGGGCTTTTAAAGACATTCTTGTGATTTAGAAAAGAATTATGGCTAAGAGTGGTGGGCTCTGGAGCCAGACTGCCTGGCTTTCCCTCCTCACAGTGATAGCCACTTTTGCTCTCACTGTCCTTCTTATTGAAGAATGTGCTCCCACGATTGCAGAAGTCTGACTTGGAATTGACAGTGCTCAGTCAGCATTGAGTGGGAGTAGGACACAGACTCCTGAGCCAGACAGCCTGGCTCTGCATCCTGCCTCTGCTGCCTAATAATCGTGCAGTCTTCGCATGTCACTTACTTTTCTGAGCCTTGGTTTCCTCTTCTTTAAGATGGGGTAATTATACCCATCTTGCAGAATTGTCAAGATGTTTTCAAGCTCATGTATGCAAGGCAAACTTACACAAAATTGATATTCAATAAAACAGTAACCAAAGATCATCCTTGGTCCAGACCCTGTTAAATAATCATAAATTCCAAATTGAGGTAGTCCAAATTAATGAAGTCTTATTGCCTCCTGGATATTTCCATTAATGTTTAATATAAACTTGATTCTTTTTCCATAAATGTAAAACTTTTGTGGTAAGATGATTGTAACTTTTTGAAAAGAGCCATAAATATTGGTGGGAGTTGGTTGTTTTCCATGAATAGAATCGAATATTTTACTTCCTCATATTTGAATCACAATGAAAGCACTTTCAGTTGTTCAAAGAGAATTAATATAGAAACAACTGTTGATTTTCTGTCTTTCTGTCTCCATACACATGTCTGCATGCACAGGCGCACACACTGCTTAGTTTTCCTTTGGTTAGGCAGCTGAAGAGTTACTATGTAGATCCTGGCAGCCTTCTACCCATCAGACAAGCAAGGGCACAATCAATTCCTGTTTTCTTGAAACGTATACCAAATAATCAGAAACTCTGATTATTCTGCTGGAAGGCAACAGCTTGATGGAAAGATGTACCAATTGAAAACAATTCTGATCATATTTTTGTCAGGAGAATGAGATGCCTCCAGCTGCCTGTCACTAATCATATTAGAGGTGGAAAGCAGGAATGTTTTACCCTGCAAAAGATTACTCTAATCATGTGTTGGAACGCTACTTGTACTGGCTGCTTATCCCAGAACGGTGACATTAGACATCCCTTCTGTAACTGGTCTTGCCAGTTGGTAGTAGTCTAAACCATATGCCACATGAGCACACTTTAGGAATTTTCTAATTACAGCTCAAAGGCTTTACTTTTATCTTTTTATGCTTGTACTGCAGACATCAGTGATTGAAAATGATTTCCCCCTCAGCATAATCCTATTGCCAGCAGTTATGAAAGACTAGGAAGATGGTAAATGAAGCCCACAATAACTGAAGAGGTGTCCGAATTCAATTATGAAGAGGCCTGTCCCATGTGGACACATAAGCCATATAAATCCATTTTAATTGTGAGCTGTGATGCTTATCTGATTATGTTTATTTTCGATGCAAGTGCCAAAGCTGGATTTAGACCAGAATTCCAGATCTTCAAGTTCTAATGACTAATTTGGGTATCCACTGAATCCCTTAATTCATTTCTTAATTTGTTCTCCCAGAATTAGAGAGTTGCTTGGTTACAGTCATTTTCACAAATTTCTCATGGATCAAAATAAATGTACATAGATGTTTTTCCCCCTAGGATTCACACATTTTGCTCTGATCTCAAGGAACTATTCTTGTTGTTATCAAAATAACAATAACAGTGCCAACAATAACAACAAAACTAACATTCTGCAAGGTAGTGTAGGGAATATAGACCGAGGCTCCAGGAGGAATGATTTTGAGTCGCACCTCAGCTACTTAACAGCAGTGGGACCTTGGTCAAGTTAGTCCCCCTCTCTGTGCCTCAATTTCTTCTTGTAAAATGGGACAAATGAGAGTATTCACCTCATTGGGTTGTTTTGATGATGATTAAACAAGCCCATATATGGAAAGTATAGGTAGGTTGATATGTGGAAAGTCCTGGCACAATAAAAAATGTTAGTTATTTTGTTGTTATTGGTAAGACAGTGGTCGACCAGAGGCAGATTTTGCTCGTACCACAGTATTGTCATCTAAGTATGTCCCATTTCTACGGTCCACTTGGAGAACATTTATGATGGTAATGAAAACACTGGAGACTCTGAATTTGGAATCAATCTCTGTTATTTGTGCTTGTACTCCTTAGTTTGGCTACAGAAATAACATTTTTTGGCTTTCCAGGCTTGATCAGTATTGAACTTGGAACCCTTTTGGTGCAAAATTGCTTTAAAATTTGAATGAACATTTTGTTCTCTTGGTATGCACAATATTAGCCCTCATTAAGAGGAAAAATTTTATTACAATATGTAAAATGTGTGTGTGTGAGAGAGAGAGAGGGAGAGGGAGAGGGAGAGACAGAGAGGAAAGAGAGAGATTTGGAAGAATCAGCTTTAGTAAGTTTACTGGAAATCTTCAAGCTTTTTTTTTTTAGAGAGACAGGGTCTCACTCTGTCACCTGGGTTGGAGTGCAGTGGCGCCAACACAGCTCACTAAAAGTTCAACCTCCTGGGCTAACACAGTTCTCTTGCCTAAGCCTCTGGTGTAGCTGGGACCACAGGTGCATGCCACCACAACTGGCTATTTTTTTTATTTTTTATAGAGATAGGGGGTCTCACTTTGTTACCCAGGCTGGTCTCAAACTGCTGGGCTTAAGCGATCCTCCCACCTTGGTCTCCCACAGTGGTGGGATTACAGGTGTGAGCCACCATGCCTGGCCCAAACTATTTTTTAATACAGTAAAATGCATTTATTATCATGGCTTAGATTTAGTGAATGTGTAGGAGTGAAAGTCTACTGAGAGAATAAATCTAGTAATTTAATGAACTTTCTTCATAGCTTCATAAGAGTTAGTTAATTATGATTTCTTAATTCATTGCCCAAAGAATGAATTACTGGAATTCATTATATTTTTTTTTTGAAAAAAAAAAACTAAGTTAGCTGCCTGTGTGTGTGTGTGTGTGTGTGTATGTATGTATCTATGTATTCTAGAGAAATATATATTATATGCATCCAGAGATGTGTAAAATATTCTCTATCAGTAGGAGAATAGATTAATAAATTGTGGTGTAATCATATGCTAGAATACTATACAGCAGTAAAAAAATGAACTAGAGCTGTACACAATAACATGGATATATCCCACAGACATGATGTTGAAAGACAGATATGGCCTGGGTTTGTTAGCTCATGCCTGTAATACCAGCCCTTTGGGAGGCCAAGGCTGGGGGGTTGTTTGAGCCCAGGAGTTCAAGACCAGCCTGGGCAACATGGTGAATCTCTTTTCTACAAATACAAAAAAAAAACACCTTAGCTGGGTGTGGTGGTGTGTGCCTGTAGTCCCAGCTGTTTGGGAGGCTGAGGTGGGAGGATCAGTTGAGCCCAGGAAGGAAAGACTGCAGTGAGCCAAGATCACACTACTGCACTCCAGCCTGGGTGACAGGACAAGACCCTGTCTCAAAAAAAAAGAGAGAGAGAGAAAGAAAAGACACAAGATTACATAGCAGTCTTTTTTTTTTTTTAGGTTTTTATTATTGTCTTTATTTTATTGAGACATGATATTTTATATATTTATGGGTTACATATGAGTGTTTGTTACATGTGTAGAATATGTAGTGATCAAGTTGGGAGTTTGGGGTACAAGGGTTTTTTAAAATTTTTTTTATTTTTTATTTTATTTTATTTTTTATTTTACTTTAAGTTTTAGGGTACATGTGCACAACGTGCAGGTTTGTTACATATGTATACATGTGCCATGTTGGTGTGCTGCACCCATTAACTCGTCATTTAACATTAGGTATATCTCCTAATGCTATCCCTCCCCGCTCCCCCCACCCCATGATGGGCCCCAGTGTGTGATGTTCCCCTTCCTGTGTCCAAGTGTTCTCATTGTTCAATTCCCACCTATGAGTGAGAACATGTAGTGTTTGGTTTTTTGTTCTTGCGATAGTTTGCTGAGAATGATGGATTCCAGCTTCATCCATGTCCCTACAAAGGACATGAACTCATCATTTTTTATGGCTGCATAGTATTCCATGGTGTATATGTGCCACATTTTCTTAATCCAGTCTATCATTGTTGGACATTTGGGTTGGTTCCAAGTCTTTGCTATTGTGAATAGTGCCGCAATAAACATACATGTGCATGTGTCTTTATAGCAGCATGATTTATAATCCTTTGGGTATACACCCAGTGATGGGATGGCTGGGTCAAGTGGTATTTCTGGTTCTAGATCCCTGAGGAATCGCCACACTGTCTTCCACAATGGTTGAACTAGTTTATAGTCCCACCAACAGTGTAAAAGTGTTCCTATTTCTCCACATCCTCTCCAGCACCTGTTGTTTCCTGACTTTTTAATGATCGCCATTCTAACTGGTGTGAGATGGTATCTCATTATGGTTTTGATTTGCATTTCTCTGATGGCCAGTGATGATGAGCATTTTTTCATGATGATGAGCATTTTGGCTACATAAATGTCTTCTTTTGAGAAGTGTCTGTTCATATCCTTCACCCACTTTTTGATGGGGTTGTTTGTTTTTTTCTTGTAAATTTGTTTGAGTTCTTTGTAGATTCTGGATATTAGCCCTTTGTCAGATGAGTAGGTTGCGAAAATTTTCTCCCATTCTGTAGGTTGCCTGTTCACTCTGATGGTAGTTTCTTTTGCTGTGCAGAAGAAGCTCTTTAGTTTAATTAGATCCCATTTGTCAATTTTGGCTTTTGTTGCCATTGCTTTTGGTGTTTTAGACATGAAGTCCTTGCCCATGCCTATGTCCTGAATGGTATTGCCTAGGTTTTCTTCTAGGGTTTTTATGGTTTTAGGTCTAACATTTAAGTCTTTAATCCATCTTGAATTGATTTTTGTATAAGGTGTAAGGAAGGGATCCAGTTTCAGCTTTCTACATATGGCTAGCCAGTTTTCCCAGCACCATTTATTAAATAGGGAATCCTTTCCCCATTTCTTGTTTTTGTCAGGTTTGTCAACGATCAGATAGTTGTAGATATGTGGCATTATTTCTGAGGGCTCTGTTCTGTTCCATTGATCTATATATCTGTTTTGGTACCAGTACCATGCTGTTTTGGTTACTGTAGCCTTGTAGTATAGTTTGAAGTTAGATAGCGTGATGCCTCCAGCTTTGTTCTTTTGGCTTAGGATTGACTTGGCGATGCAGGCTCTTTTTTGTTTTCATGTGAACTTTAAAGTAGTTTTTTCCAATTCTGTGAAGAAAGTCATTGGTAGCTTGATGGGGATGGCATTGAATCTATAAATTACCTTGGGCAGTATGGCCATTTTCACGATATTGATTCTTCCTACCCATGAGCATAGCAGTCTTATTAAAAAACAGACAAAACTAAACTTTGTTGCTAAGGTGTGTATATTCAAGTGGCTGAAACAATAAAGAAAAGCAAGGAACTTATTACTGAAAGAATCGGATACCAAGACAGTGCTTACCTGAGGCGGGAGAATGGTGTGAACCCGGGAGGCAGAGCTTGCAGTGAGCCGAGATTGCGCCACTACACTCTGGCCTGGGCGACAGAGCAAAGATTCTGTCTCAAAAAAAAAAGAAAGAAAAAAAAAAGAAGATAGTGCTTGCCTCTAAGACAGGAAAGAGAAAGGACCTGGAGGGCTTCCAAGGGTGCTGGCAATATTGTGTGCTTTGACGGGGCTGGTAGTGACGTGGGCAAAATAAATGAATTTTTAAATTTACTTTCCTGTTAATGAGTTATAGTAATAATTTAAAAAGTTAAAAAGATAAAGTAACTATCTCTTTGGCCTGGCTTAGTTCACACCTTGTGTTCACACCTGATTTTAGTTCTAGAGATTTCTGTGATTATAACTGGCTTTTAGAAGTGAACGACTGTGTCACTGCATGGCAAAGTGGTCTCCAAAGTGGGATATGCACCCCAGGGAGCACTTGAGAAGACTCATTTGGGTAGGAAAAGAAATTGATTAGGACTTGCATTTACATTCATTTTGTTATCATGAAACATTATGGTAACTGATGGCAACTGTATTGACATTGGCACCATCCTTGAGTCCACATATCTGGGTGGTTAGGTATTGCCTGGGGCATAGGCGAAGTCTCCTGAGCAAAGAATGGGAGTGCCCAGCTCAGGGGCTTCCTAGTGGCTTCCCCACTGTTCCATCTGTCTTTGTTATATTGTGAAATATATTGTGCCTAGTTAACTGGATTTACAAATTCTATATTTTAGTTTTAACAAAACCTCACAAACTAGCAGAATTTTTAAAAGATTCTGGAAAGAATTCTCATAAGTTGAAGACAATTTTAATATTGCAAGCAAAAAAAGAATGGCAAAGCTTTGCATGAACTTTTTGTCAGCCACGTTATGAGTTAATGACAGGGACCACTGAATCAAATCTGGCAAGAAGCTGGCCATGAAAATTTTATGATACCTGGAAAACTAAGGGATTTATATTCACCTTGTTTAATCATGAACTTCGTCCTGTTCGTATTGCCTTGAGATATTATGATTAGAAAACATTGTATTCATTCTGTCATCCTTTTTCCATGTTTTATAAGGTATATAACATATTAATACAATAATACATGTATATGAATTTAAAAAAAAAGACACATACAAAATGTGAGTAGAAAATAACTTGGATACTACTGTCATGTATTTCAAAGGCTACTTACTGCTCATAGTTAAAATGTGTGGAAAAGTCTGCATATCACAGGCAGGTCATCATACCATTAAAAGACCTTAATTTTTTTTTCTCTTGTGAACCTATTAAAGTGTATTTGATTGTATCACAGCCATTTCTAAAACAGATGTGTACTGCTGTTCCTCACACCAAATGTGTATCCGATACATAACATTTGTTCTACCAGGACTTGAGTAATTACTAATAATATTTCAAGGATGGAAATGATTTAAATGTTCATATGTCTGAAAAATTGATGAATAACTCCCAAAACAATTCAAACGATTCTTTCAGTATTGCCCCTGACAAGTTCTAAATGTTAGTATATTGTCCCCTTTGGATCATTCATTTTAAAGCTGTGAAGAGTGTTGATTCCTTGTTTTTCAAGCACATGTACATATGAAACAACCAAATTTCATATTGTTCATACTTAGTGAAATTTTTTTTCTATTAAAAGAAAATGTCTTTCTTAGAGAAAGCAGATCGCTGAAGAGACAGATATGGTAATAACGATCATTAGTTTACTTGGCCTTGGTTTTCCACAGTGTTGAGTTATAATGTAATCTATAGTTCATCTTTTTAACTAACTCTCAATACATTATCAACCCAGTGCCTCACACTGTTTACAAGGATGATTTATTATTTGTCAGATTTTAAGTGCTAACCTATGAAATGTTAAACTTCTATTGGCAGCCACTGCAGGAAGGTTTGTAGGTGTCCTGACTAATGCTTTGAAAGACCAGCATTAGCAGTAAATCACAGCATACAAAATTTTTTAATAAAGTAATGGAAAGGATTTTACATTCTGGGTCATCTAAGCTTTGGTATTTGGAAGTTAGTTATGTGCGAAATTAAAGGGGTAAAACATTCTCAGGCTTTAACCCTTGAACTTTGGGCCAGCCATAGTCAATAGCAAAAGCATCTTGGTAGCTTTGTTCTCCTAACCCCGAGATTTCTTGGCTATGAGAACTGACAGAGTGCCAAGTATAGGCCTAATTGCATTCCTTGTTACTGAGAAAAAATATCTCAAAGGAATTTTCCTTTTCTTTCAAAGGGGTACCTGGGCATTTTCTGGGATAGCAAAATTGTTTATAAGATGTTTGCAAAACTTTCTGAAAAGAGAACTTGAAGAGGGCTCTGACAGCTAGTTGAAAGGCATGTGTGGCTTACCTAGAGCAGTGGAGAGTTCGGGAGATGCAATTTAAAACGTGAGAGAGATGTGGCTTTGTCCTCTAAAAGCTTGCTTGCTCCTTGATGCACAAGCTGATGGCCTCTCTTCTTTTTCTTTCTCTATGTTCTGCTCAAAGATTTAGCAAGACATTACATAAGATATTCAGCTAGCCCCATAATAGACTGCCAGCTGTCTAGGTTCTGCTTTGTTCACCAATATTTCCTGTGCTGTGTCCACTGCCTAATACATAAGACATACTCAATTAGTATTTGTTGAATGAACATATATATTCAGGTATTTTCTTCTATGATCTATATATTGGTGATTAATTTATTGAACCAGATATACTCTGAAACAAATTAACTTTTTTGTTGTTTTTTGAGACGGGGTCTCACTCTGTTGCTCAGGCTGGAGTGCAGTGGTCCAATCATGACTCACTGCAGCCTCAGCCTCCTGGGCTCACGTGATCCTCCCACCTCAGCCTCCAGAGTAGCTGGGAATACAGGTGTGTGCCACCACTCCTGGCTAATTTTTGTATTTTTTATAGAAATGGGATTTCACCATGTTGCCCAGGCTGGTATTGAACTCGTGGGCTCAAGCAATCCACCCACCTCGGCCTCCCAAAGCATTAGGATTACAGGTGTGAGCCACCGTGCCCAGCCCCAGATTAACTCTGATCAAGGAATCAGTAGCTAATTTTAGTAGATTGAGATCTTCTAATATATGGAGTTTATATTGTAGTGGGAGGGCCAGACAATGAAGAAACATGTAATCAAGTGAATAAACCCAATAGTTCAGCAAGTGATGAGAGCTGCAAAAAACCTGAACAAGGCAAGTGTTGTGATGTAGACTAAGGGCTTGGAGAAACCAAAGCCTGGAACAACCTGAAAGCCCAGTGGTATAGAAGGAATTGATACAACCTCCCCAAAGGCTTAATTTACTCCAATAGTTAGCATGTACAGTGAAAAGATTCATCTTATCACAGCTTTTCTTAATGAAAATAGTTTTGCTGCATCTTACCATACTAAGAATGTCAGTTCCTACTTTATAGAATTTTGTTTTTAACACATCAGTTGGTTAACACCAGTGCCAAGGCCAAGGGGTTACCTCTCCACTTCACTTCCCTTCTTCTCCAAGCTGCACTTCTCTCTCAAAGCCAGACAGCTGTCTCCCAAATGTGCACTGTCAGTCGCATAGGAAACCAGATGACCAAAAGAGGGTGGATCAGCACAAATTTCTCATCAAAGCTGAAAGAAAGAAAGAGAAAGAACCTCAAAGCCAATGCCCTGCTGACTGTGGGTCAGAAGTGTTATCTTTGTATCTCAAGGACAGAAAACTTAATAAAGATTTGGGTACAAAGTACACATCATCCTCCAGGCATGCCGAACGATGTCAGTCAGAAAGCCGTTCCTTAGAGTTTACAATTTCCCCTTTTTCCTAAATTAAAAAATGCTAATGTGAACTGTTGACTCGCAACAACACATGTTATTATTGTATATAGGGCAAAGAGTAAATAAGACACTTGCCTCATGAAATAACAGTTCATTTTAACTCAGCAAGCTGGAAGTAATTTTAGCTTTTTTTTCTTTTTTTTTATGCTTCTTTATGGAAGTAGGCCACAATCATTTTTATTCCACGATTCTTTATAACCCTATAGCATGCTTCCTGTTTATGCTTTTAAGACCTGTTTTTAAAGACCCTTAAGGGATATCCTTTAATACATTCCTTTTGAAAATAATTATTCATCTATAGTACCCCCTTAGAATGTCTGAGGGTTTGAAAATATGGGAACTTCTTAATGAGATGTGTTTAATAGTCTATGCAGAGTATTGAAATGTTTACACCTGGTTTAGTTAACATAAATTATATTTAATTAGTCATTCTGGAAAATAAGTAGATATTTTAGAATAGATTCAGTACCTAAAACCCACCATTTGCTTTTTATGTATAGTATCCATAGATAAATTCAATGCATGTATTTATAGGTTTAAAAACATGCTTGCAATAACATAAAGTCAATTCTTAGGGACTTTTAGAAATAATACAAGGAACATGTCTTGTTGGGGCAAGCAAAAAAACATCCATGTGGGCCAGAAGATCATGTTTATAATTTTTTACAAAGTTTAAAGTGCAATACAAATGTAATTATGTTACTGCTATTTTTAACGTTTGTGGCATGAAGAACTTCTGGGTTGAATGACAGTCCATAATTTTTTGTTTAAATGCTGAATGTTCCTGTTTAGAGTGAGATTTCCTTTTTCACATGCAACCTTTGTGTCGGGGGTGCCCTGAGTTCCTTAGATGGAATCGTTCACACTGCAATTGACTTTTCAGCTCTTTAGGTGACACTTGTGCCTCCATGTGATCCTTCACATGATGCTTTAGCTGGAAGTCTCATTTATAGAAAGAAACCTCGACCCACGTCACATCTGCAATCTAAGAGCCCCACTGTGGCCATCTCCCCAGTTTCTCCCATGCACTAGAAAAGGGCTGAGCAATCGCTCATCCTTGGTATTGGGTGGCCTCTGTTATGGTCCTCTGAAGTATGCTGTGCTCGCAGAGTTTATCTGCCCTGCACTCTTTACTCTTGCTGCTTTGATGTCTTCTTATGGCTGGTATGTGTTTTGTAGTTATTCTGGCCACCAGCAGTTTTTTCTGCAAATCCTGTGTCCTGCTGGGTATGTCTGTTCCTTCCTGTTCCCCCAACAACACATTCTCTTCACTTCAGCATCTTTTTTTTTGTTTGCCCTCAATGCTACAAGAAACCAGAAACAAGACAGCGTGTCTTGATAATATTCCTCTGCCGATTTTCCACTGCCTTCTTCCCTGGATGAAATTGCTCTTTTCCACAGCACTCTAGTGTTGCCAGCTGCCATCTTTGTTCTCTGCTCTTTCAGAGCGCTCACATGGAGGGGGTGCAGCAGGAGGTGGGGAGGGCTGTGGAGAGGCACAGCCCTTTCTGCTCAGAGTGGTCCTCCAGAGAAGTGCCACATTGTCCGGATGGAGGACCTGACCATGGGAAACAGACTCCCTGACAGTCACCATGGGTTACACAAATATTACTTCCATTTAGCTTGACCTTTCATTGTGCTTGAAAAAGGACTGAAAATACTTAAATCATGTATAGTATTTTTCTGGAAACAAAAATAAATGGGGTTCTTTTCAGAAGGCACACTTGAACTTTTGCCCTTGCTCTTCCTTTTTGAGCCATTTTATCCAATTCAGTGTTTTCTTTTATCATGTATTTTCCTTTTGTGAGAAATAGCGAATTTCTCTGCTGATAAAATTATGAATCACAGAAGCAATGTAACTGTTAAAGATAAGGATAGCGCTTGTGGCCCTAAAATACTTAGTTCTGGGAATTCAGCTTTGCTAATATTTCTTAAGTGCTTACTCTGTATGTGCACGTATGTGTCACTGGCAGACCGACTTCTTAATTCTAAAACTGCTTTAATGCATTATCCCAACCAATTCTCACAACAGCCCTGTGAGGTGGGTAGTATTATCATTTATCTGTGTTTTATGGATGTACACATGGAGGCACAGTAAAGTTAAGTGATTTCCTCAAGGTCGCACGATTAACCCTGGGCAGGGCCTGGATTTGAACCTAGGCAGTGTGACTTCAGCACCTATGTTCTTAACCACTGAACTAAACTCAATAACTCAAGTGTGTCATAGAACCTCTGAGAACCTAAGTTTCCTCATCTCCGAAATGGGAATAGTAACACTTACCTTACTAAATTGTGAGGATCAAATAAAATAATTACTTGAGAGGATGCACTTAATTGTGATGTGCTGAAGCATAAGGTTGAAGTCTGGGGGAAATGTTGATATGGGATTTTCTGTTATGAGTCTTATTGGTGAATTTGTCCTTTGCTGCTTGGATATACTGCTGGTTCAGATGAAAAACTGTGTTTTTTTAAGGCTGTTTTGAAACCACAGGAAGACCTCAGGTTTCACAATGAAAGGGATCCTTTCCAAAATGGTGGCATTTAGAAGCATTTAGAGGACAGGCAAAATTAACTATAATTTTTTTTTTTTTTTTTAGACAGAGTTTTGCTCTGTCGCCCAGGCTGGAGTGCAGTGGTGGGATCTCAGCTCACTGCAACCTCCGCCTCCTGGGTTCAAGTAATTCTCCTGCCTCAGCCTCCCGAGTAGCTGGGACTACAGGTGCCTGCCACCACGCCCAGATATTTTTTTTGTATTTTTAGTAGAGATGGGGTTTCACCATGTTAGCCAGGATGGTCTTGATCTCCTGACCACGATCCGCCTACCTCAGCCTCCCGAAGTGCTGGGATTACAGGCGTGAGCCACCGCGCCCGGCCAACTATAACATTTGTAATATGCCAAGTAATCATATCATTGTTTTCCTTTTACTCTAATCCCCCTTTAATGTAGCACTTGACACTCCCTCCCTTTTTTCTAAATCATGCAAAATAAGTTTTCTTTCCAGTGTCTATTCACCATATACCATGGACTTATCACTAACTATCACTCACTGTGTAATACTGGACCTGGGACCATGTCTTGTATTGCCAGCACAGGGCCCTGAAACACAAGAGATATTGGGCAAGGGATAGACCAGTGGAAGAGAGGTAGAAAGCAAGTCCAGAGATAAAGATTTAGAAAGGCTGCAGACTAAAATGACTGCTTCAGAATGTGGGACAGGAGACCAGAGCTGCAGAAGAGTCAGCTGGGTGGTATTGGAGGAGGACCTGGAAGAGGACGCTGAGAAAGACAAGCTTAACAGGAGACTGGTTGTTCTCTTGCAGCTGCTTTACAGGGGAGTGAAGCCTTCCTCCTCCGTCTGATGCTGGGCCTGCCTTCCCTGCTGTGCAGCTACTCTGTGTCTGTGGGTCTAGTACCTTCATTTCTCATTATGTTCACACAAGTCAGGTTGTTGGGGAGCTGAGCTCTTACAGTCCCATGGGGGAAGTGGAGAGCCAAAGGTCTCACTTTTTGTGATTCTTTGGAGATTTTATGCACCCTAGAAATTTGAGTTTTTCCTGGTGTCTTCTGGGACTGGTACTGCATACCCAGGGTCACCCTGTTTGGGGGCTTTTCCAAGCGGAGTTTGTGATCATAATGAGTTATATTTTTCCTCTTTTCTGGATAAGAACAATATCCTTGCCATTCAGTCTCCAAATATAGCATGTGGTTATGATAGAAGAATATCCTTATGTTAGGAAAGAAATTGGCAGTCTCAATGAGGCAGAAATGTCCAATTTAGAAAACATGTCTAAAAGGAAAAGCTGCTGTAAGTCCTTTTTGGAATCAGGTGGAATATAAATGAATAAATAAAAAAATTTCAAATAAAATGTGTGGTCTGACAATACATTCTACTTTCTCTCTTTAAGGTACTTGTTGATTTTGCCTAAACTTCAGATGTAATTTTTTTGTCACTTCATTAAAATTTCAGACTACAAACTGATCTGGCATCTAATTGGGAGAATAACTTGGATGGAGATTTTCTAGCTGATGCATGTAATCAGAGCACTACAATAATATTGTCAGGGACTGACCCATTTAGAATGTTTTTAAGAATGTTGGTAAGTGTATAAGAAGAGTACTTAACACAGGGGAGGGAGAAAAGGCATCAGGTCCCAAAGAAAGAGCCAAAATGGAACGTATGTCAGTCTTGGCTGGAAGTATACAAATACGGAGTATATAATATAAAATCACCTAATCGATTAAGGTGTCTGTAGTTAACATTCATCAGAATTATGGATACAAGCACATCTATCATACTTCACCAACCCAAGGGTGCCTGTTTAGTTTCTCTTCATGTAGTACTAAGCTGATCATAACACTTGATAGGCAAGTAACTCAAGTAAATTGAAGTATATGATGCCCTTTCTAGAGGGCAGTTTGTCACTATGTTTGTTTTTAATCCTTTAAAATATATTTACTGTTTTATTTATAGGAATTTGTGCTAAGGAAATAATTAAAGATATGTGGAAAGGTTTTAGCCACAAAGATGTTCATTACATCATTGTTTATAATATAGTAAACAGGAAATTGCTTCAATTACAGATTAGTTAAATATATTCTGTATATGATGTCACAGTCATACAATAAAATACTGTTCAGCCACAGTAGATGCTGTTGTAGATAAGTATTGATAATGAAAAGATGTTTATGATACATTGTTAGGTAATAAAATGTTAACAAAAGCCAAGTATGCAATGTGATCATATTTTGCTTAATATATGTATATATTCTTAGAAAATATTCTGGAAATGTATTTAAGAGTTTTAAAAGTTGTTCTCTGAGTGGTAAGGTTTGGGGCATTCTTCTATTTTATCTATGTCTTTTAATTTTCCTACTCTGAACATATACTGCTTTCATAATAAGCAGAAAATAATCCATAGAGGTTATTTTTTTTAAAAAAAATTTATTTTTAAATAAAATTTATTAAAAAAAAATAGATTTGAGGGTGCATGTCCAGGTTTGTTATATAGGTAAACTCATGTCATGGGGGTTTGTTTTACAGATTATGTCATCTTCCAGGTACTAAGCCTAGTATTCATTAGTTATTTTTTCTGATCCTCTCCCTCCTTCCACCCTCCATACTCAAGTAGGCCCCAGTGTCTGTTGTTCTCATGTGTCCATGACTTCTCATCATTTAGCTCCCACTTATAAGTGAGAACACACAACATTTTGTTTTCTGTTCCTATGTTAGTTTGCTAAGGATAATGGCCTCCAGCTCCATCCACATTTACACAAAAGACATGATTTTGTTCTTTTTTTATGGCTGCATAGTATTCCATGGTGTATATGTACCACATTTTCTTTATCCAGTCTATCACTGATGGGCATTTAGGTTGATTCCATGTCTTTGCCATTGTGAATAATGCCGCAGTGAACATTTGTGTGCATGTGTCTTTATGGTAGAATGATTGATACTCCTTTGAGTATATATCCTGTAATAGGATGCTGGGTCAAATGGTAGTTCTGTTTTTAGCTCTTTGAGGAATTGTCACACTGCTTTCCACAATGGTTGAACTAATTTACACTCCCACCAACAGTGTATACATGTTCTTTTTCTCTGCAACTTTGCCAGGATCTGTTATTTTTTGACTTTTTAATAATAGCCATTCTGACTGATGTGAGATGGTATCTCATTGTGGTTTTGATTTGCATTTCTTTAATAACCAGTGATATTGAGCTTTTTTTCATATGCTTTTTGTGGGCATGTATGTCTCCTTTTGAGAAGTGTCTGTTCATATCCTTCGCCCACTTTTTGATGGGGCTGTTTTGTTCTTGTAAATTTGTTTAAGTTCCATAGAGATGCTGGATACTAGACCTTTGTCAGCTGCATAGTTTGCAAATATTTTCTCCCATTCTTTAGATTGTCTGTTTGCTCTGTTGATTGATGGTTTCTTTTGCTGTGCAGAAACTCTTAAGTTTAATTAGATCCTATTTGTCAGTTTTTGCTTTTGTTGTGATTGCTTTTGGCAACTTCATCATGAAATCTTTGCCCATCCCTAGGTCCATAAGAGGATTGCCTAGGTTGTCTTTCAGGAGTTTTTATAGTTTTGGGTTTTACATCTAAGTCTAATCCATCTTGAGTTGATTTTTATATATGGTGTAAGAAAGTGGTCCAGTTTCGATCTTCTGCATATGGCTAGCCAGTTATTCCAGCAACAAAGGTTATTTTAATTGAGAAAAGGAAAATATTTAGATCAAACCTTATTAAAGTGACTGACTCTGGATAACTGAGAGACTTTATATGAGGCTTTTTGGCTGTATTTGTTTGTAAACATATTTCAGCTGAACATGTGTGCTGTGATTTTGAAAACACTGACTACTCTATAGTACATTTGATTTAGCAGAGATTATTAGCTTTCTTCCTAGACTGCCCTGCAAAATGAAGGAACTCAATTTATTAGGCCAGCTCTGGGGTTTCTTCCTACTCCCAAATCCCAGGTCTACACTTTCTAGGTTTACCCAGAGAAACTGCTGAGTGGGGATTCCCTGCATTTCTTCTATTTACTAGCTCCCAAGTGATGATCATGTATTATTAAGGACTCATTGTATCATTTGTAGTACACTCAAGCTAACCTACTCTGTAATATTATCCTTGATCTTTTGCTCCTTTGAAGAAAGACCTTCAAAATACCTAGTTTTTGTATCAATTGTTGATTACTCTAGTTTTTAACTTTTTTGGAGCGCTTATGGTGAGGGTTACATAGCTGAGAGCTGCTCAGTGTTTCAGGGGAGCTTCAGCCGTAGGTGGGAAGCAGTTGAAGCAAACTGTAACAAAGAAGTCACTTCCATCAGAAAATAAAATTCCCACCAGCTGTTAAACCCCTGACAACCTCTCAGCCTCTTCCTTTTGTGTCCAGGAGACCTCTGTCTGTCTACAAACCCTGGACCTGGTTTAGTTCAGTGAGGCAAGATGCCGTATATTTTTCCTTGTTAATCACCCTTGGCAGATGTCATAGTATTACAACCACTTTCTCCTCCCTTTAAAAATATAATTTCAGAATGACTTCACAATAAATGTAGAGGTAAATTACAGTAACATCTGGCAGACTGACTTCCTAATTCCATGACTTCTGAGTGGTTGTTAGTGGAAAGAGTATTATAGCTCCATGAGCTAGGAAACCCATATTTTGATCCTGGCTCTGCTGTGAACTTCTTGGGGAACATTAGAAAGATGACCTAGTTTTTTTAGGTCCAAGTTTTTCTCCTCAGGAAAGTGAAATAGTTGAATGTGGTTGTTTTCAACCTTCCTCTCAGTTCTGAAGTTGTGTGACTATGATCTATAAAGGTCATTTATTGTTGCCTTCATAACTCAAGACCAAAGGCAGAGTGTCTGTTAACACTCCATTTCAGTGACTCCCCTGCCACTTATTTCTCTTGGTCCAATAAACTATTGTTTTTTTGTTTATCTTCCTTTTCTCATAAAACACTAAGTAATTTCAGAGAGAATCTCATTTTGGCATTCTTTATATCCTCTAATGTATGATGTGTCTTCGTGACTACTGAAAAAAATTCTTAAAAGCAGCTACTTCCATTATTCTCTAGTTTTTAAAGCTATCCCCTGAGAACTAAATGTCAATTCAAAGATTCCTGCATTTGTTATCATTTCTACCCTAACCTGTAGAAGTCCAAGACATAATTTGAAACTGAAGGATTCTTGCCTGGAGACAGTGGGCTCATAAATATGTAGCTTGATTTTTCTCTATAAGAAGAAATTAGGATTTTTAACAACACTTTTTCAGTATCTAAGTTGAATATGCAAAATTGGGCTGCTGTACATGCTTGCAGATCCTGTATTTTTAATTGTAGTTACATTATTTTTCAATTGAGTAATAATTTTCAATGAAGCTACTGCAAAATAACAGGTTCTTGCCTAATGAAAGATTTTACAAACCAAAGACTCATGTGTTTTAACTCTATCTCTAATTTAGACTCTGAAATATGCCATTCTTCCTTTATATATGTCAGATAGCTGTCTGTTTTCTAGGCCGAGCATGGAAAACACAACCCAAGTGGGCCACAGAAGAGGTCACTAATTTCCTACCCAGTACCCATTCTTTTCCTCTTCCTTAGTAACACATTCTGATTTTATTCAAAGGGATAATGTCCCCAGCCAAAAGACTGCATTTCCTAGCCTCCTTTGCAGTGAGGGGTAGCCAACACAGAGATCACTAGGTGGGAGTTCCAGGAAACCTCTTCAGTGGGAGTTGACTGTCCT
This sequence comes from Homo sapiens, assembly GCF_000001405.40. NCBI lineage: Eukaryota > Metazoa > Chordata > Mammalia > Primates > Hominidae > Homo > Homo sapiens. The sequence continues at coordinate 200,347,369 of NC_000002.12, forward strand.
GCGCATGTCTTGACTCTGCATCTTCTGGCTCCTTTCTGAGCTCCACCTGGTCACAGGATGGTCAAGTCAGCTTTAATCTCATCATCCTCTTCATTTAAGCCCAGCAAGAAAAAGTCCATTTTCCTAATAGCTTAAACAAAGCCCCCGGTTTGCATGTCCTTGCCCTCATTGCCCATTTTGAGCTGCCTTGAACCCATAACTGAGACACATAGAATACAATGTGCCGATGGATCCATCCTGGTCATATAACAACCCCAGGGCTCAGGTTGGAGGCAGCTTCACTGGGTCCCCTAAAGCAAAGTAGGGCTAGGAGAAGTGGGGGTGGATGGATACTGAATGATCATACTACAAATGTCCACCCCACCAAGTATGCCAGTTTCTTCTCTGAGTTATTAGTCTCTGATAATCTGGTAAACTGCTTGGTTTGCAAAGTTACGTGAACAACAATTTAGTCACTAGATTCATTTATAGTAAACGAAGTTGAAGGCTCAAGGCTGCACCATTAATCTGGATTAGCTATCAAAATATATATCTTCTAATTTTCCTGAGTAATATCTTATAATAAGTCATATAACTTCTCTTTCCATTATCACCCCATATATGGCCTGCTAAAAGGGTGGAATCAAAAGCTTGCCAAGAAATTTTTTCAAATCACAGCAATTGTATTTTCCAGTATGGCTTGCTGATATAGCAGAGGACATTGTTTCTGAACATAAAGTTGTATAACAAGTTACAGCTAAATGAAATTTAAAACGACTTGTGATAAACCCTGAAAAAGTGGTGCTTTAAAATAGTAATGTCAGCAGGCTGTCTATTATGTAACCATAATACTAGTGTTCTGAGTTTAGATGGGGAAGTTATAGGGCAGTGACAGAAAATGTCGTTGTCCTGTCTTTGGTATGAGAGAGCATGTAAAAGTGATTTTGAAGTGATTTACTGCAGATGCATGTTGAGACATGGTAAACAACGAGACAGATGATTATGGCCACAGTTCTGAAGATGTTCAGATGGACTTCAATTAGCTTTGGGCAAGGCTGCTTCTTGCAGAAGCCAGTATTGATTTTCCAGAATGCCTTCTAACTTTTCAGCAGAAGGGCCAATCTTGTCAATTCCTTTAAAGCCACGGGACACGTCATTGGAGAGCAGACTGTGGGAAGTCTTCCTGCAGTGGCCAGGGACTGGCTATCTGAGCTGAGGACAGTGGGGCTAGGTGGAGGTGAGGCAGTGAAGTGGAATGATGGAGTGTGAGCTCTACAGTCAGAGAGGCCTAGGTCTGACACTAGTACCTCCATGTATACCAGTAGATCACTAAGCTCTAGGAGCCTCACTTCCCTCCTTTGTAGGATAGGCACACATGAGAATCTAATGAGAAAAGGCCTGGAAAGCTCCTAGCTCAGTGCTTCTGGCCTGTACTAAGTGTTAGGAAATGTTAACTATTACTCCGTTTCAGAGCTGGCCCTTGAAAGAAAGAGAAATATTATTGAGTTTTTCACTCTTTTCCCCTGAGTTTCATTAAGAAAAAAAAAAAAAAAATTTGCATGTGAAGAAGTTGAATTTGGGTTGGCTCTATTCCTTTCTGACTATGCTTTTACTTTCTTGTGTAGAAAAATGGAGAGTCAGTATTGGCATATCCTAGGTGCTTTTACTATCTTAGGATCTTGTCCTGTACTTTCGGTGCAAATTTGTTTAAAACAGCCCTTTTTTAAAAAGAAGAATGGTGTTATTGCATCACATCTAAGAATGGCAGCCACTTGCTGAGAGAGCAGAAGGACCCTGAGAAGTCAGCAAAGTCTCAGGCCTGTAGTTGGCATCACGTTAGAGACCACCAGCATTCCGTCTGTCACTTTAGACCTTCTGGAAAGAGTGTTCCAACATCTCAGAATAGCAGGACCCTAGGGTCATAAGCCTCCAGTTTACAAATGAGGAAACCGAGATCTAGAAAGGAGAAATGACTCACAGGCTACATCAAGAGTCAAAGACACGTAGGCCGGGCATGGTGGCTCACACCTGCAATCCCAGCACTTTGGGAGGCTGTGGCAGGTGGATCGTTTGAGGTCAAGAATTTGAGACAAGATTGACCAACATGGTGAAACCTCGTCTCTACTAAAAGTACAAAAAAATTAGCCGAATGTGATGGCACATGCCTGTAATCTCAGCTACTTGGAAGTCTGAGGCATGAGAATCCCTTGAACCCAGGAGGCAGAGGTGGTAGTGAGCTGAGATGGCGCCACTGCACTCCAGCCTGGACAACAGAGCAAGACTTCGTCTCAGAAAAGAAAAAGAGTCAAAGACACAGGCAAGAGTGAAATCCAAGGTTCTCAATGCCCAGGTCAGGGGAATTAATGACTATACCCTGTTTATCCTCTAACCTTCTCCTTCTGGTCTCCTGTTAATTGCCATTCTCATCCAAGCACTGAAGGGCAGGAATTCATTCCTTTCAGCAAATTCAGTTTGTTGGAAGCCACCTTTTACTTTGTCCTCCCACCAAAGTGTCAACATCTAAATGTCTTCCCACTGTGGTCACTCCATTACCCAGGAATGAAATTCACATCTCCTGCCTGGGGGTCTAAGAGTAGCCACTGCCCCAGGCTATTGAATGGGAGAGAGCTGGAGGCCTCACTGTTAGTGCCCAGAGAGACTTCCTCCTAGGCCCTTGTTTTCAACCTGGACCCTCAGCCTGCCCTCCATAATGCCTGGGGTCTCAGCCTCTTGGGTTCAGTTTTCTAGAGAGGAAACCACATATGTCCCACAGGGTTGAGAGGGATGGTTGCGTGGCTACGGTGAGTGAGGTGGGTCTGTTCCCCCTCTCAGCCTTCCAGGGGTTCTTTGGTGGCCAGACGGCTGGCTTCTCTGTATTCTTATCTGTGGGCCCTTAAGTCTCAGTGGCCTCTGCTGAATCAAGTTCCTACTCTTTTGTCTGCTTTCCTTCTTTCTGAATGGTTGTGTCATGCCTCAGCCATTTTTGTCTCATCTTCTCATTTGTTGTCCTTTTGGGCTTATACCTTTTAAAAATTACTTTCTCACCATCCAAGCAGGTTTTGGAAGAAAACAGATCAGCACAGTGTTAACCACCCCCACCCCATGTTAATAGCCATTTTAAAAAATATATTATTTAAATTTTTCTCTCAATGCAAATTTCTAAATTTAAATTTTATTTTGATTTCATTTTATTTTTTGAGATGGAGTCTCACTGTGTCACCCAGGCTGGAGTGCAGTGGCACGATCGTTCACTGCAGCCTCTGCCTCCTAGGTTCAAGCGATATTCGTGCCTCAGCCTCCCAAGTAGCTGGGACTACAGGTGTGTGCCACCACACCCAGCTATGTTTTTTTGTTTGTTTGTTTTTTTAGTAGAGATGGCGTTTCACCATGTTGGCCAGGCTGGTCATCGGCTCCTGACCTCAAGTGATCTGCCCACTTCGGCCTCCCAAAGTGCTGGGATTATAGGCATGAGCCACCATGCCTGGCTTAAATTTAAATTTTAAGTAGACCTAAAATCCTGTGGATAGTGACTGACTAGGGCTGAGTGTGGTTAATTTTTTTTTGTTTCCTTTGGAATGTTGAGGCTCTTGGCTTCAGCAATACAGAGAATGGGTGAAGCAAGTGAGGAATTACCCTCCACAAAGATCACACCATATGTTCAGTCACTGCCAAGAACCTTCTGAAAAACAAATCTTCTCAGGTTTTGTGTTATCACCAAAAGTTAACCTCACAGCATGGTTCACAATCATGTTTATGCAAGTGTTTTGAAAATGAAATGCACCACTATGAAATCAATGGGTGGAAAGCAGTGCGAACTCTGAGGGAGAAGTGCATTTGTGTATTTCTTCTGTAGCTGAGCACTTGCTGGGAGGGAGTGCCAAACATCTCAGTGTTTGTGTTTTTAGATGCACTAACCAACAATAGCAAGCTTTTCTCCAAGCATGTAAGTACCGGGAATACAGAGGAATGATGTTTGCTAAGTGAATAAACTTAATGTATGCTAGAAGATTTTGTGACTATAGTAATATATTTGCAGTAAAAACATTTGAAGTTGAGATACTTTTCAAAATCCTGAGAAATTAAAATTAAATGAATGGCACATATTTTGTTTTGCCGAGAACTAAACTGTCCCATTAAAAAAATAAATATATTACCTTGTCAGTAACTTTTCTCCAACACCTGATGTATTTTGGTTAATACTAAATTATTCCTGGTGTTCTGACACGCATAATTGTTAACAAAGGGATTCATCTAATACAATATTCAGAATTGATGACTGATTTACATAGCCTTAAACTGAAGGATGGGGCATAAAAATTTTTTTATTCACTCCTCCCTTCAGTAGCGAGGAGTTATAGATTGAGATTTTTTTTTGATGCAACTATAAATCAACCTTGTAAAAACATAGCTAACAATGATGTAGTCTTTGGTATAAGGTTTCCCTGTTGGCTTCTAGAAATATCTGAGGGTTTTGGTTATAAATCCCCTGCTCCTTGACACGGCTCTTTAAGAGGGTGGAAGCCCCCTGTGCCATTTCAGTTCTATCTTGTCAATCTGTTTGAGTGTTGTTCAGTTAATGGTTGCTTTCTATTGCCTTTTAATGGATTCTAAGAATGTTGCTATATCTCTTTTCCAGTCTGTTTGGCTACCTTTCTGGCTTGGGTAGTTTCCCATTTCAGTGTACATCTCAGTTTACGTGCTTGAAGAAAGAGCCAGAGACTGATGGGTGTTTGTGTCTTGCCTTTTGCTTTTTGTAAATGCCTGACAGTGTAGCAATGCCTCATGGTTTACAACCAAAAAAGGTAGTGCTGTATTTGTATTCTGAGTTTCTTTTCTTGTGTGAACAAAACTGACAATTTAAGGGTGATAGAAAAGGGCATATACTTAAAGACCATAAAATGAGTTTTTGCAGCTCTATATAAAATACAAAATATTTTGGTTTTGAGGCTATATAACCAGCAGTTTTTATATATATATATATATATATATATATATATATATATATATATATATATATATATATATGGTAAACAAGCTCGATTTTCTCTCTCTCTTTTAAACATTATCCCAAATAACAGGCTTAACTAGTTTTCACCTCCACTGTATTGATCATTTGCTCTGTTACGCAGACACAGCTTAGGATCTCTTGTGAATCTGCTAACCTGCTGCTTTTTTTTTCCTTTTTTAACCCTTAGCTCTAGAATAGCTGGATTTAATGGCAGGGGGCCTTAGCCTCTGTTCCTGAAGGCTCTTTTCCTCCTGCTCCCTTGGAGAGGGAAGCATTATTAATTTTTCCCCTTCCCTTTTGATTATAGGAAAAATCAGGTAGACAGTAACTCAGTGCCAGCACACCTGAATTCAGGGTTCAGCTCTGCAGACAATTGCTTTCTTGTTCCTTAGCCTCATGGGCTGGTGAACAGCGAAGGTGAAGGGGTAATGAATTCCTCTAGGTGCTGATAAGAGCTACATTCCAAGAGGATTAACAGCACAAAAACCTGCATGTATGAGGGAAAAAAATGAGAAAGCAGGGGAGGGGAACACCCACATTGACACACATGCACAGCCACACAGTGAACTTTCTAGTGTTCTCAAAGCCACATTCCAATTTTAGCTGCCCAAAGTCTGAACTACTCTGACAACAGCATCTACATGTTGTACATGGCATGTACTTTCTTTAAAAGGTTTGGGAACATTCTTGCTGTGGTTCTGAGAAAGGATACTCTGGTAGCAGAATGACATCTGGCCTCTATCAAGGACTTCCTTGATCAAAACACAGAAAAATTTTCAAAAATACCTTGATTTTAGACTTTTCAACCTAGAGGAGCAAAGAAGAGGAGATGAAAAAGTCCATGTAATCTGTTAACCACATCTGAGAACAGTTCTGGAAATGGAAATTTGGCTCCATTTAAACTTTCCTAAAACAGCTTGATCGCTGCGTTGAAATTTGGGATCTTGATTGTGCAATCCAAGTGGAGGTCCCTTGTATGTGTTTTGACGGATATATTTGGTGAAACTTAAAGGCAGTATCATTCCTGTCTGCTAATCAAGGGCCAGAACCAACCCACACACATCTGCCTAACTATTCCTCACTGCCTGTTATGAAAATAAACCTCTCATTTTTCAAAAGAAGTCACTACCCCTGAAGCAGAAAACAAGAAGAGCAAATGGATGTGGTCCCTGGATATTTCCACCCTCTTCCAACCCTTTACCATTCCCTACCTCCAATAGCTATGATACCCAAAATTTTCAAACTTTGAATCTAACCACCCTTTGTTTTGCCACATCCCCTATTTCACAAAGAAATCTGACTTAGTTTAGCTTATCCCTAAAAAAAAAAAATTCTGAAGGTATTTGCCACTCAGACCCATTGTCCTTGAGAAATGAACACATAATCAACTCTTACTGAAGCAATGACTTCTACAAGTACTGTGCCGTGGTCTAAAACAGAAATATGCACCACTATTGTAGGAAACTACAGCTTTTACATTTTCTTGGCAGAACTCTGGTCCTCTCTTTATAGTGAGAAGAGAACATTCCATAAATAGCAAAGTGGGCCTTCAGTTAAGTTGTCCAATCCATATTTTGCATGGTGGTGTCCATTGGAAATATACCTTCTTGATGTCAGTGAGGGCTTAATGAAGTTAAACATTTCCCAAGTAAGTTTGTTTTTGAGAGGAATCACTTCAGGAAGGCATGTTGGAGCAAACTTAAGCTTAACTAACCATGAATAATTATTTGCCTCGGTCTGTAATTTTAACAATGTGAATCATTAGCTCAGACCCTGTCATTTATCCCAAAGAGGGAAAGATGCATAGCCAAGACCATGGAATTTAGTGAAGGCTCTCTGCTCTGAATAGAAAGGGGTGTTGATGTTCCTCGCTCTCATACAATGAGATGACTTTAACTTTACCCTGTGATCCTAGAAGTGGAGCCATAGGTCTTGGACAGTGTAGCCAGCCCTAGTAAAGAATCAAGTTCAGGTCGGGCGCGATGGCTCACACCTGTAATCCCAGCACTTTGGAAGACCGAGGTGGGAGGACTGCTTGAGGCCGAGAGTTTGAGACCAATCTGGTAACATGGTGAAATCCCGTCTCTACTAAAAATACAAAAATTAGCTGAGCATGCTGGCTGGCACCTGTAATCCCAGCTACTCAGGAGGCTGAGGCAGGAGAATCGCTTGAACCCAGGAGGTGGAGGTTGCAGTGAGCTGAGATTGTGCCATTGCACTTCAGCCTGGGCGACAGAGCAAGACTCCGTCTCAAAAAAAAAGAGAATGGAGTTCAGCCTTTTCTTCCCACTTACCCACTTCATTCTCGTGCCTTTCAAGCCCTCACCATTGCGAGAGGCTAGCTGTTGCCAAGGATTCTTATTCCTCTCCTTTCTTCCCATTTGGAGGGATAGTTTGTAGAAAATACAAATAGCTTTTAACTGTCTGTAGATGTATTTTAAAAGCGCTTTTTGGGATACATCAGAAAATATTTTTCGATTTAAGAGAAAATGGCCATGAGTTTGTTAGTTATTTGCTGTGCCTGAACAAACCAGATTTTAACAACAAAGGCAGTACCTTTGACATCTTGCCAGGGTTGTGTTTCGTAGCTATACATGACATTTAGGAAATGTCAACCGTGAATGACTTTTTTTTTTAATTGTAGTAAAGTATGGTTGGATATACGTACAATCCCTGACTTACAAGAACTTGACAAACAGGTTTCCCGTAGACATAAAAGGCCGCCCTTCCTCTATCTCTCCCTTTTCAGACATCTCTTTTGTTTCCCCTCTTTGCCCTTCACCCGCCTGCTGTCTGTCCCCCTCAATGCCAGAGCCACTGTGGCACTGCTGTGGAGACCGCCTGTGGAAAAACTTGGCCCTTCTGGAAAAATCGTGGTTTCTGGAATGGAAGGAGAAGCTGTGCAAAAGACACAGTTAGGGGGTCTCACCCCAGACATAGCCTCTGGGCTGGACCTGGTGGGCTCCTCAGTATTTTCTCTAATGTGGTGTGATTCTTTCTACCTTCATTTACTTTGATTCATTTGGATTTACAAGTATCCTTTTTAAAAATCTGGATGTCTGTGAGACAGATAAGGAGGACAAGCCCCATTCATTGTCATGTTGCTGTGAATTGGGTCAAGCTATAGCAACCACACACACAAACACACAAATCTCATATGCATTTAGTGATTTCTGTTTCACTCTTTACAAAAGGTTTCCACACACGATTGTTCTTCACAGCTGCTTTACAGATGGTGAGACTGGGAGTCAGAGAACTTGATACATTTGAGTTGCGGAAAGCAGGACTAGAAGTTCTGAATTGAGTTCTCCTTCCATTCCGTATTCCACTGTGTATACAAATATGTTTATGCAGACACATACATCTATGTCTTTTTAAACAGTGAAGCAAACACATTTGCAGGTAATTAGAAGACAGAATATAATTCAGACAATTTCAGACTGTCTCTGACTTCAGTATTATGCTATTTTATAAGATCCTTACACCTGGAAGGTGAAAATTAGATGACTGAGTCTTATTTCATAAGGAAATAAAGAAGGTTGTTTCCTTATTTCCAAGTCTTTAGAGATTAAGATTATCGTGTGTACCTGTAAAACACACTTAAAACCTGAATGTTAAGATTTTACAACTTGACTGAGAAATATCTATGTAATGGTTGACTAAATAATTAACGGAATTCATGAATTATATTCCTGTTTACAAGTCAAAGCCCAACACTAATAGTACATTTACACCTGTGGTTTTGAATTTCTTATTTGAATTACAAGTCAGTCCACGGTAAATGGGTATTATGTGTATCTATCTATAAAGTGTATTGGAATTTCAGACCAGAAAGTCAGGCTCATTATTCATATGAAAACCTTTCTGATCAAGGCCTAAATAACACAGTTCTGAAACTGAAAATGATAAACATGCATAAAAGCACATTATACAGGTCTGTTTATAGTAATAATAATGATGGCACTAAACAGATTTGTCTCACTGGCAATGAACATACAATGGGGACATCATAAGAGATGAACTAGTGCCATTTTCTGAGACAGAAAATTCTCACATTTTACATAAAGCCAGAAGTAAAAAAATGGTTCCAAGAAAAAAACATGTGTTAAGAATTATAAGTGTTTAGCTTAGAAGGAGGGAAAAAAATGGGTTATCACAAACATTGCTTTTTTTTCTCCCAAAATATAGAAACATTTTCCATTCTCTGACTACATGATGTCATGCTCTGGATCAAAGACATAGTGGAGGAAATGGAATTATGCAAATGAGCAATATAACTTATCAACTAGATTCAATAGGAAATAAAAATCTGAGGATGGCTTGGTAAATGACTAATAACGCTTTAGGGATCATGGATGTCAGCCTATTTTGTATAACAGAATACTCTAGATTGTGTAGTTTGTGAACAGAAGTTTATTTGGCTCATGGTTCTGGAGGCTAGGAAGTATGGCATTGGTGTCTGGTGAAGGGAGGGCCTTTGTGCTGCCTTCATCTCATGGCTGGCAAGAGAGCAAGAGGGGGCTCACCTTGCTTTTACAACAAAGCCACTCTCCAGATAACTAACCCACTCCTGCAATAAGGACATTAATCATTTATGAGGGCAGAGCCATCATGACCTAATCACTCCCCCCAGCACTGCTGCATTGGGGATTAAGTTTCCAACACATGAACTTTAAGGGATACATTCAAACCATAGCAATGGAATTGTTACTTTCAAGGATCTAGATAAACTGTGTTTATTAAAATTGTGTGAAGTTGTTACTGAATATTTTCTTGAGAACTATAATGTCATCATCCAACATTCTTCACAGATGTTGAATTCTGTTCATTCCACCTCTGTTTGGGGCCAGATTTTTTTGGACATGTGTTTTCCCTTCTAAACTGCTTCTGTAGGATCGGTTACTACATTCCTGAAAGTCCTTTCATTGTCAGTGTCTGTAGAATTATGCTTTAGGCTCTGCTGGAGCCCTTAGCATTGCTGGCTAAGTGAGGCCACTGAGAAATAATGCCAAGCCCATAGTGTCATTAAAAGCCTTCCTCCCTTACATTGGCAGAAGTTTGGAGGCTCTAACTTTCAGCTCAGCCTGTCACTTTCTTTGGAGACAGGTAGGTGGTTACAAAGACCATTGATTTCTGCCTTTTGAAAAATGTAGAGAGGGGGAAAAGTAACTATACAACTTATCTGATTTTTTAAAAATCAGATGCCTCTTTTCTTAGATTATGGTTTTGAAAAGCCAACCCAGACCAAATTACTTTTTCCATACTCCAGCACAACTTGGCTAAATTTTAAAGCACAGGTTGTTTTTTATGTAACAAGAATAGGGAAACTTTACTCCCATTTCACATGAAATGACAAGTACATTGACTTGGTTTAGATCAATCTGCATTCAAGTAGACTATCATAATGTTTCTCATGAAGTAGCACTGGGTTTTAAAGTCTTCGTAGTTAATTTTTGAGCATCAGTATATGTACGCGAGCAATACATGTCTCAAAGTGCATTGGAGACGTGATCTTTGAGAGATATCAAAGATGTCATCAAATCATCAGTTTGAATTTATAACTGAAGGCACCCAAGCACACATAGCCTGGGAGAGACTTGCTTAACCACTGAGACAAGGAAACTGGCCTGATGTTAAGCAGCTACTGTTCTGTCACTTGCCAAACATTCCTGTTACAGAGTCATGTTCTGAAATTTTCGTGAACCAACTAGACGAACAAACTGTGTGGTCTGGATAAAATAATATCTGCCTAAAAGGAAAGAAGTGAAGTTAGCCAGAAAGCCAGATGGCAGATTATTTTCTGCATAACTCTATTTGGAAAGTGAGCTTTATGTAATTTTTGGTCATTTCTTACCATCTTAGGAGACCATTTTCAGAATAAGCCATTGAGGGATCTAGCACACAGGTTTCAAAAGATGAACTGTACAAATGCAGGCACATCATATAACCTGTTCACAGAATTAGCACTAGTTGATGAAAATGCTTGGACTTCTTTTTCTTCCAGCATTTTCATGACCTACACCGCTATTCCATGTCTTTTAGTATTCATTTGGCTAAATTATCTTAGAGCTAAATTCTATGGCTAGAAATACAGTGGAGTTCACATACAGGAAAAACCTGGCTGCAAAGGTACGTGAATTTAATATTGGTCTTCATCTTGTGGTTGACCAGATTGCTCTGCTCACTCACATGCAGAAAATCAGGAGTTATTCACTACATACACACAAAGGTGATATTTCCTTTTTTTTTTTTAAGGCAGAGTGCCATTTCTAAATTGCATCTTCAAGCAAATGTAGTAATATCTTGGGCTCTTGAAAATTTGGTCCATCTTCCATGTTTAAGAGTTTTTTAGCTGGATGCAGTGGGCCATACCTGTAATCCCAGCACTTTGGGAGGTCAAGGCAGGAGGATCACTTGAGGCCAGGAGTTTGAGACCAGGCAACATAGTGAGATCCCATCTCTATCTAAAAACAAAATTTAAAATTAGCCAGGCGTGGCAGTGCACACCTGTGGTCCTAGCTACTCGAGAGGCTGAAGGGGAGGATCCCTTGAGCCCAGGAGTTCAAAGTTGCAGTGAGCCATGATTATACCACTGCACTCCAGCCTGGACAACATGACAGAGTGAGACCCTGACTCTTAAAAAAAAAAATACACACACACACAAATTTTCTTTGAGGTTAGAGGCTGAGCCCCAAGCTTTTAAATAGGAGTAAGGAAATATCAACTCACACTGTTGTTACTTACTCTAGCAAATCAGGATAAAAAACTTCAAGAAATCAATTAGGGTTGTTTAGTTTTTAAATGGTGGAATCATTTCTAGGAGTATTTGGTTTCTTCTCTTTCTTCCTCCATATTTTACTGAGGCTTGATCATATTCTTTCTAATTGATGTTCAGTTTCATACTTTCTTCATTATTACCACCTTTATCACTCTAATCAAACTCTGATAGTCTCACTACAGACTCTTCTGAGCTGCTCTAACCAAATCCAGTTTTTTTTCCATCCAGCTTGCACCCTAACCTCAGAATAATCTTCACAAAACATAGATATCATGATGATGTTTGTATCTTTAAAATGTTGAATGGTTCCATATTTCATTCTACAGCAAATCAAATCCAGATTTCTCTACCTTTATTTCATTGTTCAAGGTAACCTGCCACTTTGACTCTTCTCTGTCTTCCAATGACTAACATTATTTCCTGTTACTCTGCAATATATTGGCGCTCAAGTCAGTGTGATGAAAGCCAACTTCTATCCCATTTGTGTGATAAGCCTGTTCTTGGAATAAAGTATTCCCAGAGAAGTCTTATTTGGCATGCACCTCCCATTTTCCTTCTAGCTCTGTAAATCCTGGCCATTCAGCAACTGTTAGCTCAGTCCTCACCTCCTTCCAGTTCATTTCAACACATATACACTGAGCATCTTCTGCAAATGGAAAGTCATCTTACAGCATGTGGCAAGGAGTGCACGGCTGTGAACCAGGGCCCTTCCAGTCCAGCTGAGTCTGTCTGGACTACTCCAGACTTCTAAGTCCTTCTCTTCTGAACTTCTACAGTACTGAAATTCTAGACCAGTGGGCTCCAAAGTGGAGTGCTCAAAATAATCCTTTGGGGGTGTAAGAATATATTGGAGCTTATATTAACATCTTTTTCCATATCTTTTCAAATTTCTATTTTAGAATATTTCTATAAAGTATGTGATATATTAATACAGAAGCACATGTTTAACCTTTATAAATAAATAACATATATGGTCCATGTGCAAGCACTACAACTATGGGGTGAGTGATAAAAAATACATAGAGCCTCAAGTTCAGAACAATTTCACTGGGGTTTTAGAAGGTCAGCTAACTGGTCCACCCAAGTCCATTTATTCTCTTCTTCAAAAATTGTTTACTAGTTTCCTACAGTGTGCCAGGTAATGTTGAGAGAGAGGGCAGTCAGGCAAGAGGAGAGTAAAATGTCAGCTTTCTTTCTGATAAAAGCTCACTGGAAAATGTGTCTTTAGATCAGGGCCAGCATGGTTTGCCAATACTTCGCCCCTGCAGTAAGGAGACCCAGTTACAGGCAGAGTGGGACATTACATCCCCTTCTCTACCTCTGTCCTCCCCAACCAGGGGCAGGGCCTGCACCCAAAGCTTATTGCATGGCCAAGAGCAGGTGGAAAGTTACCCTCTTTGCCGGCAGGCAGAAGGATCCTATCGGAGTGGGGAGAGGAAGGGGGGTTACCCTGTTTATTCTTTCAAATGAACCTAGGAGATAAGCCGCTCCTCCTTGGGGGAGGGGAAGCAGGTGGCAGGTGGTCAGCAGTGTCCTCACAATATGGGATTTCCTCTAAATAAATAAGCTACTGTTATTTTGGCTTTCATCACCTCGTAATAAGCTCTTGTGTTGTTTCAAATGTATCTACCTGAAAAGGAGCACTCTTTCTTTTTTTACCAAAAAGACTAGCATGGCACATGACCCATTGAGGGGATGAGTAGAATTGTGTGCTTGAAGATGGATCTGTACTGAGGCCTGAGGCTTGATGCCATTGTACGACCCCCCGCCCCCACCAGAGTTCATCATCTGGTTTCCCAATGGTAGGATAGAACAGAACAGAGCAGAACAGGGCTGTGTGTGTGTGTGTGTGTGTGTGTGTGTGACTGTGTATGTGTGTCTGTGAATTGCTTCTGGATCCATTGTGAAACTCCCTTTCTAGCTCCACCCCACTATTCCCCACCCCACCCCCCCACACACACACATCCCTACACAGATACACACACCTACATACACATACACACTGTTCCTACCATTAAATTTTGCAATCTGTGGCACATTATAGAATGGACATAGGTGAAAGCATGTGGTCATGAGAAATAAAGCAAAGAGAAACAAAGTTTATTGCTTCTCATGTAAGCACAAACCAACTTAATGTCATGAGAGAAAGAGAGAGAAGAAAAAGGAGAAAGAAGGGAAATTGACTGGGGGGAGAAGGAAAGATTGGAAGCCCTGGTCCCTGGATGAGGGACCTTGTTGAGATAATCTCCATCCTCACTCCCTCCTTCTTGCCCTCGTAGGGCAGAATTCTAATATGACATTCTAGAAAATTAAAATCTATCCAATTAAAAAAATATCTGCAGGGAAAGAGATTTCAAAACCTCCCTCAGTAACTAAAATGATTAACTGCACGCTAAGAGAATACATTTCTCCAAATCGTTAAGGCTTTCTTGCTGCAGTTTAAAATGGTCTTCTTTCCATTGTAGAAGGCTCAGTTCATTGCCATCCTTTGTCTGAAACAGGGATATTAAGTTGACCGCTAGATTTACAACTGAATAAGCCAGTCCTTTGCCATCATGCACCTGTTTGTATGCATGCACTTTTCTACATCCTCTTCAGTTTTTCACATACCACTTTAGTTGTGGGAACAAAATAAAAGGATTATTTACTGGTTTCTGTGTGCTTCTATGTATTTATCCCCAGTATTCAGCTTAAAAGAAAAACTATAATGTTAATTCAAAATCAGTTTTTTACCTGTCCATTATGATTTGTTCAGGGTATTAGGACATTTATACATAAGTCTTTTAGGATATTGAAACCTTCTTAACCCAAAGGTGTGAATGCAGGGCCAGATGTGGTGGCTCATGCCTGTAATCCCAGCACTTCGGGAGGCCAAGGCAGGAAGATCTTCGAGCCCGGGAGTTCAAGACCAGCCTGGGCAACACAACCAGACCCTGTTTCTACAAAAAATAAAAAAATAAAAAAATAGCTAGGCATGGTGGCACATGCCTGTAATCCCAGCTACTCAGGAGATGGAGGCAAGAGGATTGCTTGATCCTGGGAAGTTGAGGCTGCAAGTGAGCTGTGATGGAGCCACTGCACTGTAGCCTGGACAACAGAGACAGACCTTGTCTTGAAAAAAAAGAGTTGTGAATGCTAGAGTGCAGGAAATTTCTGGATTAAATATTAGTTTTGTTACCAATTTGGCTGCTGAGATAAAGACAACACTGGCTTAGAAACACAAAAGTCTGTTTCTCCCTCATGTCACAGTCTAGGCATACAGGCTGATGAGGGAGCTGCACAGTCTTCTGGCAGGTTGTCCTGTCATCCTTACATTGTGGCTTCCATTTCAAATTCTTGTCACACTTCAGCTGGCAAGAAGGGGACAAAAGAAAGTGGGAAGCACACCCTTTCCTTTTAAAGGTACAACTCAGAAGTTTTGCATATTACTTCCATTCACATTCCATTGGCCAGGACTTACCTATGTGAAGATACTTAATTGCAAGGGAGGATGGAAATTATGACCTTTAGATGGGCGATTGTGCACCCAGGTAGAAGGAAGTAATGGATTTTGGGGACAACAGTTTGCTTTGCCTGTGGCTTTGTAGCGCCAGCCTAGCAGCATGTTTTGACCCGGAGTTCAGCTAGGGGACTAGTAAGCAAAGTAAAAAAATATCTAAGGATATAAAGAAGGAGAAAATCTCGCTCTGCAGTAGAAGGTTGGTGTTGCAGCTTTGTGGCTCTCAGGCCTCCATTTCAATGATGAGATACACCTATCCTCCTGCTGGAAAATAATTTGAAGCCTAACCCCCAGGAATATATTTTGCTACTGTACAATTGAATTAAAATAAATTTTCTAGGTACAATTTTCAGGCCAGATAGGTTCAGTATAAAACCAAGATCGCATGCATGATCACTGTGATTTTAGGCCACGGAAGCCGTACTGCCATTGCCCCTCGATCCAGATCCTTCTATTAGTCTCAGTTATTGCTACACGTCTCTGAAAGGGGCAGTAATGTATGTTTGATGCCTATAATGATAAAAATTAAACTTTTAAAATGCTAATGAATGAAAATTTAAAGTTTTTTTTTTAATTATACTACTACTACCACCTCGTTATAAAATCTGCATTACTTCAGCAATATCCTCGCTAGGAAAAAAATCATAAAAAGACAGTTTGCTTATTATAGTGCAGTGCTATACATACTCTATCGGGGACTTGTGTGTCTTATTTGTTTACTTGACTAGCCAAGCACTTTTTCATGTTAGTGTCCATATTCGTCTTCTTCAGCTGTAGCCCTGGTTTTCCTCTCAACCTGACAAGACCAACCTGGATTTTGACAGTCACACTGATTTTTATCTCTTTAAACAGCTAGAAGCAAAATCAGATTTTGTTTCTGGCTTTTGTTATTGAGAAAAGTAATAAAAACCATGGCAGAATTAGATCAAGGACATTCATTATTTTAACTAGGAACAAGAAATAAATACATAGCTCTTCCCAAGAATTGGATTAATGTAAGTGTACAGAAGATATTAAAAATGACATTGAAAATATGTTTCATAGCTGGTCATTTGTTTGATATACAAATGTTAGCATTTCTACTGTCTGTTGTAGAGATGACATAATAATGAAAAGTCTCATTTCATTGGCTGAGTGCTTTAGTGTGTACCTTTTCTGCATTAATTTCTGTGGTCAAAGCTTAAAGCCTTGGATCAGTCTCCACCTGCATGGCTGGCACATACCAGAGGAAGGAAAACTGGGAGGTTGTGGTGGAAGATCAACAACAGGCACTCACTTCAGTGTTAGTATTCCTGTTTGAATAGGTCATGAATTCTCAACAGGGGCAACATTGCCCCCAAGGGTATGAAAATTGATTCTTGGAGAGTGAAAAAAAACAGATATTATGGCTGAGCTCAGAGTCAGAGGGAGATGTTACTGTGGAATAATGGTCAGAGAGATGGGACGCTGCAGGCTTTGAAGATGGGGGAAGGAGACATAAGCTAAAGAAGGTGGGTGGCCTCTAGAATCTAGAAAGGGCAAGGAAACAGATCCTTCTCTAGAGCTTCCAAAAAGGATCCTTGTCAGACTTCTGACTTACAAAACTGTAAGGTAATGAATTTTTATTATTTTAAGCCACTAAATGTGTGCTAATGTGTTACAGCAGCACTAGGAAACACAGTGTTTCCTCTCCTGTTCGGTAAGAAGAATAGAATGAGCTGTGTCACCGGTTTGTTGTAATTGCTAAATAAAATGATTTGTGAGAAGTACTTAGCATAGGGAACATAGTGATGTATCTCCGCCTTGCCAGCGTTCAGACGGGCAAGATTTCCCACTGAGTGCCCTGTTCCCGTGTTTAGGTTGCCGATGGACTTCTTTCTTAATGTCAGTGGCAACTGTCAAGTCTTATAGTGGCCCAGTCACTTTAAGGGGACTTTGAAGTCTCTCCTAGGGTTCATCATTTATTGATTTTATATATCAACTCTCAGAAGATGTTTTTATTTCACTTGTTGCCAAGTTTTGGGAAATTTATTCTAGTGCCATCCAGATACCACCCACTCATAGGTCCTTCCCCAAAGCAATTCTCCCTGTATTTTCTTTCTCCTTTCTGCCTGGACTGCAGGAATGTCTGAAGGCTTGTTGGGGTCTGTAGAGAGGTAGGGGAGGGAAGTTCCTAGCAGGGAGCAGAGAAGGACCAGTTGCCAGTCATCCCGGTGAGTGCAGGGCAGTCCCAGGTGGGTTGGGCATTCTAGAGTGAGGCATTCCAGTTCAGGGATGACTGGGCTGGAAGAATAAACTCCGTGTATTGTTTTCTTATTTTTGCTTTGTTTTGTTTTGTTTTGTTTTATTGATTAAGAAAGTCTCTCTAAAGAGGAGAATCTTCGCAATCTGACATTCATTGATGTCCTTCAGGTCAGTTAAGTCAGTTGGGTAGATCCTGGTGTAAGTGAATAAAGTGAAAGCCACAGGTTTTCCTCTGTCTTTGCTGGGTCAGTCAGATTCCCAGGGAACAGCTTTTGCATTATCACAGGACAAGAAACCAACAGAATTGTATTCCTACTACCCAAGTGCTAATATTTTGTGGGTTTACTTATGTTATCTTTTAATGCTCACAAAATCACTGCGAAATACATATTATTACTTCCATTTTCTGCTGAGGAAGGGGAGCATCATCACAACATCACTATGAAATAGATAAATAGATGGCATTATGCCTGTTTACAGCCAAAGATCATGGGGCTCAAGGAGGATGACAGCTGTACCGGCTTGGCTGGGACAGCAATATGACCACTGTGGGGCTGCTGCTGGCTGGTTGCCTACACAGGACTTCTCAGTTGAGGCCATGTTTCAAAGCCTGGTTTTCAGTCTTCAAAGTCTATACATGGGACTCTGTCTGTGAACTCAGAGATGATCAGACTCTACCGTGATATACTCAGGCTAACAAAGTTTTAATATGGATAATGGATTAGCCAGAAACATTATGGCCTTATTCTTAGGGTATTTATTTTTTTCTAAGGATCATGTTCTTCCTTTTTCTTTCTTCTTCACTGTGTCCCCATTCACCTAGCTACTTCAGGGCCCAGCTTAAACCTGACATCCACCTGGAAGCTTTCCTTGACCCTCCTAATTTTTGTTGTTTGCCCTCATCTCACCCCCAACTCAAAGTGGTCTAATAAAACTTTGTGCTTCCCCTAGAATGGCTTGTATTGTATTGTTTTCTGCTCACTTGTCTGGTCACCCTCACTAAAATCAAAGTTCCTCGAGGCCAGGGATTGTATTTCATGTACTGTTCTTTTAGCTAGGACTCAGCACAAGCCTATATACATAGGAGATGCTCAATAAAATTTTCTTGAATGAGTAAGAATGGTAGACCTGTGTTTAAGTCCTGACCCTGCCACTTTCTACTAGTGTGACTTTCATCAAGTTCCTTCTGTCCATACAGCCTCAGTTTCCTCATTTATAAAAAGAGAAATTTTGTTGAGATGCTAAGGAGTTCTTTTCAAACATGAACATATTGGGATTCTAATGCAACTCATTAGCTGTCCCAGCACCATAAATCAACAATCATATCTTGCAAAGTACAAGTTAGGTGGATTGCCTAGACTACTTGAACATGGATTAATTATTTCACCCCATCCACTTACATACATTAACAGTCAACAGATTCATACCTGTTTTGTGCTGATATTTCTGTCCTTGATCCCAAGGGTTTACTTATCATAGAATATCCTCTTCATTTGGACTGACTGGCACACTCAAAAGGAGGCTTTTGAGCCTGAGAAAATAACAAATTCTGCTTATGTTTGCTTTCTTATTCTTGTATCCATCTGTTTTTTACCTAGGGAGAGTTAATGAAATCTTTTGTTATACTAAGAATTTCAAGTGAATATAATTAAATAAACTATCGTATAAAAACAGCAGTATCAAATAAGAAAAAAGTCTGCAAATATTGATGATTATTCATGGACTTGAGTTGGTAATAGGCATAATACCATGACTGTGTGAAATATTTGATATGAAAATAAAAGGAAAATGCAAACTAACATCCCAGCAAAAATGTGCAGTATTAATTGTAAATAATTGCAATAGCTCACATGTGATGTCTGCTTAGCTAACTCCTAACTAATGGAGGAATCCATGTCACACTGCAAGATTGTATTGGAGGCTTACAGATTTTCAAGATGTTGCCTTCTACATTCCTAAAGCTTATTACCATAGAAATCAAAATCTTACCATATCTCAGGTACTTCTTGCTAGTAAATTAAACACATTTAGATGCTTTATTAATATATAGTATGTAATAAACCAAAGTAGTAATTTACTAAGAGTTTCTATAGGTGCAATTAATTTTTCCAAAATTTGCTCAACATTTGCTGGTGACTGTCACTAATCGAAGACTCAAAAATAGACTAAACACTTTTCAGAAATTACTTCTTAACCTTACTGCAAAGTCGTAATATTATTGAAAAGATATACCTGAGAGGATAAAACATCAGTATTCTAAGTAAACTCACTACAAATAAATTTTAGTCTGTATTTCGTTAAACATTTTCTTGCCCTGTACAGAATTTCTTTTATCTTTGGGCAAAAACTGTGTTTAGCTTAGCTTATAGGCTAATTAACATTAAGTTGGGTTTTTTTCCCCCACTCTCTCTTTCTTCATTACTTTCATGCCTTCTTGCTTATTTTGCAATCATGATGATCTCTGACCTGCTTACTCAGCAAAGCCCACTTCCAGGTCAGGGCCATGACCTCGTGTGGACAGAACACAGTCTTCTAGCAACACACCAGGAAACAGCAAAGACAAATGGATTTGTTGTTTCTGTGAACACAAGTTATTCTGTACTCAAATCGTAGTCAGTGAAAATGATCTGATGACTCAAAATCTTGGTACAGAAGCCTAGATGAAAATCTATACTTTTCAAGAAAATAAGAGTATGTCTTTATTTCATATGGAAAATAAATTATGTGGTTTGTTTGCGTGCAGCGTTTGCATTTGATCATAGATTACCTAAATTACTTTCTAAAAAGTAGATTGAAAAAGTTAAGAAAGGAATGCCCATATTTACATATCCCAGTATTGAAAGTGAATTCCAATTTTTATGCTACATATGGAGTAAATGAATGTGTGAATGAAAGTTCAGATCCTAAAAGTTATTGATCATGTTGATGATCAACTGAATCACATTGTAAATTTAGCTGCATTCTTTAAAAATGTTACTTATTTTCAGATTCAGATAAATGGTTCCTAACTGGTAAGTGATAAGAGTTGTAGTTTATAAACAATGTAGTATTTTGTCTCATGGTTCTGATTTTTAAATTACTATACTTAATTTGGTATTCAAAACAGCGTTATAAGAAAGTAAGAAAGTTTTCATTATAAAAAGGTTGAGAAACCTGGTTTTAACTAATCTGCCCTAAGAAAAGAAGTTGATGAATGGCAGGATTTGTAACAGAGCAGAAACAGAAGGGAAATGAGCTTTTTCACTGTAATAGTTCAGTGGGTTGTTTCCGTGGAGCAGGAATCCCGAACTTCTCAGGGAGGCAGAGGTGTGAGAATCCAAAAACCCAAAAGAAGATGCATACTTGGTGAAGTTAAAAGGAAGAAGAAAAAAATTCAGTGTCCAGGAGAGTTCCTCACATGTGGTGGACAATACATAGTTTAGTTGACTCAATGAACTTAGACCATTCAGTCATATTGGGCATTGGTATAATTTAGTTCTGCTATAATGTACAAAAATGACACAGAGGTAGTAAGAGTGATGAGAGACTTAAGCTCTTTCGGCATCTGCTTGAAGTCTTATTCATGTTTAAATGAAAATGGGGTCTCAGATACTAATTTGCCTCACTGCCATTTTCTCTCTAGAGAAGTAAAGTAAATGAAGGAAACTGCTATTTTGGACCTAATTTTAACCAAGAAAAGATTGGTTGGTAAAATAGAAGTAGAAGGAATCTTTATCAATTTATTTGATAAATACATGTTGAGTGTCTGCTGTGGGCCAGCACTTGGGGGATTGTGACCACAATGTTTAAGCTTTTGTGCTAACTAAGGAGCAGATGGTGGATATAGCAGACATGTATTACAGACTTCAGGGGGAAATCCCAAATATTTCAGAGAAGAAGAAGATATAGTTCTATAGCCGGAGACTCTGAAAGAGAAGATGACTGAAGAGATGAGAAGCCCATCTCTACATTCAAATTAGGGCTCTTTCTAGGTACTCCTAAAGCTCCTCAAACAGTCTTGGCACATAGCTGATACCCAGTAAGTTTTACATATACATATATAAAATATATGTGTATATGTATAAAATGAAAGAATCAACAATGAAATCTTGATAATATAATCATGATTATGTTTCCAAATTACCAAAGATAATGTACACATTCTGTCTTACACATACACATGTACTCCAAGTCTAACAGTCCATAACTGTTTGAATGATTAGAATTAGAGATTTGATAGTTCTAAAAAAAAAAAAAAAGAAGAGAGTTATGGCTGCAAAGGGCATGTTCAAATTAACTCATAAAAGAACATTCATTTATTTTATTTATTTATTTATTTTTTGAGACAGAGACTCGCTTTGTCACCCAGGCTGGAGTGCAGTGGTGCGATCTCAGCCCACTGCAGCCTCTGCCTCCCAGATTCAGGCAATTCTCCTGCCTCAGCCTCCTGGATAGCTAGGATTACAGGTTTGCACCACCATGCCCGACAAATTTTTGTATTTTTAGTAGAAACAGGGTTTCATCATGTTGGCCAAGCTGGTCTTGAACTCCTGACCTTAAGTGATCCGCCCACCTTGGCCTCCCAAAGTGCTGGGATTACGGGCATGAGCCACCGTGAGGCAGGGGCCATAAAAGACCATTTAAAAAGAATGCAGGGAGAGGCCAATAACCAAGAACAAATATCAAAGAGAGAGACAGAATCCCATCAGAAAAGTGTCAGGAAGCCTGGAATCCAGGGTGAGCTGGATAGTAAGTATAATAATACTTAATAAGTATTAAGTACTGGATAATAAGTATAAATTAAGTATAATATATAAAAAAATCCTAAAAACAACCAAAGACATAAAAAGCTGGTAAGAAACAATCCTACAGAAAATAATGGTGACAGAATAATCCAGATATGGAAGACTGGAATCCTAGTGATGTCGAGTTTTGTGCATTTTTTAATAATGATGTAGTTATTTCTGTCAAGACTGCGATATTATTTTTATCTTTTTTATTATACAGATTTGTTTTAGTTTCGTAAAGAAAAAAAATAAGAAAGAGACAAGATCTCTGATGAGAGAAAAACAAAGTACTATTGCTCCCTTCTTATTCTTGCCTTTTAATCAAGGATACTGATTTCTCACCTGTAAGGGTAAAACAAAATGTGAGTAAGAAGGAACTGAGGTCCCCAGCAGTGTAGTGCTAGGCCCTTAGTGCCTCGTCATGGACTGGGGCCACCTGGCCGGGATTGCATCACATGCCTTGCTCACCTGTGACTGTTGCTGCAGTCAGTCATCTGTGAGAATGGCAAAGAATGGAGAAAGCCCCCAGAAGCTTGGTGATTGACAAAAAGAGAAAACATAAAAGCTCAGCAAAATTCTGGAATTTATTCTGAAAACAGAAAACACTCAGAAAAGCAAGTGATAATCATTAGGCTCCAAGAAGTCAAGCAGGACTAAGTGATTTTCCTGTTCAATAGAATAAATGGAATGCAAAGTGAAGAGAATGTAATAGATATGGTGTATATGAATTTCATCAACGCAGTTTTCACAATATCTCGGGGTTTCATTATGGATTTAATGGAGAAATAAGAACTGAATAACAGAATAGTTTCAATGGATTCACAACTAGGTTTGCATAACAAACCCAGAGAGTGCCAAAGAATGGGTCAGTGTAATTGCGGAGGGTAACCAGTATAGACTCTGTTCTATTCCAGATCTCTCTTTATCAGTGACATGAATGGTGATGATTTTGATGAAACAATAGAAATAACTGACATTTATTGAACTCTTATGTGTCAAAAACTGTTCTATTATTCTATATATATTAGTTTATTTAATCTTCACAATTCTGTGTAGTTGATATTGATAACCTTTTATCTCCACTTTATGAATGAGTAAACTGCAACACAGAGAGTTTAATTTCCTCAAGGTCACACAGTTCCTAAGTGGCAGAGCTGAGATTCAAGCCCAGACTGTGTACTTAATGGCATAAGTGACATAAATGATATCCTTCAATTTGTGAATGACCAAAGTGAAATGGACAGCTAAAGTGGAAAGTTACAGATTTGCTACCCGAAAGAACCTTAATAGGCTTGAGAAATCAGCCAGATTAGTACGACAAAATTAATTTGAGCCAAATGTAAACACATGCACTTAAGGTTCAAAAAGAAAAATCAACTGCCAAAGTAAAGATTGGGGAAATGGGACTCAGGTCATATGAGGAAATCTTGGGGGTTTTAATTGATTGTCGGCTCATTATGATCAGTGTATACCGTGATGTGATTATCAAGAAAATGCAATCTTAGGCTGCATTTAAAAATGAATAAAACCACTGAGTATATACATGTATATATGTATCTCAGGGTGGGAAGAATAAAGTTCTCAAGTTCTGACAAGACAAAATGTCTTATCCACAAATTAATTTAGGAATGTATTATATAAAGTTCTTTCCAACTCTGA
Organism: Homo sapiens; assembly: GCF_000001405.40. NCBI lineage: Eukaryota > Metazoa > Chordata > Mammalia > Primates > Hominidae > Homo > Homo sapiens. Next base: position 200,371,281 of record NC_000002.12, read on the forward strand.
CATCCTTTGATTCTATGAACAAGTCTGTACTAGGATAGAGGAAAGCATACGTAAGATGAATCTGAGAATTTTGGAAGAGTGACCAGGTTTAAGGAGTGTCTGAAGGCAGAGCTAGCACATTCATGGAAGGCAGTTGCCTCCGTCTTAGCTAAGGGTTTAGTCACAAGTAGACTTGTACAGAAAAAGCTCTTTTAGGATGCATGGATCCCCATTGTAGAATATGTTTGAGCAAGGTCTGGATGGCTATTTAATGAGGATATTGACTGCGGGATTAACTTACAGCTCAGGAGTATGTATCTCAGGGTGAGAAGACTCCAGACTATGTCAAATGAGGAATAAGTGCACTCTCAAGAATAAAGTTCTCAAGATCTGCCAAGACAAAATGTCTTATCTACAAATTAATTTGGGAATGGATAAATTCCCTTATACATAGAGTCCCAGGACTCCAGAAGAGTAAACAGTTACTGGATGTTGAGTTCAGTGTTGAAGCTTCACCAACTTGCAGATTGTGGGTACATTAGGACCAGGAGATGCTTCTCATGAAGGTTGGGTTGAGTTACAAACCAACCCAAACATGCAAAATCTGTTAGAAGATATTTGTGTCATCGAACAGCTTCTTTAGATTTTGCTTTGAACGGTAAGTCATACCGTGTTTTCTAACAAAGCCGTAGATTTGAGGCATTTCTGGCCCTGCCTGCAGGAAGAAAGGCTCTTTCCATCACCATCTCAGACTCCCAGGCATAAAAACCCAAAGGAAATAATTGACTTCTGAGAGTGTGCCTTGTAGGTATCAGCTGGACTTGACTTGGCTTCAATTTTTGCTTCAAGCTTTCAGACAACACATGACTAAGACAGAATGAGACCACTCTAGTTGCCTCATGGGAAACTCGGGAAAAGACTGCAAAAACAACATTGTTTCTCCCTTTGGAATTCTGGAGTTATAAGGCAGAGGTCCCCCATCTTCCCGAACTGTAAGTGAATTCCCTCTCCATTATCCTCATTCAATGGCCAGCCAGCTTCTGCTTGAACAGATTCTGTGACAGGAGTCTCACTACCTCCCAGGACAGCTTCACCTGCCCTTTAATGACACCAAATGTAACAGGAATAAAGGGAAAGGAACATAAGGAGATAGTAAGTTAAGGAATGGATAAGAAAGAATGTGGCCCAGGAAAGGGTATTCCATGGTGGTTTGTCCTCACTGGGAAGTGGGGAGCAAAATTTAACGCACTGAGAAAATGTTGTTCCTCCCATTGATAATTTTCCTTCCCCCTTTGGCATTTTTGCCAAGCCAGCTTTACATCTACGATTCTAATTTTTGTGAATACTAAGATGTTGCAACTGGAATGAACCCTCTAAATAATTTTTAAGCTACATATTCCCTTAATTTGTATTGAACCAAAACAATGGCACCAGACTAGTGGAATGAGGACCAGCTTCGGAGTTAGTTTGAGAGGTTTCAGTCCCAGCCTTGCTGTTGACTAGCTCTGGGACCTGGGCCTTAACATATAAGCCTTAGTTCCCTCATCTCTAAAATGGAGATAATAATACCTACATGCAGATACATTGTGAGGTCTCAGTGAAATAGAATCATCCAGTGTGGTGCCTAAAGAGGGTTTTGTTTGGTTTGTTCACTGCTGTATCCCCAGCACCTAGGATGGTACCTGGCACAGAGCAGGTGCCCACTAAGTGCTAAAATGAATACTGAATGAATGAATGACTGTGGTCAGTAAATGATAGCTATTGCTAAAGGCATGGCAGAGCTGTCAGACACAAGAAGTGTTTGTAAAGCAAGAGGCTGATTATTCAGAGGCTTGAAGGATAATGCTTTGTCATAAGCTAAATTAATTTTTCCCCACCATACAGCATGGCTTTAGGATTCTTCAAAAACTAACTACGTTGGTCTGATGGTAGTGGGTTACCAGAACTTATTAACATTAGTGTCACTAAAGTTGGCATATAATCCCCCTGTGCTAAATTTGACTGCCTTAACAAAAAAAAAAAAAAAAAAAAAAGAACAAAACTGACTAATACTGTGACCATTAGAGTCTTTCCTCCATCCTTACCCTATGTTCTGTATGAAACATCTAGAGGGGTCGCATTCTGTCTAGTCAAGTATCATTCGAAAGCTTGGAACAAAAAATGAAACCAAGACTTAAAGACTGGCTGGTAGCCATTCAGAAATAGATACAAATGTAGATTAAGTTTTGAAGACATTTTTCTTTTCTAATACCTCCTCGCATTTTTAAGAGAAGCATTTAGTAAAACAAACAAGAGTGTCTTTTCAGTGTCTGGTTATCTCTTTTTCCAGACTGAGTTTGGTAAATTATGTAATATTTGGTGTTAGTCATCTCACAGGATGTAAAATCAGGTAAAAATAAAACCAAAAGGAATCTTAAATATAATTTATGAGTTACTTTCCTAGAGGTAAGTGTAACTCGCCTATATAATTTTATTTTTTTGGAGTCCTTTAATATTTGTTAGATTAAAGCATATATTTTTACAAAACTGAAAGTACTGAAAGTCAGCTTGCACCAATTTGAAGTTATTTTAAAAGATCCTGTTTTCAATTCAGTATTTCAAGAATAATAGAGAAAATGCATAAGGTCTAGATTCAGAACCATGTAACCAAAAATGACAGTGGGGTGGGAGGGAGAATTGGGCTGGGATAGGATGAGAAGGAACTTTCCCATTTACTAAAAGAAAAATGAAACAAGGATATTACCTCTAGCTGCATTACGAACAGAACAAATGTAAACCACACCATATAGACACCTTCTCAAATACTGCCTTCTGATGTCATCTCATTGCTTACTGCCTGCTAATCTTATCTCCCTGCAGGAGCCAATCTTAAATTTATACTGCATCATAATTAACTAAATACATTGCATCTAGCAGAGACAAATCGTGGCCTCCCAGTAAATATTTATTAACTGACTTTTGTGTGCTAAGCAGGTAGGTTTTATTTCTGGCTTTACACATTAGTCACTGTTTCTGCAAGCGAAGTTTCACTTTCGCTCTTCCTCATACCTGCAGTGCCATTCCGATCATTGCCAGTATTGCCTCAAAGTAGTGCAAAAGAGCACTCCCTCTCTGAAGCCCTCTTTGATTAAGCTCACCTAAACTAAAGCCATCTCATCCCTCCAGAAGCCACTTTATGTACATGGTTGTAGTCATTTCAGAATGATTTGTTGACCATTTTGTTACATTCTTATTTCTCTTGGTTTTGATCCCCCTGTGCATGGCAATATACACCCCCACCAAGAATAGGCATTGGGTCTCAGTTGTCACAGGGACACACACACACAGGCACCCTCTACATGTAGTGTCTGGCCCAGGAGGAGCACACTCAAAGGACATGTTCCACAGTTAGATAATGAAATTGTTAGCATTAGTAAGATAAAACAGACATTCCTAATTATTTGTCTCTACGAATCGGCCAAGAATGGGTATAAATGGAACCAAAGCTGTGAGAGATGGACCTATTTCACCAAACAAGTAATCAAAACCTAATATATTTACACCTCAAAATTGGTGTTAGGTAGATTGAATAACTATGAAAGTCTTCCAAAGGGAAATAATATATGGTATTATATTTAGCTGAGAGGCCTGTGCATTATTTGAGCCACTGTACTAAAAAAGTTTTGTTTCATTCAATCTTTAGAAAAATGATTTGGAAGAGATTAAACTATGTATTGCTAATGCTTGTACACCATTGGAAGCATCTGGTACTTTCTGAACTTCCCCCAGTGTGAGTTGAGCCATAGGGCAGGCTAGAGCTCCGTGCAAAGTAGAGAGGATGTGTGTCTGCACTCCATCCTTTTATGCTACAAACTAAGAGTGTGGCCAAGGCAGGCCATGAGGTGGTTTATGAAGCGTCCGTAAAGTGCATGTAGGTGCCAACAGCAATGAAAATCCCTCTCTGTGCTGGAGTTACGTGGGTATATAGGAGTGAGGCTAATGGTTAAATGTGTTTAGCATTGGGTGAAAATGAATTTTTTTTTCATACTCCATAGAAAAGGTTAACTTCAGTCTTTCTTTTTTGGACAAAAGTGTAGGCTTTGATCGAGAGGAACTAGAGAGCTATAGTCTAGTGACTTTATCCTGGGTATAAGGCTCTACAGTAAGAAGAAATAAAATCAGTAAAAGATGGTAGGCAAGTTACCAGGTTAAAGAGGGGATACATGAGGCCCAATAAGGATGATATAGAAGGTTTGGGTGCTTATGATTAGACCTTGACTCTGATAATGGCTAAAAGATATTGCAAGGTTGGAGGTATGCTGGGAGGAAGAGCAGAGTGGATTGGAAGGTGTGTGAAATGATGTGGCTAGAACAATATTGGACAATGCTGGGTTTTCTGTTTTTTGAGATAGGGTCTTACTCTGTCATCCAGGCTGGAGTGCCAGTGGCATGATCACAGCTCACTGCAGCCTCCACCTCCCGGGCTCAAGTGATCCTCCCACTTCAGCTTCCCTAGTAGCTGGGACTACAGGCACATGCAACCACACCTGGCTAATTTTAGTACTTTTAGTAGAGACAGGGTTTCACCGTGTTGCCCAGGCTGCTCTCGAACTCCTGGACTCGAAGGATCCTCCCACCTCAGCCTCCCAAAGTGCTGGGATTACAGGCATGAGTGACTGTGCCCAGCCTGACAGTGCTGGTTTTAAAAGGGTGGCATTTAAAGTGATAACTTAGTATGAGGGGTTAAAAACTGGAGAAAAAATTATTAAAAATTCATTGCAAGCAAGACAGGAAGAATAAAATGAGAGGACATTTATTCCTTTCTTTCCATGTGTCTTCATTGAACACTTAGCTTGTCAAAGGCATTGTATTTGGAACTTTGGAAGAGAGAAAGGCAAAGTGGAATTTATCAGAAGCAGTCTTTTTAAAAGGAAGGAATTCTTTTTGTAACGTATTAAATCTGTTAAAGTCATGTATATTTGAAGCACTTTAAAACTATTTATTAATTTCCCATTACAGCATATTTCAGGTGACAAATTTCTATTTTGTATTACAGCTGGAAATGGAAAGTTCACTAAGATAGTAAATATGACCCCCTAGAATCCTGAGCATATAATAAATGATCAAAATGAGTTTTTATTATCTGTGACTGCATTAGAATAAACTAAAGGGAATTAAAATCATATGAATTCTTTCTTTTATTCATGTTGATACAATTACCTGAAATCATGTATGGAAAGAGGTTTAGTAATTTTTAGATTGTTCCCTTATTAGCTCCAAGGCTTTATTTGAACTTTGCTCTTTCTATGTTATGACTGTTTGTTGTCCTTTGAAGACAAGTACCTTAAGCTGTGAATTTGGTCACGAAAGCACTGAGCACATCTGATAGCTACAAGGCAGGAAATCGTGACCTGACATTGGTTTCCGATCCATTCTATGCAGAAGTGGTATTGTAGTAATGGATTTGCTTCTGCCAGTGCAGCTGTTTTAAAAGCATGGAACACAAATGACCCTGTGGACACAGACAGAGCCCTGAGAGTTCGTATTTCCTTAGCAGGGCTGCAGTCAGGCCCCTAGCTTCGGGCCGCCACCCTCTCCTCTCTGGAGTCACCCCACCTCTCCCATCAGGTGACAGTATGAGTTGGAAAAGGGACGGGTGTAGCCACACCAGGACAACTTGTGGTCAGAAGGTCAGGTTTCAAGGGCCGGCTCCGTTACTGGCTGGATGCATGTTGGTAACCTCATAATCCTTAGATTCTCACCTGTAAAATGAGGACAGTGGGAAAGCTACCACATGAGCTATGAGAGCATCTATTTATATTCTTTTATAGCACTTTTATAGCACTTGCTGTGTGCCAGGCACTGTTGTAATCACTTTACAAACATGAACTCATTTCATCCTTCTTACCACGCTATGCCGTAGTTACTATTATTATCCCTATTTTACTGATGAGGAAACACGGCCTAGATCAAAGTACTTGCCCAAATCCCAAAACTAGTAAGAGGTAGAGCTGGGATTCAATCTTGGTGAATCGTAATTGCTTGTTTTCGGTCATAAGAACATAAGGAAGAATCTGTATTGCAGAAAATAGGCAGTGTTTACTCTGCGAGATTACTTAAGGGCCCAAGATCCTGTGCTTGGTGACAGAGGCACAGGGCTGGTGGTAGCAGCTTTCTAGGCCAACTGCTTGTGTGTGGTCAGCTAGATGGGCTCTGATGGTGGGGCCTGATCTGAGAGGGAAGTGAGCCTTTCTAAGAACATGTAGAATGTATGTGTTAGATTTCTAAAACTCAAACCAGTGAACAGGTAACATATATAGGACTAATGTGTGTGTAGATGGAGCAGGTCTGACAGGTAAGAAAACCCTCTCCACTCTGCCCCAAATGTACTCTATCACATGCTTCTCACCCTGGCTTTTTGCCGTTAAACTGAATAAAGATCAGGCAAGAACTTCACTTCCTTGTGTGAGCACATGCCCCTTAATAAAATGTATACCCCTAGACATGGTTTTTACATTTTCCATTTAATGCAAAATTAGCTAACAGATGTTTTCAATTAGGTGTAGAACCAGGAACTGGTTTCAGGGTGCAGTGTAAGAATGTGTACTAATTGATTGATATGCCTGTCCTGGTGTCGCCTGGAAGATAAGAAGCCCTTAGCAGACAATCATGCCCAGAAACTGACCTTTGGAATGATGACTACAGTCCCAGCCTATACCTTCTCAGCCTCAGGGGCAGTGAGTGTAAAGGTTGCAAGTTCAGTCTTAGAGCTATACCTTCCCTAAGATAAGAAGGATGAAGAGCTGGCATTCACTAACAGGACCCTGAAGGCAAAAACACTGGGCAGTTTCACAAAAAGGGAACAAGTAGTCTCTCTGAAGGTGAGTCTTTCTGTTGCTCAGGTGACCAAGGCCACCAACCCCCTGCTGATTACTCAGCCACGCCCAAGATCCTGCTACTACCCTGGTTTCTGGCTCCACATTCGTCACTATTGAGATGACTTACTGGTCACAGTAAAAGCAAGTTGATAAAGGTGGCCAGTGGGGGAACAGAGCTTATGTGCCTCCTGAGAAAGCCAGTCGCTGGAAACTGGACTGAGAGCCCTGATTTGGAGCACGAGGAAACCTTAAAAAGTGAGTTGAGGTTGCATTTGCTGGGAAGCCATAGGAAGAACAGTAATGGGGTGGGAAAGGGGGCTGGCTGCCTGGGGGTACTCTCCAACTGGAAGTCCAAGCCCTGCCTTCACTCCCCAGTATTTCTTTCCCACCAAGTGCCAGTGCGTTTAAGGCAGTACATCATATACTGTTTTTGTTCCGCCAGTGCCAGTGACATTTCAAGGAACTAGGAAGAAAACTGACTTTCTCTGCCACTTTGAGAAAATTATTAAATGTTTACTAGGAGTGTTCTGACTCAATGAACTAGGATACTGTGAGTTTGTTGGAACAGAGATTTTTGAAACCAGAATGTGCTGTGAAGAGATGATGGGTTCCTTTTCCACATTTTTATTCCATGACAACCGAGCCAGCTTCCCAGAGTTAGCTATAAACACAGAGCTTTTGTTTGCCAGGTTTAGTTAGGGGTTCTTTTTGCTGGTTCAGAGTTATATTGCAGAACCACAATCCATGTTTTCTTTGGACGTGAATATGCAGTGTTGTCCTTATAAAGATCCCATTAAAAGTTTAAAAAGCATACAGCCCCATCCCCAGCCCCGCTAACAGCAAGCGTGCCTCTAATACCTTTGCGCCTGACTCTCTGGGATGGGACTTTTGAGCTGGACAGACCACAGCCCCAGTGTTGCTGTGCCCAAAACCTTGAGCCAGCTGAATTCCAACTCTAATTCTTCCAGTTCTTAATCTCATTTCCTTCCCCACTTCCTTGCCTGGCGTTCTCCTTTGTTTTTGTGTACATATCTGTCTTCATCATTGATCTTTAAGCTCCTTTGGGGCCAAGAGCTCTGGAGCCAGGAGATATAAGTTCGAATCTTAGCTCAACCAGGTACTGAATAACTTTGTGACTTAGTGAGTAGCTTACCTCTCTGTGCTCATGTTTATTTTTCTATAAAATGGTGATAACGAAAATAGAAGTACACACTGCTTAGGGCAATTCTGAGAACAAAAGGAGTTAATACATGGAACGTGCTTAGAGCATTGCTGGGTATACGGTAAGAGTTCAGTAAGTGTAGCTTTAACCACTGCCAGCATTCCCCACAGACCCTGGTGCATTGTCGGTGTTTAATGAATGTTTGTCAAATTATAAGAAAAAACATTGCCCTTTCTGTAGGAATTGCCCATAGCTAAAGAGATGGGGGAAGGAAAGGAAGAAAGGGAACACATATTTCTTTTTCAACATTGGGGAGTTTGTGGTAAAGTACTTGGGGCTCTGGAGTATAAAGAACTATGTTTGATCTTTTGTCCAAACCCCTCTGGGATTTGGGATTTGCCAGCGGGTGGTGGGGGGGATGGGGGAGGAAAGCAGTGTGATCTGCAGGGAGAGAACCAATTACAGTATGCTTGGAGAGGGTGACATTTATTCTGCTGAACCTCTTCTCTGCTTCACATAACGTTGGCCACTTCACCTTTCCTGAGATGTCTCTGAGGATGGGCATATTTTAAAGACTTGAGCTTACATCATCGCATCTTGAAAGAACCGAGTATAATTGAGTTGCTGATACAAGTGGGTACTTGCACCAGGTCCGGGTCACCCACATCTCTATGGAAACACATGTTTGCTTTAAAGCCCAGCAATCAGAAGCAGATCCTTATAGGAGCCAGCATTGGGTCACTTTTAGAAAAAGGCATTTATTTATATTCTCAAGCCAGCAGAGACCTATGAAATGAAATAATTTCAAATTAAATAGAAAAACCATGCCGTAGGTGAATGCTAATAAAGCCTGCCGTGCGTCCTCCTCCCCCTGTGCTTGCACTGCCTCAGATCCGCTGCATTTATTTTAGCTGTCCTTTGCTCTTTTGTGCCCATTTGCATTCTGCTGCTGTGAGGAGGTGGTTTGGCACTTTATGCAAAAATGGTTAATCTTCATTCATAAGCATTTGCCAGTACTAAAATGGAAAATTCAAAGCTGGGACTGCCATAAAGTGTGTTTTGTGTTCTGCTCTGCCGTGTACGTGCAGCATATACAACAGTGTGCGCCACGCAGATGACTCTGCCTGCCATACAAGCACTCAGCACTCGGGGCTGTTGAGTGAAGAGGTTCTCCCATGAAGGTCTCAAACTTGCATGAGCACATCTTGCCCTAGATCTGCTCAAGTGATATTCTAAGTGATTGGAAGCTTTTATCTGCCTCTGAAAGCAGGCCTTTTCAAATAAGTATTGACTGTTAATGACCTGTTTAAATAAAACATTCAATTTTCTTTCTTCCCCCCACAAAGAACTTAGTAGGCAGTGACATTTCTAAACCAAAGGCTAACCCTGCTTTTCAAAAGAGGCCAAGCCAGAGCTTTTAAATGTGAAATTTTTTTCTGACATTTGCCCTTAAAATGCTTTTCAGTGAAGTTGTTCTAACAGTGGGTTGAGTACATTGAAATGTCTTTGAATGAAAATGCAACCTTGAGTTTTTTTCTCCAAATTAAACAAAAAATGCCAATCTAAGTATATTCATATGAAATTCATATTTCAGTCACCACCCTGTTTCATTGTTTATGTTTCTCAGTCCTAATAATTAAAGCGACTTTCCTCTAAGGAACAAGAACTTTTATTAAACTATGGAAATTAAACCACAGAAACAAAGAGCAAAAACACTTGAAATATAAGAGACCTGAGTCATTACCATGCCAGATAAGGAGTAGCAAAGGATGGAGGGAAAAGGAGGAGGGGACAAAACGGAAGAGAAATTAGGCAATTTAACAGTTAGGCCACAGAAAACATACCTAGTACTAAGTTTAGACCAAATCTCAGTTTTGAAGAAGGAGCATTTGTTTCCCTCTTCAGCTGGCATGCAAGTGCCCCTGATTGTGCTTAGGGCCCTGGATGGTTAGTCTCTGGTTTAAAAGTGACCTGTACAGAGAAATAGCCTACTACTGTACATCATTGGAGACAGCACCCACGCCTTTTATAAGTGTTTCCATCAACTCCCAGTGCCTGTACAAACCTGTAGTACCTGAGAGCCAAAAGAGACCACAGAGTTCATTTCCTCCAACCTGGAGATCTGAGGCCCTCGTGCCACAGTGTGGCCTGTCAGGATGAATGATGCCCTTTATAGACAGATGTGAAGTTCTTCCAACTCTCCCTATCGAAGGGTACCTGTCTTGTTTCCCATCCTGTCAGAGCACTGCTGTCTGCTAAGGGCCAATTGACGGCAGTAGGAGAATGAAATAAATTAGTCTGTGATAGTGCGCCTTCTTCCAGAGGTAATATATTGCATGCCTTCAACTAAGTAGAAATGCATATGTCTCTTGAGAAGCCATACTCAGAGATACTGTTGGATGCTGTTTTGCCTGAGAGATTTTTGCTGCTTCTCAAATCACATGGCATAATTGACTTCCTACGCACAAAATCAGTGCTGATTCTTCCCCTCTGAGGCAGCCATGAGAAAATGTCTTAGGATCTACGTGATCATAGTGATGCAGGATTTTTGAATAGCATTGTCTAGGCTATACCAAAGTCAGGTACACAGACACTTTAATTACTCTTAGTAATTAAGTTAGTAATTCAGTTAGTTATGCCTTTAGACCCCAGAATGTCACAGAGCCACTGGGCTGCATCACAGCTCGCAAGAAACAATTTGTTGGCTGAGGGCCCACTAACTGCAACTCTTTGCACCTTCACCTGAGGTAGGAAGCTGCAGGAAAACAGCCGTTTTTTGGTGGGGTCGGGGTTGTGGTGAATGGAGTCACTCTGTCACCCAGGCTGGAGTGCAGTGACATGATCTTAGCTCACTGCAACTTCCGCCCCACCTACCGGGTTCAAGCAATTCTCCTGTCTCAGCCCCACCCCATCCCCCTCCCCAGTACCTGGGACTACAAACACACGCCATCATGCCCAGCTAATTTTTGTATTTTTAGTAGAGACGAGGTTTTGTCATACTGATCAGGCTGGTCTCGAACTCCTGACCTTAGGTGATCCACCCGCCTCGGCCTCCCAAAATGCTGGGATTATAGGAGTGAGCCATCTCACCCAGCCAAAAATAGCCATTTCTTTGAAACAAGTTCATTTATGCCCATTCCTGTGTGAGTGGAGTGGTTTCGCACTGCAGTTTGTGCATCCTGCAAATGCGCAAGGCATATACTGTGGGCCTGTCTGGCCTGAGAAGGCAGGTCCCGTGGAACGGTTTTATTCCCCTGGTGGAGTTCTTACTGCATTTCATAGACAGTGAGCCCTGTGACTTGTTTATGATGGTTTTGAGGTGCTGTTAGCCCAATGGCCGTGGGCTTGCTGAGTTGGACTGCCTTAGGTTTGAGTCCTGGCCCTGCCACTTAACTGTGGGACCTTGAGCAGTTACTAGATCTCTTTGTGCTTCAGTTTCCACGTATGTAAAAATGGGGATAATCTTAATTTCTATTCGTAGGGTTGTGACGGTAAAATGAAAAAAAATGTATGTCAAGCACTTAGCAGAGTGTCTGGTACGTTATAAGTTCTCCAGAAGTGTGCTAATTATTATTAATAATATATTTTTGAAAAGATTATTCCTTAACGACGTAATTTGTAGGAAACTGGCTTTCCCCTTATCTCTCTAGGCTTCCATGAGAATCTATTTCTTGTGTGTAGTGTTTGGGATTAAGGAAGAGGCTCTTTCTTTATGTTCCAGGATGGAGACACTAGTAGTTCTCACGGTTTTGCTAGTGCACGTCCGAATACCCTGCGGGGCTTGTTAAGCACTGACTGCTGTGCTGCCCCTGCCCTCCAGAGCTTCTCTTTCTGTCTGGTGAGGGGCAGAGTATTTGCATCTTTAACAAGTTCCCAGGTGATGCTGAGGCCACTCATCTGGGAACCACACTTTAAGAACCCCTGCTCTAGGACAGTACTTTCCAGTGGAAATATAATGTAAGCCACACATAAAATCATACATTTTCTAGCAGTCACATTAAAAAAGTGAAAAGAAGTGGATGAAATTAATTTTAATACTGTATTTTATTTAATCCAATCTATCAAATGCTATCATTTCAACATATAGTCGATATAAAAAGTATTAATGAGACAGCTTATATTCCTTTTTTTGTACTCAGTCTTTGAAACTCGGCCTCTATTAAACCCTTCCAGCACATTTCACTTTAGACTAGCCACATTCAAATCTGGCTTTGCATGAAAATGACCTGGGAGTCACTGTTTTCCATCACAACTTCCCCACACCAACTGACCTTGGGGCCCAGAAATCTCAGTTTTTCAGAGCTCCCTGGTTAAGTCTGTTGATTAGCCAGAAAGTCAAGTCGATCCAGTCTCTACCAACTTGGTCATTTTCCCTCTCTAAGTCATACGTCATGACATTTGGCATTTACCCACTCCAGCTTACATTATGATAATTTATGAAATACCCTATTAACGGCCCCAAATATGCAGTATGATTTCTATGTTTTTACAAATCATGGGAAATTTTGCATTAATAACCTTGAAAATTTTGTTAAAATCATTACTTAAAATGTTTTCTTATATATTTCCTATGGTTTCTTAAATCCAGTTCAAGCAAAGTGATGTAATACCCAAGAACAGGAAAGTAAACCTAAGAGCATTAATGGGTTTCAGAGAAACGAAAGTGAAACTTTATTACTGCCTACACAATCAAACAGGAGGGAGAAAGGAGACAAGCAAGTCAGAAAGCGATTTGATAGGTCAGTACATTGATAGAACTTTGCATGTTTTATGTGATTGCATTAGAAACATAAATATATATTTTTAAAACTTTACAGATAACTCATACATATTAAAATTTGTTGAATTATATCAATTGGAAATACAGAGACAGACATATTTGCCAGAATGTCTATTATTTGGGTTTATTTTTCATAAAACATGTTTATCTTTGTTCTAAGCTAATAGATTTTCTGGCTACTGTTAATGCATATTCTGTAAGATTTTTGCTCAGTGATCAGTTCAATATAATTTTGTGTTTGAAGTGATTGGTGGTAACCATATTTGTGGTTCATAAATTTTATTTATTTATTTATTTATTTATTTATTTATTTGAGATGGAGTCTTGCTCTGTCGCCCAGGCTGGAGTGCAGTGGCGCAATCTCAGCTCACTGCAAGCTCTGCCTCCCGGATTCATGCCATTCTCCTGCCTCAGCCTCCCCAGCAGCTGGGACTACAGGCGCATGCCGCCATGCCGGCTAATTTTCTGTATTTTTAGTAGAGACAGGGTTTCACCGTGTTAGCCAGGATGGTCTTGATCTCCTGACCTCGTGATCCACCCACCTCGGCCTCCCAAAGTGCTGGGATTACAGACGTGAGCCACCGCGCCCAGCTGTGGTTCATAAATTTTATACTAGAAAAGTATATATAGATGATGTATTAAAATGGTGAAAATCTTTCCTTTATGACTAATATGTTTCCCTAATAAGTTTTAACAGTTTCCTTGATCTCTATTTTTCTTTAGGACATATGTAAAAATTAGATGATTATATCTACATATGTTTATAATGGTATTACTGAAATCTAAATTGCAATTTTTAGGAAAAAAGTTTTAAAAAATGTCTAAGCTATTGAAATGTTGCACCAATATCAGGACTTATATTTCTGAGTATCTTAATTTTGTGTTGATTGATTGGTATGTATGGAACATGTATTCGTGGACTTGAATAGTTAGCCCGCAGTAATTGGTCTGTTCCAATAACAATTTTAAATGATAATAACAAGGAGAAACCAGGTTCTTCTCAAGAAGTCAAAGATCCCTGTACCTTTCTTATAGATTTAAAAGCTCCTGTGGTCGATACATATTAAGGTATGAGTATTCAGTCATGTTTGGCAGTGATACACTACCAAGCATGATGACCAAGATGTCAGGGAGAAGGTCTGTTGTCCCCAGACATCTGTTACTCACTGTAGGTCCTAAAAATCACAGCATTAGAGGCTTCTTGGGCTTACCTAGAAGTCTGCACCTTAGAGGGCTGAGGCTTCACGTTGCTAAACCCTGGGCCTGTCATGTGAAATCAGGTGAAAATATATTGAAAAGTTCCTTGACTACTTTAAACAATTAAGATTTAGATGAAATTGAGCTGACTGGGCAGATATAGTTCATAGCAGAAAAGAGAATCTCAAAATAGGGACACAGCACTGTTTCATTTTCATAGCAGGGAGGGTCAGCTCAGGAAAGGTAATGAGTACATGATGTTATGCAGGGGCAAGGTGGGCTTCCGGACATTCTGGAGGGACTAGTGCTGATTGGAGGGTGCAGACACTCAACGAGGACCTTCAGGACACACCGAAAATAACCTCACCTGTCCCACAGTTTCCCCAGTGTTTGTCCTTAGCAGTAGAACCCAATTTGACTATCTAGTCACTTAAACTTAAAATTTTTTTTTTTTTTAGATGGAGTCTCGCTCTGTCGCCCAGGCTGGAGTGCAGTGGTGCGATCTTGGCTCACTGCAAGCTCTGCCTCCTGGGTTCACGCCATTCTCCTGCCTCAGCCTCCCGAGTAGCTGGGACTACAGGCGCCCGCCACCACACCCAGCTAATTTTTTTGTATTTTTAGTGGAGACAGGGTTTCACTGTGTTAGCCAGGATGGTCTCGATCTCCTGACCTCGTGATCCGCCCACCTTGGCCTCCCAAAGTGCTGGACCACAGGCGTGAGCCACCGCACCCGGCCAACTTACAATTCTTTAAGGCAAACCAAATTTATGGTCTGTTTAAATTAGAACCTTTTAACTAGTTCCCCATTGCCTCTGTTATGCACCAGCTAGCAGAAAGCTGTGATATTAGAAACAGTAAGATTTTATTTTACTGTGATGTGGAGAGGGTATTGGAACCCACCTGGAAGATGGAGCCTGTAGAGGCAGCCTTCCAGAGCCTGTAGAGGCAGCCTTCCACCTGGGAAAAATAATTGAGAGTAAAATGGGCAAGGAATGGGTCCCTGTAATTATTTTTATCTTATTTTCCCATCTGAGAAAATAGCCCCATTCTACCCTCACAGCCAGCATTTTTCTTCCACAAAAAAATAAAATTATGATTTGAATAAAATTGTAATTAATTTTACTAGCATCAGTCCCAAAGAAGAGTCTTCCTTGAGTTAGACTTGAGGTCAAAGAGAAAAAGAATTGCCAAGGAGATGTGAGCGTGTGTGCGTGTATGTTTTCTTACGAATATAGCTTACCATCCATTGTCACCACGTCTTCAGATCTCATAAATTTTCTCTCTTCAATGGAATTCCTCCCTGATTCCTCTGTGGATTATAACATTTCAGCTTTAGAGAATGCTGCACATCCAAATCCTAGACATCAAAGCCCAAATGCAAAAACAAAACAAAAGCTTTTTCTGTTAGATTTCACATATCTGTAATGGCAAAATTAGATGTGTCCAGAAGAATCAGCTGATCTGGTCTAATGAAAGTCATTGTGGCTCACAGATTCATTCTTAATGGCACCAAATTCAGCTGTCACCATTCAGTTCTTCATAGTTCTTAGGTATACCTCTCTCTCTCCTCCCCCTCCATCCCCCTCTCATACACACATTCATATACTATCACACACTGAAAAATTCATGTATATACAATGTATGTTTACATGATGCCGAAACTTTCATTTGAATAAGAAAATCAGCCATCCAGAAGTCTTCCAATATAATGATTGCAGACTGTCTTGCAGGCTTGTAAT
Organism: Homo sapiens; assembly: GCF_000001405.40. Lineage (NCBI taxonomy): Eukaryota > Metazoa > Chordata > Mammalia > Primates > Hominidae > Homo > Homo sapiens. The sequence continues at coordinate 200,386,995 of NC_000002.12, forward strand.
GACCGACCAAAGGCTTTACTTTCCACCCCTGGCTTGTAAACAAAAACACCTAATTATTTGTTCTTGTACTTCACACATCATTCATGTTCACTATTAGAAATAATCAGAAAAGAATCCTCTTCTTTACAAACGAGTAACTTTCAGGGTCAGGAATAAGTGAAAATAAAATTCGAGTGTTATTTGCCAGCTATTAGGTTGGTACAAAAGTATTTGGGGCCTTAGCCTTACTTTCAATGGCAAAAATCACAATTACTTTTGCACCAACTGACTCTCCTATATGCCAAGTCCAGGGATATAGAACTTACCATTTGGAGGGTGTTTTCAATAGATGGGGCACTTTTATGGAGCATTTGGGAAAGCGCTGCTTTACTGGAAGCAAGTATGCAGGGTCTCTCCTGCTAGCATGTCCAAATGCTTGTGTCAGTGGCAGTATTATTTGGGAACTTATAAAAATAAAATGTTACTGTTTCTAATATTTGATAATTTGTCTCTCTGGATTCCTAGTTGAGAATAATTTGAGTAGTAATAGAGTTAACATTGCGTATTACCAAGCTTTCATCCTAAAATCAGCAATAGATAATGGATCTGAATTTATGCTTTATTTAAGACGTAAGTGTAAAAGAAAATAGTGGGGAAGAATCAGAGAATTTTTGCAAGTTATCCCTAGCATGTGTCTACTCTGGAGGTGGGTACACTCTTTATAAGAAAAGAAAAGGAATATAAGAAAGTGTTTCAGTGGTTCTTGATTGACAAAAAGCATTCAACATGCAAATAGGTGGTATATGTTGATATCTTGGCCTGACTGGCTGCTAATTTCTGAATCAATCTGTTTGTGCATTTAAGTCATTTATTCTCTATTTCAAAAAGATTGAATCTATTAAAGTCTTAAGATCTGTCTTCCATTATAATGGTGAAAGATTTTGACCAGATAAGGGAAAAGAAAACACAACAGCTTGATTTTGGGAACACAGATCTTCTCAGAGGGGGCCACTTTACAAAGAGATTGGACACCAAAGGCAGAAAACCTAAAGATTTTGAAGAAACAGAAGGATTATGGGCAGTTTTAAGGGTCCATTTGAAAATGGAGATTATGAAATTATGGACAATAAAAATTACAATGAAGATACATATGTATCAATCTGGAATGTTGCTCATGATATGTTGGTAAGTGAAAAAACAAATTTAAAACTGTTATATTCTGTTGGAGAGTAAGGCAGGAGAGGTGGCAGCTTTAGATATGGTGGTCACCTCCTCTTGGAGGAGGTGATAACTCAAGCTAAGATAAAGACTGCAGAGGACAGGTGCATGGCTCACACCTATAATCCCAGTGCTTTGGGAGGCCGAAGTGGTAGGATCGCTTGAGCCCAGGAGTTTGAGACCAGCCTGGGCAACAAAGTGAGACCCTTGTCTCTACAAAAAATACAAAAATTAGCTGAGTGTGGTGGTGCATACCTGCAGTTCCACCTACTTGGGAGGCTGAGGTGGCAGGATCGCTTGAGTTGAGGAGATGGAGGCTGCAGTGAACTGCGATCACGCCACTGCATTCCAGCCTGGGCAACAGGTAGGTTTTCCTTTAGGTTTGTTTTGAGACAAGCTCAAAAAAAAAGGTTTTGAGATGCCCCCCCCCCACCCAGAAAAAGACTACAGGAAAGGAACAACCCTGCAAAGATCTGAAATTAGAGCATTCCAGATAGAAAAGTTGAAAAAAAAAAAAGAAAAGAAGTTGTGGGGTGGATTCTTATGTTTAAACCTGGGATAGTTTTCTCCTGTTTTTTTCCATAGTGCTTGGTATTGTTATGTACATATAGGAGAGATATATTCAATAAATGTTTGTTAGATTACCAAGGAGCTGATAAAAGCTTTGAGACAGTGAGGACTGTGATGACAATACTTAGTTAAAATAGGTACGGTTTCCCTTCTCTCTATTTTTGACCACCTTTCTTTTACATAATAGGAAGAAACACAATTTAGATAAATTCCCATCTGTCTTTGTCGTTTTTCATGTCAATACAGTATGAATAAAAGATTTTACTTTGTTTTCTAGAGTTATTGTAACATGCTTTTAGAACATGTCTAAGTCAGATGCTTAGCTTGAAAGTATTTTTACATTCTAAAATGATATTTATGATTATGACCGAATGAAGTTGTTTACTGTGTTGGAAGAGAGTGTAAAAATAACACATTGAGAAATCAATTTTAAAACTTAATCTTGTTTTCCTTCTTTATAGGGCCTATTCCACTAGAAGCAAGATGGCTGAACTCAATACTCATGTGAATGTCAAGGAAAAGGTAAGATCAAGTTATACGTTGGCTCACAGAAACTCCAAACTAGGTAATGCAGTTCCTAGCAGGTAAAAACTCAATTACAGTGGAGAAAGGGAAAGTGGTTTTGGGGGATACGTAGTAAGTTTGCCACAACAGTAAACTGTTCAGCAGAAAGAATCATAAGTAACATTTACTGAAAGCATGTTAAGCATATGACACTCATTTTTTCATTTACTCTTGACCATAACCCCATAAAGAAGATACTGTTGTTATTTCCATTTTACAGAGGTGGAAATTGAGAAACAGAGAAGTAATTTGGCTAAGTTAACGTAGCTGGTAAACAGCAGAGCTGGGATTTGAACCCATGCAGTGTGCCATTCCACCGTTCATACTCTTCACCCCCAGGCTGGGTTACATCTAAGAGCAAGGGTATTATATTACCTCTTCAGAAATGGACTCAGAGAGAGACATCCAGTCTATCACCTGGTGGTCACGCTGGGCAGCCTTTGAAGTTTCTTTCAACGCTGAGAGTTCATGACTCTGAAAATCCCCACTTCTCATGATTTGTTGGAGACTGATTCCACTTCAGAGCTCTTTCCAAGTCTATGCTGCGTCCTCCACTGAGGGTCAGAATCCCTCACTTGCCACATATGCTGCCTTGTAATGTTAGCTCTTAAGGATCATAAACCATAGACCATGAAGATAAATTTGTCCAACCCATTTGTCTGACACCATAGGAACTGAGGCCCTAGCACTGGTTTGCTAGTGGTTGTATAGGCAAGTGGGAGAGCCTGGACAGGAGCCCAAGCCACCACAGTGCTGGTGCACCTTCCACAGCATCACCCCACAGCCTTCTCTGGACTGTAAACCATGTGAAGGCAGGAGTTTGTCTTTCATCTCTTTGTATCCTCACCATACCAAAAATAGAGTGAAGGATGAGAGAAGTGACATTTGTGAAGCCATTACTATTTTTTCTTTCACTTAGCAACAGGGTAATAGACCCAAACACCACTCTAGATGCCTGGGGTATGGCCCTGAACATGTAGATGAAGTTCCTGCTCCCATGGAGCTCACATTTTAGGGCAGGGAAGCAGAGAATAAACACAAGAATATCTAAATGAACACAGTTGTTCCAGGCGGTGATAACAACTGTGGAGAAAACAGCAGGGCGGTGTGATGAAGGCAAGGGGAGGTGGCTCCTCTGTGTGGAGTGGTCAGGGAAGCCCTTTGGAGGAGGTGACATTTGATTGAGATAAAGATGGGGAAAGAAACAACCATACAAAGATCTGAGGACAGAGAATTCCAGACAGAGAGAAAAGCAAAGCAGATGCCTAAGGTTGACTAAGTTGAATGTGTTTGATGAGCAGGTGGTCAGTGTGGTCCAGGTGTGGTAGACAAAGGTGATTGGTGATGGGAGATGAAGTCCAAGAATACCACTTAGAATCCTGGCTGTCTACCCAGGTCCGTGGATCTCCAAGGGATCGCGGTTAGAATCCATGGGTCCATGAATGTAGATGAGAACAAATACATTTTTATCTTCACTAACATCTAAATGAAATTTACCGTTTCCTCCAGTCATGAATGTAGGCAAAGGCAAAAAAAAAAAAAAGGCCAGAGTAGGGCCAGGTGTGGTGGCTCACACCTGTAATCCCAGCACTTTAGGAGGCTGAGGCGGGCAGATCGCCTGAGGTCGGGAGTTCAAGACAGCCTGACCAACCTGGAGAAACCCTGTCTCTACTAAAAATACAAAATTATCTAGGTATGGTGCCAGACACACGTAATCCCAGCTACTCAGGAGGCTGAGGCAGGAGATTCGCTTATACCTGGGAGGCAGAGGTTGGGGTGAGCCAAGATCGCGCCACTGCACTCCAGGCTGGGTGACAGAGCAAGACTTTGTCTCAAAAAACAAACAAACAAAAAACCCACAGTAGAGCAGCAGTACCCGTGACTTTCACAATTAAAAATCACAGATATTTTCATATCCAATTACATTTGTTGCAGATATCCTGAAATGGTTGTCCGTCATTACTTCAAACTTACTGTAGTTGAAGAACCTTGTTACTATATAATGTTATTTGATGTGTTAATAGAGAAGTACATATATTACTGCAGCATGTTTGTTTTTTATTAATATTCTAAGTATATTTCAATATAAGTAGTTTCCTTTGTAATCACATGTAGTTTATTTCATAAATTTTAAAACATTATTTTGAGAAAGACCCCAAAGGCTTCACCAGACTGCCAAAGGAGGTCCATGTACTGAAAGGTTTGGAACCCATAATACTGCCATGTAGGGCATTATTCAGAGAGCAAAAAGAAGCTGTTGGAAGGTTTTAAGCTGGAATATGACTTGATCTTACATGTTTTAAAAATATCACCTGGCTCCATTAGCGACTGTGCTACATATTTTATAAATCTTCATGTTAAATAACCTTTCTGTTTGATGAGGACACTGAGGCTTGAGGTCAGACTTGTCTTGGTCAAAGTCAAACTCTCAAGAAATGTGGAGGAACAGGGCTTCAAACTCAGCTGTGTTTGGTTCTAAAGCCTGTACCCTTTCCACATATTACTGCTTCTCAGGGTTTTCCATCAAAATGACCCCAAGACACAGAAGGACTAATGTGTTACCCCAAGTCTCTGGGCACATGGTCAAAACTAACTTCTGACAACATACAATTTCCTTGGGGTATTATTACATGTTGTCTTAAAAATCGATGCAAAATTTTTATCCATTGTATTTAATAATATATTCCACACATTATTTCAGTATAAAACCACTGTAACTTTGTGATACTTATTATGAAATATATATACCATTCCTAAAATCCTTGGTATCTTCAAAATGATAAGTGTCTTTTTGTATGCTGATGAGCTGATCTTTGGCTGAGGGCTCTTGGATATCGTCCAATAGGGGCTGGTTGCCCAGGGAACCAACCAGGTGATTAGAGGGTTGGAATTTTCAGTCCTACCCACCAAACTGGCAGGAGGAGAGAGGAGCTGACGTTTAAGTTGATCACCAGTGGCCAATGATGTAAGCAGTCATGCCTATGTAACGAAGCCTCTGGAAAAACCCAAAAGGACTGAGCTAAATACTTGGAGGTTTGGGGTGGTGAACCCAGAGAGGGCATGTTAGCTTTGAACCCCTTTCCACATACCTTGCCCTGTGTATCTCTTCTCTCTTGTGTTCATCAGTAACCTTAATAATATCCTTTGTAATAAACGAGTAAATGTGTTCCCTGAGTTCTGTGAGCCACTCTAGCAAATTATAGACCGTCCCTTATTTATGGTGGTTTGATTTAAGATTTTTTGATTTTATGATGTTCCAAAAGCCATAGGTACTCAGTACACTCCTGATATTTTTTACTGTTTTTTTCCCAAATATTTTGGTTCTGTGGTTGGTTGAATCCACAGATATGGAACCTGTGGATATGGAGGGCCAATTGTACTTGTGCTGGTATCTGAAGTGGGGGGTGGTCTTGTGGAACTGAGCTCTCAATCTGTGGGATCTGATGCTATCTCCAGGTAGACAGTGTCAGAATTAACACTGGGAGAACTAAGTGGGAGAACACCCAGCTGATGTCTGCTGAAGAATCCACTGCTGAACGATTACTTGGTGGAGAGAAGTCCCCCACACATTTGGGTGACCAGAGGTCCCCAGAAGTATTCTGCATTGTGAGAGCATAGTAGGAGAAGCGGAGTTTGTTTTTTCCTATATCTTTACAAACTTATTGGCCATTGAGTAAAAAATAGCAGCAAGATGTCCCTTTTATGTCATGGCTTCTTCATATAATGTCTGAACTCACAGTCATATATTCAAGTGAGAATATGTATTCCCCAATTTGAGAATCTGGGTTGGGCGCCATGGTGCTGATCGAGGATTGGCAGCCCCTTTCCTAATATCTGTTGAGATAGAACAGCTCCTAAAGTTGGACCATGGAAAGGAAAAGCACTTTAAAGAATCAGACTCATAGCAATTGATCCCTGCAAAACATGGCTGGTGGACAGACCAATATGGTAGGCAGAGCAGCCGACATTAGAGTGTCTTATTCAAAACAGAGGTGGCATCATGCCAATGAGGGAAAATAGGCTGATCTGTTAGCACACAGATCACAGAGGTTCAGTGTAAATGCTCCATGCATAGGCTTAAGAGCCACAGTCATCCCACTCCTCATGAGCAGTGTCAGATGTCTACCTGACAATTAACAGTAGTGTTTTCCCACTGCATTTCCGTAACTTATAAAAATGTTGGCACTATTTTGAAAGAGGGTGATGACAATGGAAGTAGTGCTTCTCTAACTTATTTAGTGAATTCCATCTTCCCATGTCAAAAGGTTAATAGATTTCTCAACTCAATGAAATAAATCATAATAAACAACTGAAAATTCTGAACGTTTATAATTTGACATTGATTTATTTTAGTATACTTACTGTCTTTAGTTATTAGCTTTTATGGCCTAAAAATTTTTATGATTAGTTTGTTTCTCAATCTGTCACACAGAGCAATGACATTTTAATTCTCAAAATTAAGAATAACAACTGTTATGTCTTAGATTACAAGCTTGTAGAGATCAGATAAAACATCTATTTAGTGTTGGTGATGCAGTATCTAGTCGAGCACTGTGGGAAATTAATTACTTCATAAGAAGTGTTGGAATCCAATGAGTTCATCAGCTGTCTCTAGTGGGTCCTCTATTGGATGAATTCGAGTAGGTGCTTTGGTGAGGAAATGATTCCTGCCTTCATGCAGCTTTTAGTCCAAAGAAGCAGGTAGCTAATGATTTCAGGTTTAATATTCAAGACAACTGAAACTTAAAATTGACAATCATTTTAACTGTTTCATTTTAAAATATCTCTACCTTGTTGGATTATAACGATAAGGATTTAAATTGAAAATATGGTTGCAATCAGAGTCTGGTCTCTTCGGCATAACATACATCCCCTGCATGAGTGGACCCCGTCCACCTTTTACACCCTTATCCACTGCCGCATCTCCACGCATCTCTCATTCGCCACCCTGACCTTGAATGTGTCTGCCTCCTTTGCAAAGGCTGTTTCCTCTGTCTGGGATGTCCTCCTCAGGGACTCAACTCTCTTCTTTCTCCTACCCTGCCTGAATGATTCGCCCTTCCTCTGTCATTCACCTTGTACTTCTGTGGGCTTCTCTGCATTCTCCACTGCAGCTGTTATTCCACGGAGTGTAATTGTTAGTTGTGGCTCTGTCTCCCCATGTGAGACTGTGCTTCTTGGAGGCAGAGAATGGGTCTTACTATTACTATTCTTGGGTTTGATACATAGTTGACCCCCAGATAGAGTTAGATAAATGAATGAATAATGAATGAATGGACACGCCTGCTTGAATTGTTAAGTTCTTTAGAGACTTCATTTCCCATTTACGATGTTTTGCAAAATCTCAAGTCTTCTTGAAAAATGAAATGTAGGTTAATGGAAATGTCATCTCATTTTAGTACTCTTTTTGCTATTAAATAAAGCATATTTTAAATTGCTTCTAAAAACAGAAACTTGGGTTACTTACGTTGACCACCTGTGGTTCTTCAGAAAAGTAGTATGTTTACATAATCATCAAATACAGGTGGTCTCAGGTAGGCTTCACAATACCAAATGAGGTCCTTTGCTGAGTAACCGGTCATATCCTGCTGCATGAAATAAAAAAATAAAGGGAGAAAAAAATTCCCCAAATGTCACTCTGTGAAGGTGAGCTATCAGAACAAAATCTTTGGGCTAATCTGATCTTATATTTAGGGCATACTCATTTTTTAATAGCTTCTTTTCTAAATAATGTATTTTTAAAGAAATTGAATACTAGAAATTTATAGATGATTTCAGTGTACAGCTTAATAGTCACTGTTAGATTATTTCTGTGTAAAATATGTGGGTACCAAGGTAAATTAGATTTATAAATGTTTAAATAATTTTAACTGAATAAGAAAGGATTATTAGAACTGGTATAGACAAAATAGAAATTTTAGTCAGATATTTTTAATGCATTCCCATAAATCAGTTTAAATAGAATACAATTCAGCAGTAAAACTTGGTGATGGAAAGTAAAGAAGATCTTTGTAAATGGGGTTAATAGTTGCAAAGTGTCCAATTATGCACTGATAACTAATTCCAATGAGTGACCTCTAAGCCACTTTAGAGGACCCAGTACACTTGGGAAGTGATCTCCAACAAGGTAAGGCTGTGGAAAGAGTGTGGAGTTTGGAGACAGAAGTCAGAGATTATTAGTTGAGCACCCTGAAATAAGCCACTTAACTTTTCTGGGCCTCAATTTCCTAATCTGTAAATTGGACATGATAATAAAATCTGCCTCACAAAGTCATCAAGTACAATAATAAATGTAGAGCTGCTTTATGAGCTCTTAACGATATAAACTAGAAAGAATCTGGGGGAGCTTATCTGTTTATTTCACAATTAAAAAATGGAAAAAGAGCTCTAGTTAATTAACATTTTTGTTTGAGGCCTGGCATGGTGGCTCACACCTGCACTTTGGGAGGCCAAGGCAGGCAGATCACCTGAGGTTAGGAGATCGAGACCAGCCTGGCCAACATGGCGAAACCCCGTCTCTACTAAAAATACAAAAATTAGCTGGGAGTGGTGGTGGACACCTATAATCCCAACTCCTTGGGAGGCTGAGGCAGGAGAATCTCTTGAACCCAGGGAGCAGATGTTGCAGTGAGTGGAGAGCATGCTACTTCACTCCAGCCTGGGCAAAAGAGTGAGACTCGATCTGGAAAAAAAAAAAAAAAAAAAAAAATATATATATATATATATATATATATATATATATTTTCCCATAGAACCAAGATTGGAAAGAAAAAGTAAAAAGACCAAATGAGAAAAAGAACATAAAAGCGAACTTGACTTTTTCAAACGTTTATAGCTATTGCTGAGCCTACAAAAAATAAGTGAGACTAGACAATACGATGATATGGAAATGGGGAACAGCTCAGTCTATAATGTCATCGCTGAGCTGCGCCACTCACTGTGAATAGCTTTTAGAACTGTTACAGTTATAGAGGTAAATTGGTTTATAAACAATAATTGTGTAGAATCATTCAAATAAAAAACAAGGAATAGTAAAAAGGAGAAAAGTCTCTTGTCCAGAGAGGTGACATATTCAATGTCTCTGCAGATGATGGAGATAGAAGGTGTTCATGTCTGTGTGTCGTGGTGTCTGTCCCCAACGGATGAGCAGATTTTTAATTATTTTTGAATAAATATGTACTATTTTATTATTTTTTCTTGTAACTCTCTTGATCTGCATTTTACAGAGTAGTGACATATAGTTCAAATCTTTATGTGGGGTGGAGTATGGTCAGAAAAATCCAAGCATTTGATTAGAGAGAGTACAGAAGAAACCCATCATTATGCATCTTTAAAACATTAACTCCATTTAATAGATAACTCGCTTCATGGGATTTGACACAAGTTTTAATGCTAAGTAGTTGTTTTGAAAGTGCAAACCATGGAAGCTTTGGGGAAAAATTTGCAGGAGTGTAGAAGTCAATTTAGTCCAACCCTTGGATTCAAACAAGAACACAAGCCACACAGCTTTCAGATTTCACCATGAAACAGGTTCTTGTCATCATTTTCTCATAGGAAAGGGTCATTAAATTTCCCATTAACAGAAAGGAGAAACATTGACAATAGTTGTTGCCTAATGCTTATGTACAGAACTGCTGTTACTGTTGCTTGGCAACTAGAAGAGATTTGACAAGGAGTCTAAAGGAACTGAATGAATAAATGGAAATGTCAGCCTCAGTTTCAGGGGATAAGAAGAAATTTACTATTGTAGGATTAGCATCGCATTGCTTTTTCCAGGCTACATGATCGGAATTCACAGTGTTTCTCTCCTGCTTCTCCTGCCTCTCCACCCCCACTCCTTCCAGTCTTTCCTGGTAGCCCCTGTGCACTGCAGCTGAGAGGTATATATAAGATAGATGGTTAATGCTAAAGAATACAAGAGCATGTCGAAAATGAAACCCTGTGGCAGCAGGAAGAAGTAACTTCTATTCACAATCCCTTGGGATTTATAGGTAGTTTACCAACATTCTAGTTATTTCTCACCATGATCCTTCGTATTAAATTATTCAGTTTTTACGGAGAAGAAAATGACAATGTTGGAAGGCTGTAACAATGGTTCCTTCTCTCCTAACCTTGTACACTGGAAATCTGTTCGGATAGATTAGACAGACAGGTAGACAGACAAACAGATAGATGCATAAACTCAGACCTTAAAATTGTTATTGTTTGTATTATTATTAAAACCACATTTTCTCTGTAAATCATTGCTCCTTAACTTGATTATAAGCTCCTAGTGGACTTTTGATTTATTTGTGTACTTATCCTATAGTAATATATTATTATATAATAATAATATCATAGACTTTGTGCCCCCCAAATATTGGCTAATTAATCAGTGTTAAATAATTTAGCCACTATTGTCTAATGGTAATTCTCAACTCATAGGGAGGAAGAAGGAAGTGGGACATGCTTCCTGGGTCTAGGGCAAGTATTAGAATGTCAGTGGGGGAAAAGATAGGTATAATTAGAAAAAAAAACCCACATATTTGTTTTCTTTTGAGTCATCCAAGAGACAGATGCCAAGATGAGATGGGATTAAAAGAGATGGGGAAGAGGGTAGGCAGCCAGAGCAGGCAGGGAGAGGCTTTAGACTTCCATGCAAATCTGATAGCTTGAAAGAAGAGGGAGAAGAAAGGAAAATCGAGCAGAGAATGTCTCAAACTTACAATGCAGTATTGAATTTCGGCAGGCTGATGAGGAGTGTTTAGGCCAACGTTGCCCACTGGGGGAATGTTCAGAAATGAGCTTTCACGAGTCCCCAGCCTCCTCAGCTGTTAACTAGCAACCTCCTGGGGGGAGTGTGGCTGGGGTGCAAATGCACTGGGGGACCCAAGAGGAGTGGCAGCTAGGCTGTCAGTCAACTGTGTTGATTTCCGTAGCTGCCACAATACCTCAGAGTGTAACAAAATACATATGTATATATTTAAAAAGGAAATTGGAATACCTATTTTGGAATTCAACTATATGAGAAAAGCTTGAGATTTTTATGTTTATTGAAAAGAATAAATTAAAAGTTTGGGAGCCATCATTCTAAAGTAAATAGTAAATTAAAATGCAAACTCTAGAATTTCCCATCCTTTAGCAAACCAAGTCATACTGTCACTAGTATGGGAAGTCTTCTCAACTTCTAGGGTGAACAATGATTCAGTAATCTTATTCTCCATTAAAAGTATACTTTGTTTCAAACCACATTATAAAGTAACAAAGGGACATCATTATACTGAAAAACTGTCCTTTGTGTACAATGTGTATACATTGTATTTATTCACTTGGCTTCAATGTTTTAATCTGCCAAACGATGGGAGTTCATGTAGATGAACTCCAAAATCCTTTGCAGCTCTATCATTGGATGAACCTGTGGTCTTTCCCACCTCCTACGCACTGGCACTGTGAAAGACCAAAAGGGAGACTGTGCTGCGGATCAGAGAACATGGGCACCAACCTGAGTCCTGATACAAACTGGATGCCTCAGGTTGAACTTAGCACGTAACCTCTCAGTATGTCAGTTTCTTATAAAATAACGGAACCTGATCGAACCATCTTAAAGGTCCATGTGTGGTTCACTGGCATAACATTTCTGATGCCCTCCTGTCTTAGGGATGCTTCGGAACTCTGCTTCTCAATCCTTGAAGGTAATTATCAAAAATATATTGAAATGATGATTTAGGATCAATTATATAACTTAATGTTTTTCTTTCTTTTTAAAAACATTATGCTAAGCACATTTAACATGAAATTTACCCTCTTATTGTGTTTTTAAATGTACAATACAATGTTGTTAGTCATAGGGACAGTGCCTCTAGAGCTTACTCATCTTGCATAACTGAAATTTCATACCCATTGAACAGCAGTTCTCCATTTCCTCCTCCTTCCAGGCCCTGGAAACCACCATCCTACTCCCTGCTTCTATGAGTTTGACTATTTTACATGCTTCATATGAGGGGAGTCGTGTAGTATTTGTCCTGTGCTGGGCTGATTCCACTTAGCATAGCATCCTCAAGATTCATCAGTGTTGTCATGTTGTTGCACATTGCAGGGTTTCCTTTTGTAAGGCTAAATAATATTCCACTGTGTATATATACCACATTCTTTATCCACTCATCTTCCGATGGACAATTGTAGTTTTTAAAATTTTTAGTGGCTCAAATTGTAATTTCAGGAATTTGGCAAATGCTGACTAGTTTTAATTCTTTTTTACTGCCTTTAGAGGAAAAGCAAACAAATAAACTCATAAAATCATTGGGAAAACAAGATCTGGCCAATCAGATGATAATTTTGACTGGTGTTCAAATCATCATGCTCTTTTTTAATTGATCAAACCTGTTAAAATGAAAAATGATATGTAGGTGAACAAATAAACTCCCCTCAAAGAGAGAGAGTGTGCTTCTAGTTTCCATGGTGTTTAAATCATCGGCTTCCTCTACACCACAGTGAAGAAATATCCAAGGTTAATATAATTTAGAGATTAACCCAACTCCCTTATTCTGGTATTGACTAAAAAATAATTAACTCCTTTATTCTGGTATTGGTTAAAGGGTAATAGTGACTTATACCTTTATGGTACTCTTTATCTGAAAAGTTCTGTGAATGAGCAGGAAAAAAAAATCCCTCAGGGAGAGTGAATGTCAATAATTACCATTTCCCCCCTCCAAGTGGAGACTTTAAATTGCAAAGAAAATGAGAAGAAAGATTTTACTGAATATTCTAAGTTAGAAGCAGAAGATTAAAGTGTCTTAGTATTCTACTCTGATTAAAATACCAAAAACAAAATGCCAAAAACAAAATGCCTTGAATGAAGATAACATTTTTTTGTCCTCAGTAATAAATTAAAGTATAGAATTCATCAGTGATAGTGGCTAGACAGAATATTTACCTAAGTCCTAATACCATGTAGGTATAACCAGCTGGCTGAAAACAGACCTCCAGTGGACTCAAGGACTCAGTGTACCCTAAAATTATGTGCAAGTCTAACTGGTAGTTCTGGGAAAATATGAGAAGAATCAAGAGCAATTATAGAAAACATGTAGGTATATACTGAATATATGCTAACTAAATGGATGAAATGAGATATGTATTAAGCTCATTGCTTGTTTAAACGTAGATCAAAGAGACTGTTGCTAACAATGATTTGAGAGTTATATGTATATATTTAAACTTCCCAGTGTCAGATTAAAAATCAAAATTCTGATATAAAAAGTTGATCATGGACTAAATTTAAAGATTTAAAATACTTTAGTTCATTTTAATTTTACTTTTTTGTGTGTGGGAGACTGAAGTTTTATTATTACTCAAATCAGTCTCCAATTTTACTATTTTTTTTAGATAGGAGAGAAGTCCATTTGAATATCTCTTACTCTATAAGTCATCAGCTCATTTCTAGGAATTAAAGAAGTTGTATTTAACAGAAACTATCAATTTTCATTTAGTATTATTGTAACTGTTAAATAAATTTGCTTTTTTTCCAAATGTTCAGTGACTTGACAAAGTATAGACGAAGAATTGGTAAAAAGAAATCTGGGTTGTTGATTTCATTATCTTTAACTATTTGAAGCCAACTGTATTTTTCAAAGAGACAACAATAGTATCTTCCCCCATTAAAAGATGGAGCCTGCCTCTCCCCTTAAAACTGGGCAGACTTTTGTAGCTGGTTGATCAGTATAGTAGGAAGGAAAAGACTTCCAAAGCCAGGTGATTCTGCTACTTCTTCACCAGGTGGGATATTGCAGTGGCTCTCTGGGCTGCCATGTAAACAGTCTGACTGTTCCACCATGCTTCAAGGAAGCCCAGACTAGCCCATCAACACAGACCACTTGGAGAAACCTTGAGACTGCACAAGGAGAGAGAGGCTCAGACACACCCCATCTGCAGCAGCATCCCTCCCCACCCACCATCCATCTCCATGAGAGACCCTGAGGCAGACTGCTCCACCAAATTCCTCCCTAATTCCTAAGCCACAGAAATAGTGAAAAATAGATTGTTGTTCTGAGCCACAAAATTTTGGACACTTGTTATGCAGCAGTGGATACCTGGGATGGATACCCTCTTACAGAGAGAGAGCGTGCCCTCTCGAAGAGTTTTGCTTTACAGAAAGTAAAACTGTTCTAAACTAGAACTGGTATTTTTGAAATTATAATATTACATAAATAATGGAAAGGGGTGGGTGCGTAGTGAGTACACTCAGGTAAATGAGTTGACAGGTGAGCAGTTACACTTAAAAAGAGATCTGTCCTGTGCCACCTTCTCTCCTTTGCCTCATCCACTGTCCCTTACCTATCTATGACTTTCATGATTTCTCACTCACGGTTCTCAATTCTGGATGGATATTAGAGTCCCTGGGAAATTTTTTTTTTAAGGAATGCCAAGTCCCAGATTTGATATCTGGAGTGGGGCTCAGGTTTAGCTATGTTTTGAAAATTCACCAAGTAATTCCAGTTTGCAGCCAGGGTTGAGACTCAGTTTGATGCTGATGGTGCCAAAATCTCTATCCCTGGCTCAGTTCTTTTCTGGAGCTCCAGATTTACAGATTCAGCTGCCTCTTAGATATCTGGACATGGATGTCTCACAGGCTCCCAAAAGAGTAAAGCTACCACCACTGGTCCCTTCTCAGGAAATGACCCCACCAGCCACATAGACAATCAAGCCAGAAACCAAGGAATCACCCATGTGCCTTCATCTTCCCCATTCCCTGCATCTAGTTAAATGCAAATCAATTGCTTCCTCCCAAGAAATTTGTGAGTCTTTTTCTACACTGCCCCATCTTGGTCCATTTTCTCTCCCCTGGACAGTATTAGAATCCTAACAGGAATCCATTTGATCTCCTCCAACACATTCACAAAGAAACTGGAATGACCTTTAATATACAAGCATCATGTTCCTCCCCTGAGTAAAGCTCTTCAATGGCTTGCCCTTAGAATAAGCCTCAAAATTATAAGTCTTCCAGGGCCTTGCCCACTTTTGCTTTGTGCCTTTCTTCTCCAGCATCACCCACAGTCCCCCTCCTTTTCATACTTAATGCTCCAGCAATCTTTGACCTTCATTCCTTTGAGCATGTTCTTCCAGTCACTCAGTCCTATCTCTTCATAGACGTTGTGCCCTCTTCCTGGAATGTTCCACCTTCCCTCCCATTCCCCTGGCCTAACTATAGTGCTACTAACCCATCATTCTCGGTTTAAGCTAACTTCAGTCCTTGGAGGGGGCTTCCCTTACTCTCTAGACTAGGACAGGTCCCCTGTTATAGATGCCAGAGCATCCTTACTGCTTCTTCTATAACATTCATCAAACATTTGCCTTCCTAGACTATAAACCCCAATGCATCTGTCACTGCTGCAGTCCAGCTTCTGAGTCTGTGCATTGTGACTGACTGAAGAAATGAATGAACCAGGTATTAAAAGATTAATTTCAACTTTGAGGGAAGTTTTTATGGTAATACTCTAGCCTCTGTACTTGGCCATGGCCTACACAAAATTCAAATAACAAATCTAAGATATAGAGGATGTCAACTGATTTTTAAAATGATACAAAATTGGAAGGAATGGCTGAAACATTCCTGTTTATCATGGGGCAAAATGCAAGGTTCTAAAACATAACAGTTGGCTGGAGTGATATGTCAGAACTTACATATTGAAATTTAAGAAAGATGAATATAAAATCCTACCTTTGTGTTCTAGTCATTGCACAAGTAAAGGCCCGGGGACACTTGTCTCAAACTCAACGGAAGGAGAGTCAGTAGCAAGTAACCTGCATTTGACCTAGTGATTAATTAATGTGGCTCCTAAAATTGCTGATGCCACCTTAGACTCCCTTAATGGATAAACGGGGCCCAACCAAGGCAGGTGCAGGTCTCACAGTCCTCTGCTCTAATCCAACCACTTCTGGAGCAATGTGCTTCTCTTATAGCAACATATTTTAACAGGATATGCTCAGGTGAGCTTGATCAGATAGTAAAAACTTAGGAGGCACAGCTTATGAAAAATTGCAGAAGAGCACGTTTACTCTATAAAGATGGAATTGTGGAGAACACTTTAGTTCTTTTTAAAAAGCAAAGGGCTGGACTGCAGAAAAGGGGTTATACTTACACACCAGCAAGCAGCACTGGGACCACATACTGGCAATGTCTAACATCCCTTCTCTGAGCATGTCCTTATCATTGACCTCTCTCATCTTCTAATTCTCTTTAACATCTGTTCTTTCTTGTCCCTTAGCCTTTCTCTAGTGTTCCAATTCATCCTCCCCCTTCATAGACCACAGATGCCTTCATCAGACACCTTAGTGATACTCAGCCCCTATGTTTCTGAGCCCTAAAATCTACCACTACATTTCTTACAGTTCAGTTTGTAACTATGGATGATTGCTTTGCTCCTGCTTCTGGCTTGTTGAGAATTGCTGGGGAAAGCCATGCCGATCGGCACCGTAACAGATCTGTGCAGTCCAGCACCATGGACCCACAGGCCTGCTCAGCATTCCATCATTCATCAAGGTCATTTCCTATCTCATTTCCATAAGGGCAGCTCTAAACCTTTCTCCACTTTTTAAGCCCCAAAGCGAATTCTAAAACTCTCACGCAGAGGAATGGTTTCCATAAATTTTCCCCTTCACAATCTGAAATTTTTATTATGTCTTCACTCTCACTTCTCCTTTTCTCCTTTCTCTGAATTCTTAGAAAAACAGAAGAACCTCCCTTCCATTCCACATGGGTTTTGATGACGTTTCTCTTATTTCCAGTGGAAGCTTGTTTCATAATTTATCTCCTCTCTTCCCCTCTTCTAATTCTTTCTCACTGCCATCTCCTTCCCTCTATCAGTGAACACGCTCAGCACTTTGGGGAGATTAATTGTGCAATGACTGTTTTAAGACAGATTGGAGAGAGGAGAAACCAAGCCAGAGAATCCCATTAGGAGGCCTTTTCCAGAGTCCAGGTGAAAGATAGGGGAACCTGTCTGGGTTAATGAAAGAAAGAATAGGGAGCAGGTAAGATTCAGAGAGAACGTTGTTACCAGAATGATGTGCTAGTTATTTATGACTTTGCCTTATTTTCCTTACTCTTTTGTCAGCTCGTTGGATGCAAAGATTGTGTGAGATTCATTTCACTTTCCCTCACAAAATGTGGCTTGAATGAGTGAATGGCTAGAATTCCCCCAAACCTTTGTGGAGAGGGTTGCCATCTGGAAGGTATATTTTTTTAAAAGGTAATAGTTGGTGGGATAGGGAAAGACATCTCCTTATAAGGAGGGAGGAAGAGAAGTGTAGGCCTTTGTTTCTCAAAGTGTGGTCCATTGCATTCATTTCCAGTTGCTGCTGTAACAAACTGCCACAACTTCAGCAGCTTAAAACAACACACATTGATTATCTTCTAGTTCTGGAGGTCAGAAGTCCGAATGGGTCTCATTGGGCTGAACTCAAGGTACTGGTTCTGGAGCCCTGGGGAGAATACTCTTCCTTGCATTTTCTAGCTGTTAGAAGCTGCCTGCATTCCTTGGTTCGTGGCCCCCTTTCATCTTCAAACCCGGAGAGGCTGGCCAAGCCTTTCTCTCATTGCATCACTGTCCCATTGACTCTCTTCCATCTCCATCAAATTATAAGGACCCTTGTGATTATACTGGACCCACTGAGATAATCCGGGATGATCTCCCCATTTGAAGGTCAGCTAATTAGCAACCTCAATTCCATCTGCAAATTCAGTTTGCCATGTAACCTAACATGTTAACAGGTTCCAGGGGATAAGGCCATGGACGTCTTTGAGGGGCCATTATTCTGCCCACCACATCCCTGGACAAGCAGCATTTACATCAGCTGGGAGCTGATTAGAAATGTAGAATTCAGGACCCACCCCAAGCCTCTGAATCAGAATCTTCATCCCAATCAGATCCCCAGGTGATCAGAATATATTTTAAAGTTTGAGAAGCCACAACTAGAATGTTTCTAAGATCCTCTCCACTTTTACTTCCCATAATTCTATAAAAACTGCATTTTTTTCCATCTTCAAATCTGCATTATTCTTTCTCTTCCTGGTTTCCTGCCAAAAAAAAAAAAAGTTAGTTTTGATTTGTACCCCTGGTGTTAATTCCCCAAAAGTCAGCCAAGTAGAACATGACAGCACCTCATGCATATTTTTTGCTGGCAGGAAGTAGATGTTAGAAAAGGCAATTAAATTATGGAATTATCCATGATGTGAAGGTACTGGTCTGCAAAGAGTATTTTCTTCCCCAAGAAAATTCATAGGAAAACTACCTCCATTACTGTGTAGATAATATTAGTGGCCCAGCAAGTGAAGCAAAGCATACACAGATGAGCTGTTTTTAAGGCATCTCTGAATGGCTCAGCATTTGAGAAATGTGACCAAAGCTGATTATAAAACTCCTTTCAAAGTTGCAGGAACGGCAAACCCATAAATAACTCCAGTTCCCATTGGTGTGAGGAGGAGGTTGCTGGCTGCTTGATTGCTGTCCTTATCATAGGGGATAAGGTTAAGCTCACCTCCAAGATTGCAAGCTTCTCAAGGAAAGAGCCAGCCATATGCTCTGCCTGGCACCCAGGAGGCACTCCATACATTTTGGGCTTGAATCCATTAAGCTTTTTAATAGTGTGTAATACTTAATTCTTAATTAGAGATGCACTTAAAAATGGATAAATAAAACTAGAATATGTCAGTAACCATCTTACTAGACTCCCTGCTTCCTTTTACTCATTCAGTGAGTCATCCCTTTTACAAACATTTATGAATCATCTACTGAATGCCACCCATTGTTCTAGACCCTGTGGATATAAAGATATGCTCCCTGTCAGTAGAGCAGGAAGTCACATAAGTAAATAATGGTGGCAATGTCAATGCTGGAAGAAGTGTGTGAGCAAAGGTCTCAGGCCTCTCTTCTCCCAGCTGTCATGTACATTCTAATGGGACTTATATTTAAAATCTTCCTTTTCTCACCTTTGCCAATCGGGATTATTTAGCTTTATTATTTTTATTTCCAGCCCCGGCTATTAATGTTGCCTCCAGGCACACCATACTTGCTCTAGAAAATGAAACCCTCTCAAACTAGCACAAGTTTAAAAAAAAAAAAAAAAAAGAGGTTATTATTATAAAGGTCTGGCAGCGTCTCATGAGACTTCAGGAAAAGTTAAAGGAGCAGGAAGGAGAGAAAGTGAGGCAGTTGCAAGTCCAGCCTCTCTTCATCTGCACTCCAGCTTCTCTCCCTTTGTGTTGAATAGCTCAGACCTTCAAGGCAGAGGGTCTAATTGTTTCACTTTGTCTTTTCTAGCCAGGCCACTTCCTGACCACTGTAATTCATTGTCACTGTGTTCTGATTGCTTCCTTCATAGCACTCACTTAGCACAAGTTGCAGTGATATATTTTAATTTCTGTGTTTATATCCGTTTCCCTCTCTAGTTTTGGCAGTGACCATATCTGTTTTGTTACTGCTGTATCCAGCCTCTAGTGCAGTGCCTGATCATAGTAGACATTTAGTAAATAATTAAATGAAAGAAGAAGAGGGGGTAAAACCATGTTAACCACCCTAAAGATAGACTTTCTCATTGTACCAGTTACACCATAGAGAAGGGAAAAGTGGGGACAGAGTCTTGGGTCCACTGACCCCTTAGCAAGTCTGTGGAGGTAGGAGGTTCTCTAAGAAGAAGGGTAGACAAGGTAGTCTCCCCCAAATACGTCTTGACCAACATTCAAGCCACATGGTCTTTCCACTTCAAAGCCACACCTGGAAGGACCCCTTAATGCAAATGCTCCCACTTTTTTCTTTTTAAAATCTATTGAGTAGCTAATATATGCCAAATTCTATATGAAACACTTTACAGGCATCATCCCTTTCCATTTTTACATAGGCTCTAGAAGATAATATCCTCATTTTACAGCTACAGAACCAAGTTTCAAAAATTTAAGTGGTTCACCCAAGGTCATAGAGCTAGCATGTAGCAGAAGCAAGATTAGAACATAGGTCTGTCTAACTCCAGCGCTCCTTCCATGACATTTGGCTCTCTATAAAGTACTCACCCTTACTCAGCAAAGTTAATTCCTTCTCTGTAGCACCACAGTACCCTGTTCATAAGGACAGTACAACACTTACTACCTACTTTTATTGTAGACATTTCTGGCTCCACTGCTAAACTGTGCCTCCTTACAGCAGAACTGTATCTAGTTTTTCTTTGTATCCTCAGCTCCTGTCATTTAATGGGGGCTCAACCAATGTCTGTCTGCTAAGCTGAGCCTTGGAAGGATAGACAGGCAGTTACTGTGCTTTTTCATATTTTTAAAACTCCACAAAATACCATGAGTACCTTATTCTACAGAATTAAAATTGTAAGAATGTAAAAATCTCATAAATATTCCTCCAGTCTCTGTTATTGAAATTTAAAGAACATATATATGTTCTCCCTACCCATATTATGCTTAATGACATCAATCAAGTGAGACCTGCCCACTGTTATCATGAGTGGTAGATGCAGAGTGCTGGGATGGTCCACACAAGATGGTGGAGTCTTCCTTTGACTCAGAGCAGCCGCCTGGTGTAGCTATAAGTTGGCATTCTCTCACTCAACAAATATGTATTAAATACCTACTACATGCACCGTATTAGTCGCTTGTGAATGGGCATGGTGATTATCCAAAAATGGCCAAGATGAGGATTCTGCCCTCACGTTGCCTACCATCTGGGAGACACGACACACACACAAATACTGGAGCTATAAAGGAAAAGGGGCTAAGACACTTGCTGACCAAGGGCTGCAGGAGTTGAGGCAAAGGTGACCTCTGGCAGGGGGTATGGAGAAGGATTTCATGGAACACATGGCATTTCACCTGGAATGTGCAATTCAGACATATCTTGGAAAAGCCCGGCCTGGGGGTGGGGGTTCAAAACTGGGCATGGGGAGCTTGTCTGTGAAGGGGTAAAGTCAGAGACATTTAGAAAGCAAGTTGGAGCCCAATTGTTGCTGGCGTTGAATGCCAGGTTGCAGATAATGAACTTTATTCTTAAGTTCTTAAGGAAGAGGGTAAAATGGTCACGAATATACTCCAGGAAGAGCAGCTGCCTGGGACTGAATTGCAGGGGAGAGACTGGAAGCAGAGAGAACAGTTATTTTATGTTTATTTGATAATGCCGGGTCTTTGCTGATCACACAGCTGTGTGGGTGGATTGAAAACTTTGGTCAGAGCCACTTTGGAAACTCAGACATAGTTTAAGTGACTCATCAGGAAGCCAAGAAGAATTTCTAAGGGTCATCACAGACAGGCTCAAAAGATGCACAGTATGAATGAGGAAATCTGTTAACGGCTCTTAACCAGACAGCTCAGGTGCAGAGAAGGCAAGTTAGTTTGGGAAACTGAAACCAAACAACGTCCATGAAAGTCACACTGCCTCACTGCCCAGTTAGTGCAAGCAAAAGGCCAGCAGGGCGGGCCTGAGGCGCCATGGGGCAGAGCCTGCGGAGTCAGATAGGGAAGCCCCAGAGAGAGGAGAGGATCATGACTAAAACACTCAAGAGGGGGCATCAAAACATCATGCTGTTTCTAGATAGCACATGGACTTTGCCAAACCAGAGTGAAATTAGCAGAAGCAAAATACGGGAACATAATTTTGGGAAGGTAAAGCAGTTGCTAAATGAACCGCTAACTAGCCATCTTGACTGTCACCCAACAGCGGCCGCCTGGTGGGACCACTTTGTTTATGGCATGAGAGTCCTTTAGCGGGGCAGTCAAGTGCAGCTTCAAACGGTGGCTTAGGTGTTAGCCTGGGCTGTGGCAATGAAGTAAAAGGCTGTGTGAAGCTGCGCCAGAAACAGCCTCTGCAAAACAGCCGCTGCGGGCGTGAATTTTATGAGTTCTCCGTATGCAAACTACTATTAGTCACGCATTGATTGATCCATTCCTTCCAGGAGCATCCGTCCTCAGAAGCTTGGTTTCCAACTGCAAAGGCAAGCCTTTCAGCACAACCTCACTATAACTCTTCCTTGGTCATCCATGCCTTATATTTAAAGCTCTGCATAATGAGGGCTTTTTTTTTTAGATTAAGATGCTTAAACCCTTTTTGATACCACTGAATTATGAGGAGTGACACAGTGAGGTTCCTTTATTTTTATGTGCACATGTGAGTTCACACAATTTCTCCATCTTTCTCAAAGACATTTCCATAGGAAAATAAACATAGTGAATTTATAAATAACAGGCTGAGAAACAATGCCGCTGTCTCCACATTCGCCAAGCCAAGTGATTAAAGCAGAAACAGAGGTTGGCCCAGAAATTTACTAGAATTCAACATTACTATGTAATATCCAAGTATAAGCAGAAACTATTTTTTTCCCCTTTTTCTGTAAAACTTGGAATACCTGTCCTAATTAAATGTCTTCCTCCAGGAATTGTATCTGATATTCAGTTAGATTTGATATCAAAACTCAGTTATTGACAATTTTCTAAGGATACAGTCAGTGCTAGGATATACAAAATGACAAGGATAGAAAATGTTTTCTGTGCACATCTTACCATGTGTTTTTTTCTTTTGAAGAAGGATAGGCAAGAGTAGTATAAACATCTAAAAAGGAAGTATCTCCACAAGTAGTGGTTTATTTTGTGTTTTGCCTTAACATAATACAACATTGTGTTTTGCAGGGGAGAGACTGGAGGCAGAGAAAGCCATTATTTTATGTTTATTCCATAATTCTGGGTCTTTGCAGTTCACACAGCTGTGTAGGTGGATTGAAAACCTTTGTCTAATATAACTATAATGTACTTAGTATAATTAATATTATATTAATTATATTATTTAGGTGTGCCTGATGTGGTAATAATGATGGTGATGATTAAGAAATTTTATGTAATATGAACCCATAGTGGCTTGAAATAAATGCTAGATTTAAAAGAGCTATATTGGAAGGGTAACATAATCTTTAGGTATAATTCCAGTGCACTGGTAACAATGAGGCAAATAATGTGTATTGTTGAACACATTCTGTTAATGACCTTCCTGGGCTGGATGGAGGGATTTTTTTGTGTTTTTCTTCCTCCCCATCTTAACCTCTCTCAAAAACAAAACAAAACAAAACAACAAAAAAAAACCCAGCTCATCAAAAGGATAGTTGAGGGTTGCTCACAGGATCAAAATCCTTTGCACAGCCTTGTAGGCCCTGTACGATCTGGTCCCTGCCCAGTTCTGGCTTCCTCTTGTACTCTAGAAGCCTACCCTCTGCCTCCCTCCCTAATCATGTCCAACTCCTCCCTTCTCATCCATGCCTTGCCCCTCACTCATGCTGTTCTCTATGCCCAAAATGCTTTTCCCCTTCCCCTCCCACCCATCTCTTCTCACTCATCCTCCATCCAGGTCTCAGTGGATAAAGTCATATAAGTCAAGTCTCCCTGTCATATGATTTTATACCACTTAAGTGGAATGTATAAGCATATATTTGTGCAATCATTTGGTCAATGTGTAAATCCTCCTCTGGTCTCTAAGTTCCAGGAAGTTTGATTGCTTGTCAGATAATAGGTATTCAAAAAATATTCACAGAATTGGATTTTTAAAGATGACACAGAGAAGTAAGAAAGAACTTAGATTTGAAGACGTTAATTTGTTTTAATGGATGCCAGAAAAACTAAGAACAATGAAATGTGAGAATAGAAAATCAATTTGTATGTGTGTGACTCACACACATACATATATATATATATATACATATATATATAATATTAGAGTCCTCAGTAAAACTCAAATATTTAGCACTTATAAAATGTCAAGATTCAAAACCACCTTTCTAATCTATAGTGTCAGCACCTTTACAAGTCATATACCCACCCATGGCTTGTGCTGGGTGGGTACATGACAGTAGCTTGTGCTGTTGTCTCATTACAACCTAAATACTCTTACATGCAGATCTGTATGGAATAGGTGATCTGTTTTCTAACATAATCAGGAAATAGGCCATCTTGTTCAATGAAATGTTCTGGTCAATAGCATCACATTACACATACCATACCCATTTAATCCATATTCTGTGAATCCAATTATACTAAACTGCATTTAACTCTAAAACCCACTGATCATAATTTAAATGCTGATGAAAACATTTGAAGACCGTACAGTGCTTTAATGATCACTTACCTTTGCACCATGCAGTACTCTAGTATTCTCAGTAGCAGCTGCAGTAATCCCTGTGATAGAAAACTGGGTGAACCAGGTTTTACTAAAATCAATAGAACATTCTGTAGTTATTGCAAGTACTGTGAGATAAAGGTCAATTAATTCTAATAGTCAAGAAGAAAGAATATATGCTAAATTTGACTAGGAAATGCATATATGTCATTAAACGTTGAATATAAGCTTTAACCTATTGAAATCCTTAGTGGATATATGTATTTACTATTTTCAATGTTTGATTTTCAGAAGTGTGTTCACAAACATTTTTTGGACTATAGCTAAGATTACCATTTCAAAAATACAATGCTCCACATTTTTGTATCTTTAAACATTAATGGAATTTCACAGCACACTTCTGTTGACCCTCAAGATGACTGTTTCCACTGTGCAGATAGAGAAGCTGAGGCATGAGGCTATTTCTGTACATTTTCTAAAGATACCCCCTGAGCCAGTGGAAAGGAAGCCTGAGACAGAAAAAGACTTGGTGTCCTCACTGAGAACACATCTTGTATGCATCTGTAGTCTTGGGGGAGGGTAGATTGCAAAACCAGAGTTGGCTTTTCACACATGCTCCTACACTCCTACAAGGAGGTCTTTGTAAAAATGTGTACACAAATAAAGTGGGTGTCAAGGTGATTACCAGGATGAATTTTCACTGGTCTGGAATGCCTTGAGTATGCTTGATGACAAGAAGGTAGATTAGTTGGCTTTTCAAGGCCTTTCTAATAGTTGTAATTCTATCCAGTGGGCAATTCATAGATGAAAAATATTTAAAGTGTTCACATTTCTATTTCTTTTTTTTTTTTTCCTTTACAGATCTATGCAGTTAGATCAGTTGTTCCCAACAAAAGCAATAATGAAATAGTCCTGGTGCTCCAACAGTTTGATTTTAATGTGGATAAAGCCGTGCAAGCCTTTGTGGATGGTAGGTATACCTGTACCCTGCAGCTGAAGATGTTAGACTTAAATATTCCAGATATTCCATATTTTTTCCTTAAATGAACTGAATATCAATTCATTATGTGTACTTTAGGTCTCATAGAAATGTGCGAGGTTTCACATGATTGCGCTACTGCACTCTAGCCTAGGTGACAGAGTGAGACCCCATCTCAAAAAAAAAAAAAAAAATAGACACACTCAATAAGAATAGAATTTGGAAGTTCTTTATCTCTCATTTAAGGAAAAAAAGACTCTAGATAGTTTTCAAAGGATATTGATAATAGTGCTACTAATTTCCTTGCCTACCAGTCATTCCAATTTAATATTAAATGTGTCCTTGGCCAGCAGTGACTCACGCCTGTAGTCCCAGCACTTCGGAAGGCGAAGGTGGGCAGATCACTTGAGGCCAGGAGTTCGAGACCAGCCTGGGAAACATGGTGAAACCCCGTCTCTATAAAAAAATATATATATAAATTAGCCAGGCATAGTAATGCACGCCTGTAGTCCCAGCTTCTTGGAGGCTGAGGTGGGAGGATGGCTTGAGCCCCTGAGGCAGAGGTTGCACTGAGCTGAGATCGCACCATTGCACTCCAGCCTAGATGACAGACTGAGACCCTGTCTCAATAGATAAATAAATAAATGTGTCCTTTATTTGATACCATTCTTATGAATGGAGGATAATGTATTTTGGTCCTTATCTGGAAAGTCTTCTCACTTCTCCAACCAGCATAATCCTACTTGGCTTTATGACTGGAATTCTTAAACCTGATGCTTATGTAGTCTAAGAGGACTGGTTTATTCTTTAATATCTTTAGTTTATGATTTTTAGATTGCCAAATTAATCAGAATATCAGTTTATCTTATCTATCTCTAAAATCTTTTTGCTTTATTTTAAAAATTTTGTTGTTTAGGTAGTCCATTGCCAGAGATGTTATAAAATCTAAAGTCTCAGGAATACGTTTATCCTATAATTTACAACGTAATGCTTTGGATTTCCTGTAAATTTTGGGAAATTATCCTCTTCTAATCAAATTAAACAAGTTCCAGTTTTGAACAAAGATCTCTTACTTGTCCTCAGTTATCATATGTCTTCTGTCCTGGCATTAGTTTCTATTTTGTAAATATGGGCAAGCTACACATAATCTGTCAAATAAGGTCAAGGAAGACCTGCCAGCACATTTCTCAGTTGTATCCTATTTACAGTTTGTCAAGGACAGTTTGATTTACTTATTTTCCTAGGAGTAGAATAACCTTCTTGAGTTTCTAAAAGTATAATTGCATTTCAGGGCAAGGTCTTGGAACTAAGCAATATGCTCACATTCTGATATCAGCAGTCAAGGTTTAGGGTCCTAATTGAATTAGCAAATGATTATCATTCAGTAGACCTATAAGCAAATCCATGGTGCATAACTTTTCTCACTGTTTTTTCCTGCTTCATATACTAAGAGATACATAATTTTTAGTCACAAGAAGCAAATAGTAGAGAATGCAGTATTAATCTAACTTTGCAGCATTAGGTGCAGTTTGTCTCAAAAAATATTTGGAAATAAGCATATCCTGGATCAGATACAGTCTCTTTTCAGGTTTTACTTGCCAACATCACCTGCATGGAAAAAAAGCTTTAGGAAAGGGTAAAGGCTATTATCCCCATTCCTCCCTACCCCCACTTGGATTGAGGCCCCCCACGTTCCTCATCATGAAAGTTTTTATTGCAGAGTGATCTTGATCAGATGCACAGTAACTGATGGACTGTCATCAAATCTGTTTGTACTTAAACAGAGCACCTTGCTTGTCCTTCTTGAAATTTTCACCTTGTCAGTGTTGAGATCTCATTAATAAAGCTCATTGATTGCTGAGAAGCCTCATGAGAAGTCATTTTGGTTGGGGAGCAGTAGGAAAACTTGATTTAAAAATACTGGGTGCCAGGCAGGTT
This sequence comes from Homo sapiens, assembly GCF_000001405.40. NCBI lineage: Eukaryota > Metazoa > Chordata > Mammalia > Primates > Hominidae > Homo > Homo sapiens. The sequence continues at coordinate 200,414,367 of NC_000002.12, forward strand.
CCTCATACCTGTAACCCCAGCATACTGGGAGGTCAAGGCAGAAGGATTGCCAGGAGTTTGAGACCAGCCTGGACAACATGGCGAGACACTGTCTCTACAATTTTTTGTTTTTAATTAGTCTAGAGTGGTGACACATGCCTGTAGTCCCAGCTACTCTGGAGGCTGAGGCAGGAGGATTGATTGGACCCAGGAAGTCGAGGCTGCAGTGAGCCATGTTTGCACCACTGCACTCCAGCCTGGGCAACAGTGTGAGACCCCGTCTCCAAAAAGAAAAAAAAACCAAAACCATAAAAAAAGCCAAACAACTGACAGTCAAAAATATTTGTTAGGAGTCATTTATGAGGCATACAGAAAGCGCTCTGAGTGGCTGAAAAACTCCAAGCCGTTTCAGTATAATTAAAATTTAATAATAACAGTTTCAAAATCCTCTGTAAATATGGGTATTTCTTCTTCAAAATTAGTCCCTAAAGCTCATTGTCCAAATTACAAATAGAATGTATATCAAAACATGAAAATTAGAGGACTAATTGAATATGGCAGTTGTGAAAGCAATAAGCAACTCACCACCACTTTCTGATTAAAATGAACAGTATTTAGCATTTTTAAGTTTTAGTTTTATTTAGAAAACTGAAGCGTAGCTATAAGTAAGTACTGCCCTAATTATTATTAACCAAGACTTACCAAGAAACTTAACAAAAGGGACTTTCTAAATTTCTTCTAAAGGAAAATGCTGTGAAACATTAATTCTCTGGACAAATTAGAGAAAGACCAACCCAGTTAATAAAAAGTCTGAATTATAGCTTACTTTTAGGTGCAGTCTTATTATTTCAAGTACATGCAACTCAGACAAGTCTAAGAGGGGCGTTGAGTTGGAAACTTTAAATAGATAGGAATTATTAGCCTGTCTAAACATTAGTCAAAGCCATATGGCCTTCTGCTTATCTAACAGTGACAGTAGACTCAATAATTAGGACCCTACTAATTTGAAATTTATTATAAAGACCAGCCTGAAATTTATCTTTGTTTGGCCAACATACTCCTTTTAGAGAGCTATTAGTATATTTAGATTGTATGAGAATTTTTAAAATTGTTAAAAGAATATACTTAAAAGAGCTACTCTCTTTTAGAAATACTGTGCCTATTTATTTGAAAACAACTGATATCCTCATTACCAATAACTTGTTATTGAAACCACCTTCAGCACAGTGGGAATGAATGAATGAACTTTGTTAGACTATGGAGAAACATGGATTGCAGCTGGCCAGCGATAAAACATTTTTTTAATGTCTTGTAATTTAATTAGGCATTTAATTTATATATAATTTAATATAATTTGAATATAATTTAATTAGGTATCTTCTCTGAGTCAGTGCAGTTCTACCGATATATGTGAATGGGATGGACAGAACCTGGGGCCCAACTTTTCACTTAATGAACTTTTTTTGGTTTCAAGGTAGAAGCCTTGTAGACCACATCCCATCTCTATCCATGCTAACTCTAGAGAAACTAATATCATTGTAATATGTCTTCCTCATCCCCCTGCAAGATGTGAACATATGAATAGGGACAGAGAAAGAGAAAGAATGGCCAAACAGAAAGCTGTGATTCACATTGTTAATAATATTCAGAATCCCATATTTGGTTCAGAAGATTATAGGTATTTTTATTCATATATCAAACAGAATAATTTTAATTCTACTTATGGCAACAAAGCTGCTAGAAAATTCTCAAGATATATTTCATTTTCCGTACGACAATATAATGATAAAAAAGTAAGCTTCATGTAGTGAGGCTTAATATTTTGATAAAACCAAGATCATACAGTGAATTAAATGAAAATCTGGGAAATAAAAAATGAAACTGGCATTTTTATTAAGATAGGATGTATCAAAACAAATGAAAAAGCCAAAAAAAAAAAAAAAAAGCTGCTACCAAGATGGAAAGACAGAGATGAATTTTGTGTGGTGTTTTATGATGTGAATATTTGTTGAAGATTCTTTGTCTTTATCTAGGCAGTGCAATTCAAGTTCTAAAAGAATGGAATATGACAGGAAAAAAGAAGGTAAGATTAATATTGATTGTAAATTGGTAACATCTTCAATCAAAACCTTCATGGTTGTTATCATTTTAACAAGGCTGCCAATTTTTTGCTTCTTTCAAGTATGTTAATATATACACCCAGAAAGCTTCCAAATTCATGACTCTCGGAAATTAGCAGATACTCTCAGATACTCTCACTAGTAATGCCCTTATTTTCTACTCAGTGTTTTTAACAACCAGGTGTGCTTAAGAAGTCCCAGAGTTGTTCTCTTTTTTAAGTATAAAGGGGAGCCCAGCTGGAGAATTCAAAGGATTCAAAACATTAACTTGCCTGAACGTATCCTGTAGCACAAAGAAAAAAATTAAGGAGTATTTTAAAGATACTTGAAAACTTCTAAATATATTTTCACATGTTTTTCCACCTGAAAGAATCTGTCCAAGGCTGCCCTGAGATGCTTTTTGGCCGAATTCTAAGGTAGATCATTAATAAAAGAAGAAGAAAAGAAAATGCCTTAGAACCATAGTAAGTAAGGGGCTTTCTTGAACACTGGCGTACTGCTCTTTGAGAACAAAGGGAAGGGGATTTTACTGTGTCCCATTCAAACTGGTTTGCTTTCTTGTCGAGTCACAAAGGGCCTGGGATTTCTGGGAGCTCGTGAGATGCGTCTGTGCATACACACTAGCAAAAGTGTGCCGCTCCTTTCAAAGTAACTGTTCCACTCATTCCTGCTATGACACAGCAAGGCCTTGTGTTTCGGATTTCCCAGGATATAGTACGCCAGTCTACCCTTCCCAGTGGGGGAAGATCACAGGCCTGCAAAACAGGTTCTGAACAAACAATAACACAGTATTACTTTCATAAAACCCGAAGATTACTGAAATTACAGGAATCATCCTTTCCGTTTTTCTCCTCCTAGTTTCATGTAGAGTAGGAAAATTATGAGTTTTTTTTTTAACCTTTGTATGCCACCATCTTTGACAATCTCTGCTTGTCTTTAATCATAGCTTCCCAGGCCTCTGTGTGAGATGAACATGATTTGCAAGTGATTGAAAGGCAGTATTTAGACTTACATAGAAAAATTTCAAATGTGTGGTTTGGGTATTAGATTTTTCTGATGTGAAAAAAAGAGCAGACAGCAGCTGCAGACCCAACTCATTACTGAGTCTTCCTCCTGGAGGTTGAAAAGGAAAATGGTCTCCCAGCCAAGTAGATGTGAGGCTTGAGAGCCAGAAGCTGCTGTGGGTGTTTTGTGGGAATAAGTGCCACTGGCCTTGCCTTCAACCTGGGACACACACCTCTCACCTAGGAAAGCACTTACTGGGGCATGATTGTGGTTCCAAAGGAAAAAAGCAGGGAGGAGAATTGAGAAGAAAAAACTGTTTATTTTTACTTCTTTTGTAAATGTGTTGAAGAACGAAGCCACGCTGATGTTCAGCTGGCACGCACTCATTCAGCAGGTGGGACAGGGTCTTTCTTATGGGTCGGCGTCTGTTCTGATTGGCCGGGGCTGGTACCATACTGCTTGTTGAGTACACTGAGTATCAACTGGGTACAAAGCAACATCAAGTCAAACATATAACATAATTAGGAACAACAGCTTCTTAATTTTCTTGATATTCTCATGTATTCACCATTAGAGCATTTTAAGAGAGATATAGTAAAACTCCGCATTTTAGACTCTTGTGATATTGGGGGGTCTAAACAATTTCAATTGTATAAAATGCAGGGTGGTTTTATTTCAAAGGAAATAAAATGAAGCCTTGTAATGCTGTTCAGCTAGCAGCCGAGAGGTCCAGGGGCTTTCTCACCGGAAAAGGGGGACTTATATCACTTTGGCATTACCTTGAAGCTGTTGTCTGCTCCAGCTGAAATATTCATGGGATGGCAGGGCGCAGTGGCTTGTGCCTGTAATCTCAGCACTTTGGGAGGCAGAGGCAAGAGAATCACTTGAGCCCAGAAGTTTGAGACCAGCTTGAGCAACATAGGGAGACCCTGTATCTACAAAACATTTTAAAAAATAGCTGCATGTGGTGGTGCATGCCTGTAGTAACAGCTACTCAGAAGGCTGAGGTGGGAGGATCGCTTATGCCCAGGGGGTTGAAGCTGCAGTGAGCTGTGATCACACAACTGCATTCCAGCCTGGGCGACAGAGCCAGAGTGAGACCTTATTAAATAATAAATAAATAAATAAATAAATAAATAAATAAATAATCATGGGGATGATTATGGATCCTGTGGCTACCTGGGACTTCCTAGACAATGACAGCAATTCCAGGAATCTCCTTGTTGACTGGTTTCTATTTCAGAGACCCAACCTGAATTTTAAGGACCTACCTTCTGTGTCCTCATTTTACAAGAAGAAGTTGCCTGCCTTTTCCCTAGTAGTCCTCCCCTTTACCTCTCCTTCTGCCGAGCAGATGGGAACCTTAGTGGCCTCCTTGCCTCCCCAGCATTCACCACTTTGAGATGAGAGCTACTCCCCAGTGGCAGGATAACTGAAATCAAATTTTTTCAGGATGGTTATCACCAGATTTTACTATAGAACCTCAAGTTGCTCAAATAATATGTCAGCTATTTAAGCCATTCCTTGTTGTTTTTTTCTTCCTTTTATTGGAACCTTTTTTATTGTGTTTATGAGGTGAAAGTTTATACAACTTACTATAAGAAAGAAGATACTTAAATTAACTTGGGTGGTTAATAAAGATGTAAATATTCTTCATCCAGTCTATAAGAAGAGCCAGGAACCAAAAAAGATAGCATATCTTATTTTCATCTCTCAGATTCACCTTATATTTCAAGAGTCTGAGTTGAATATTATGTTCTCATTTGTTTCTCATTCTAGAACAATAAAAGAAAAAGAAGCAAGTCCAAGCAGCATCAAGGCAACAAAGATGCTAAAGACAAGGTGGAGAGGCCTGAGGCAGGGCCCCTGCAGCCGCAGCCACCACAGATTCAAAACGGCCCCATGAATGGCTGCGAGAAGGACAGCTCGTCCACAGATTCTGCTAACGAAAAACCAGCCCTTATCCCTCGTGAGAAAAAGATCTCGATACTTGAGGAACCTTCAAAGGCACTTCGTGGGGTCACAGGTCAGTAATGCTTAAGTAAAATTGCTTAGGAAGGCATAGATGAAAAGAGCACAAAGGGAGCTCATTGGGGCTGCTGTTGATGTTGTTGAAAATGGAAGGTTGTTTTTCTGCAGTGTGTACGATTCAGCCTTCCTGAAGCCAGGATTGGGGGTGAAGGGGAATGTAACAGGGCAGAGAATAAATGCTCAATCTAGCTCTACACCAAGTCAGAGGATTTTTTTTTTTTTTTTTTTGAGTCTGGGTCTTGCTGTGCAAGGCTAGAGTGCAGTGGTGTGGTCATAGCTCACTGCAGCTGCAGTCTTGAACTCCTGGACTCAAGCAATCCTGCCTTGGCATCCCAAAGTGCTGGGATTACAGACATGAGCCACCACACTTAGCCAGTCAGAGGTCTTTTTTAATGGAAATTCCAGTTTAAAGAAATATTCTATATAGACACATTTGCTAGAATTCACCTGGGGTAATGAAGGAATAGTTGATGACAAAAAGAAATGTTATTCAATGTTTTCTTTAGAAAGGGCAGACCAAATTATTTTAACTGCTGGTATTTTTTATATGATGTGACAGAACATAATCTTCCAGGGTGTTAGAATCTGGAACATTAATTATTTGTGCTATAGCTATATATTTATTACTCTTCAAAAGGCCACTTCCTAATCCACTGTTTGACTTTGGGCACATCATCTACTCTAGGGTCCCATTTCCTTTCTGAAAAATAAGGAAACTGCATTGGAATCTACTAGATCAGTGCTTCTCAATACTATCTGACCCAATGCCCCATTTTTAGAACAAATGTTAAAATAAATCTCATGCATAATATAACCTACCTAGAAACAGAATTTCAATAAATAAAAATATAAGACATTCAGGAAAAACTAAAATAGAAGGCTCAATAAAGAGGCCAGATTTTTACACCCACTTATAATGAATCACTTTGCAATTAAATGAAGTAAGGCAGTAGTCAGCTGGATATTGTGGATACTGTTTTACATTTGACATGTACAGTAAGAGCTCAATACGTATATTTGTATATAACATGGAATCACTGTGAATGCACCTGCTACAAATGCAGTCCAATTTAGGGTAATGGGTGTCAGCTCTAATATCATGGCTGCTGATGTGGTTTTCCACATGGCCAAAAATTCTTAGTCAAGTTCTAAACATCATAAAGTACCATCTTCCTTTAATTTATGCAATAGTTGAATCTTGGAAATCCAAACAAATGTTGTAAATCCGTAGTAAAACTGTCTAGACTCACATAATTATATATATATTTTTTTAAAATCATGAATGTCCAGGGGAACATGAGAAAGTTCAGGACACAGATTAATTCTTTGTTGTGTATGACATTCCCAGGATTGCAAGTCATCTAGCATCCTGCCCCCCAACCCCACCGCCAACACACACACACACAATCATTTTGCTAATTTTTAAAAATGCCCGCTCAGTTTTTCAGAATGCCTCCTAAAAGGTGGTAGATCCTTTGATGAGAATCACTACACTAGTTGACCCCCAAAGTCCTTCTAGTTATAAAATCATGAGTTTGTAGAATCAGTGGCGTTTTAAACTCCCGTTATATTCAGAGCACTGTGCTAGATGCCACAGTAGATTCAGAGAAGGATATGATATGGTCTAGGCCCTGATGGAATCACATTCTGATATCCTTGAAGAGAAGGCTATAGGTTCACTGGTGAGTTTAAGGTTTGGGGAAGAGAGGTGCAGTATCCGACTGAGTGCTCCTGGGAGATTTCCTGGGAGCATTGGGTATTGAAGGACCAATAGAACTGAGGTGGTAAAAAGGATTTGGAGGGTTAGAGAGAAGTAAAGAGAACTTTACTGAGTGCCCTCAGGTATTGCACACCTGCTATATATGACACACTGCTATTCTCTGACAAACCAAAGATGAGTAAGACACATCCATGCCTAAGAAAAGTTTAGACTACCAGAAGAGATGGAGGTGCAAACAGAAAAGCAAATGGTGACATGTACCAAATCAGGGTGGCAGTGAGAAGGCATTAAATAACTGGCACACTCTGTAATACACTAGTAAGTTCTTAAATTGCTCACAAAGCACAAATTTTCTTCCAGAAACACATTTCCTAACAACTCCACTAATAGTGCTGAAACTCATGTCATCCTTACTCACTTCATGATGGTTTCCTAAAACCGAACAATGACAACAACAAAAATAACCTATTTCATTTTGAATCTGAATTCTCCAGAAATTTTTTTAATTCAATTTTCACTGTGCCTACAATTTTGAGACTGTTTTGATTTATAGTCAGAGCAAGAGAAAGAAATTAAATAATCGAGTGGCAGATTCCCAACTTGTTATTGCTTTCACATGAATTACTTTCAAAATCCAATTACTCAAGTTGCCATTTTGATATCAATCATAGACTAAAAGCTTAGCATATATATTTTTTCATTTACTTATAATTTATACCTTCTTTATAAAACAATGTCAGTAACTCTGTCAAGTATATGACATTAAAGCAAATGCAATATAGAAGTGCCTCCCTTCCCAGTGGACAGCTGCCTTGAAAGTTAAGTACCCACCAGGGGAATGGGTACAAGGGGGCTTTTGGAAACCCTCACATGAAACTTTCTGTGAAGAATTATTTCTTGCACAGTGATCCCATTCTCCCTTCTGTTTTTTAAGTATAGCATGAAGGCATTGAGGTGTGTTGGTATTATTTGTTAATGTTACTGATTCATTACAAATGTCTGTGCAATAAATTTTTCTGTTAAAGAGTAAATGAGCCAGGCTTGGTGACTCACACTTGTCATCCCAGCGCTTTGGGAGGCTGAGGCGGGAGGATTGTTTGAGCCCAGCAGTCCAAGACCAGCCTGGGCAACATGGCAAAACCCCATCTCTACAAATAATACAAAAATTAGCTGGGCCTGGTGGTGCATGCCTGTACTCCCAGCTACCTGGGAGGCTGAGGTGGGAGAATCACCTGAGCCCAGGAGGTTGAGGCTTCAGTGAACTGTGATCGTGCCACTGCACTCCAGCCTGGACAGCAGAGTGAGTAAGACTCCTCAAAAAAAAAAAAAAAGGGGGAGGAAGAAGAAATGATGGTAATGGAAGGTTAGTAGATGTTCTTGCAAAAGGAAGCAAATTCTCCTTATTGGCCCTTAATTTCGTTAGCAGCCCATTTGTTATGATTATAAATTTTAAAATGAGTTTTTAGCTATAGTAATCTGCCCTTTTCCTTGGAAGATAGGTTCCAGGACCCCTAGTGGATGCCTGAAATCACGTACACTGTTTTTTTCCTGTACTATACTATACTATGCTAAAGTTTAATTTATAAATTAGGCACAATAAGAGATTAAAAATAACCAATAATAAATAGAACAATTATAGCAATATACTGGCCTCTTTCTTGCTCTCTCTCTCTCAAAATATCTTATTGCACTATAAACATCCTTACTGTGATGATGTGAGATGATAAAATGCCTGCATGATGAGATGCGATGACACTCACTCTGATCACCAAGACAGCCACTAAAGTGACGAGTGGGCAGGTATCGTATATGGCATGGATACTCTGGACGAAGGCATGACCACATCCTGGGTAGGACAGAGTGAGATGGCACAAGATTTCATCACATTACTCAGAACAGTATGAAACTGAAAACTTAATGAGTTGTTTATTTCTGGAATTTTCTGTTTGCTATGTTTGGACCGCAGTTGACCATGGGTTACTGAAACTGTGAATATGGGAGGACTATTGTAGTTAGATTTTCCTGCCTTCAAATTATGAAGGTTCATCAGAAAGTTGATGGCAAAACTATCTAATGGCTTTAAAATGCTTGCTCAATCTACTGGCAATCGCAAGAGCTCTAACAGGTATTCTGCAGATGAGTGTTAAGCTGTAGACACTCTGTACCCCATTTTGAGTAGAATGTTGGAACTAGAGAGGATGAGAGTGAAACTTTAATCCTGGCTCCCCACTTTATAACTGAAGAAACCAAGGCTCCTGGATTGAGAAGTTCAGAGGATAACCCTCTTGAACTCTCTGTAGTTTGCAAAAGGCTGACTCAAATCCATGTAATTTTATCAGGTAATGGAGAGTTACTGCTAAAACCATGGGTTACCTAACTCCTAAAAAAAAATGTGTAATTGAAAAATTAGAAAAAAGTCACAATAACAAAGCCACATAATGATATTCTGTGCTTGAGTGAGTTCACAGCATAAGCCTAAAAGAAATCGCCAGGCTACTATAGTGGAGCATTTATCAAGCCCTCCAATAATGAAACTAGCTCAACAAAGCCTGCCCTGAATGCCCCACTGGGCAGGAGGCTGTGAACATGTGGGATGCGTGTTTTATCTTTTTATAACACCTTGACATTCAGGATCTCTCTTTTTAAAAGTCTTAAACAGAATCATTTTTTGGTAGGGGAAAAGTTAGCTTTAAGATATATGCAGGTGGCTCAGGGGTGTTAGTGTGACTTCCTACATGAAAAATCACCACCAAAAGCATCATCATTTCAGGCTGTAAATATAGCACTGTCAAGTGGGACAATGCTGTGTGTCAGCAGATCGTTTAGAAGTTTAGGAGTATGTTTTAAGCCTGAGAGTAGTTTTTTTCTGTATCTCAGAATTTTTAATAACAGCTCAAATTGGATCTTTTACATAATCCAATCAAAATCATCCTGGGCTCAAATACAAAATCAGGCAAAGAGTAGATCAAGATTTATTTTTGCCGAGCGGGCACAGTGGCTCACACCTGTAATCCCAGCACTTTCAGAGGCTGAGGTGGGAAGATTACTTGAGGCCAGGAGTTTGAGACCAGCCTGGGCAACATAGCGAGCTCTTATCTCTTTAAAAAAAAAAGAAAAATTAGCTTGGTACGGTGGCTCATACCTGTAGTCCCAGCTGCTTGGGAGGTTGAGGTGGGAAAATCCTTTGAGCCCAGGAGTTTGAGGCTGCAGTGAGCTATGATTGTGCCACTGCACTCTAGCCTGGGGTACAGGGCAAATCCCTATCACAAAAACAAAAACAAACAAACAAAATTATTTTACTAAAAGTAGTGCCAAGGATAATACTTTTTTCTAAGACCCTATCTAAATGTCTAAAGCACATGTTGACCTTAGGGTCTAATTTTCCCAAATGTTCCTCCTGCCCTATGCTTCCTGAGGCTCATAAGCTAAAATGTATAGCATTTACTTGTCTCCACTTAGGCCAGAATAGGAATTCAGATTCCTCTCTTGTCTTTACCCCACTGGACACAATTCCCATTGAATAGGAATTCCAGGAGCAGGACTGTGGGCCATCAGCAGCTTCCCAGAGATAAACTGGGGCAGGGCTTTCCCTCTCTTGAGCTCCTGTTGCTGACCCAGCAGCCGGCCTTTATGTTGCCTCCTCGTGTAAAGCATCCTGGGAAACCAAGTCTTCGGTCCCTGTTCCTTGGAACAGAAGGCTCCATGCCATGCTTGCTGACCTTCACGAGCTGGACTGTACAGCCTGCCCTGTACCACAAAGCAGGAACAGCCCTGTCGTTTTTACCTTAGCAATGCAGATTCTGTGCTTGGGCGCAGCACCTGCGCAGAGCTGCTTTCTCATCCTCAAGTGAACTGAACCAAATGTGAGAGAAAGGCTCCTGTGCCTTTAGAATGTTAGTTCCCCCCGCCCCCCCCCCCCCCCGCCATTTGTGCTTCCTGTAACAAACAACAACAAAAACACCTCACCACCATTTCACAGTATCATTGTGGTAGGCGGTTCCCCACAGGTTGTTCAAGCAGATTTTTTTATGTTGCTGTTGGTCCTGGCCTCAAGATTACCTCCCCTGCTTCTCTAAGCCCTATATTGGACAGAGGATTAGCAAAGATCAACAAAAAGAAAGCAGCCAGCTTAGAACTTTAATAGTAAAAGTCAAATGTGTGTATCTAGGATTTCAGCGGTGCCAGCTCTCAAATGGAAGCAATACAATATCACAGCTAAGAACCCGGGCTTTAGCGTTAGACATGTTTGGTTTCAAATCTTGGCCTCATCACTTATGAGGTGTGTGACCCTGGACAGGTTAACCACTCTGCATCTCACTTTCCTCATCTGCAAAATAAAGAACATTCGTCCACTTTACAATATTGTGGTGAGCAGTAAATGAGATATATAAAGTGATTAGCTCAGCATCTGGAATCGGGTAAACCCTCTTATCATTCATTTATCCATTGAGTAAATATTTTTAATCATCCAACATGTGTCAGGAATTCTTCTACAGGAAGCGGACAAGACAACAAAGGTTTTGCTCTTGGGGAGTTTACGTTCTTTGGGGTCGCGGGGGATGGGGAGAAGAGGTAGATAATAAACCAGAATACAACTGAGTTACCAACATAATTCTAGAGTGTAATAAATGTTATAAAGGCAGCATGTAGAAGGGCAGCTGGAGAGTGCGTGTATGCAGCAATTCCATAGAAGGTCCCACTGTGACGTAAGTGTCTGGAGACATTGAAGCTAAGATCCCAGTGCTTCAATTCAGGCTCTCTCATGCCAACTTACAGTGGTCTGAACAGCCAGTGTTTTATCTAAACTTTTATTAAGTACCTTAGCTGAAGCCCTTATAGAATTATAACCATAGGTTTTTACTTTTTTTTTTTTTTTTTTTTTTTTTTGAGATGGAGTCTCACTGTGTTACCCAGGCTGGAGTGCAGTGGCGCGATCTCAGCTCACTGCAACCTCCATCTCCTGGGTTCAAGCGATTCTCCTGCCTCAGCCTCCCAAGTAGCTGGGACTACAGGCGCATGCCACCATACCCAGCTAATATTTTGTGCTTTGAGTAGAGATGGGGTTTCACTGTGTTAGCCAGGATGGTCTCAATCTCCTGACCTTGTGATCTGCCCACCTCGGCCTTTACTATTTTTTGTTATTAAAGATCTAATACTCTATTAACATATATATAACTGATGTTAAGTACTATCATATGAGCATGCATTTTTGAAGTTTATATTTTGGTCAGGCACAGTGGCTCATGCCTATAATCCCAGCACTTTGGGAGGCCAAGGCAGGAGGATCACTTGAGCCCAGGAATTCAAGACCAGGCTGGGCAACATTGTGAGAGTTGGCTCTAAAAAAACTTAAAAATTAGCAGGGTGTGGTGGCCCATGCCTATACTCCCAGCTACTTGTGGGGCTGAGGTGAGAGGATCACTTGAGCCCAGGAGGTCAAGGCTGCAGTAAGCCATGATCACACCACTGTACCCCAGCCTGCGCAATGAAGCAAGACCCCGCCTCAAAAAATAAAAATAAAGTTTATATTTTAAAGCACATAATTACTATTCTCATTCATCTTTAATTTAAATACTTGGTATTAATTCCCATTTACAGTTGTGTTTTTCTCAGTCTCAACCTCAGCTTCAAGTAACTTGGTATCTTAGATTGCATTTGCAGTGACTTAGAGCTCTGCTTCCTTTCTTTATGTATGATAAAGCAGAAAGAGACAGACACAGGATGTAGTGATAGGAGGGCACAGGAAACATAAAACCCCTCAGGTATTTTTCGGTCACCTGGGCTCTCTTCTCTTTCTCATTCAAGAGTGTTTTTGCTGCAACTGTACAGCAAAAACACAAAACTACTCATCTCTGAATAGCTGATACCTTTATAACTTCCCACCCACTCCTTGTTATGGTGATTTCAGTTACAAATGGACTTAATTAAATGGAATGTACCACTTACAAAGATCAAAAGGCTTTCAAAAATTTTTCTTAAGATTTTTGAACAAAGATTTAACTGTTTCTATTAAAATGCAATAAGATGGAAACTCTGTTTCCTCTGATGTGATTATTATGCATTGTATACCTATATCAAAATATCTCAAGCACCCCATAAATATATAAACCTACTATGTACCCACAAAAATTAAAAATTAAAAACTTTTTTTTAATGCAATAAGAATTAAACCTGTTTTGCAGAGAAATAAGACAGTGGAAAAAATCAAGTTATACATATACATATATATTACATACATATACATATATAACATGCATATACATATATAAAATATACATGTATTATTATATATAATAATATACATATATATTAAACCTATTAAGGTATTAATGACATATAAGATCTTGTAAAGACAGTGAATGTAAATAAAACTAAAGATGTTATTCCAGTCAGAAAGTTACCACCTTTATGCCCTCTGAGCTCATCAAGCTTCATAGGATTTGAATGAAATAATAAAGTATATCTGTATTTGATAAAGACATTATGAGAAGGCAGAACTGACATTGTGTCTGCTGCATAAACCTGTCTATTTTGGTCTCTGTTCCAAAGTTATTGTTTCCCCAAATTTTTGTTTATTACCCTGTCATGTAAAGATAGAAGAATGATGAAACTTGCAAATCAAAGTATATAATAATTATGAGAGAATGGTTTTCTTAGCCTGGGCAACATGGCAAACCCCATCTCTACAAAAAATACAAAAATTAGCTGAGCAGGGTAGCAAATGCCTGTAGTCCCAGCTGCTTGGGAGGCTGAGGTGGGAGGATCACTTGAGCTGGGGGTCGAGGCCACAGTGAGCCGTGATCACACCATTGCACTCCAGCCTGGGTGACAGCGAGACCGTGTCTCAAAAACAAAAAAAAAAAGGAGTTTTCTTGAGGCTTCATCACTAGACCATTATTCTGTAACATCTTCAGAGAGTTACCTTTACTCCCTGTCTCCACTCTTCACCTCCCTCTCACTCATCACCTCATTGTTACGGCTTTCAGCCCCATCTCTCCAAATAAACTGCTCTAGGTAAGCTGTTATAGGTAAGTTTAGCAATGGCCTCCATATTATTGAATCTAGCCATTGTTTTTTAATCTTTATTTTTTCCCTTTAGCAGTATTCAGCATTGTTAACCACCCTATCCTTAACTCTATCGTTTCCCTGTGGTTTCTATGACATGACACTCTCCTGATTGTGTCCCTCTGTCTTTACTGCTTCCTCTCTGTTCCCTTTGGAGGTCATTCTTCCTTACCTGGCTGTTAAATTGCTGAAGCTCCCTAGGGCTTGTTTGATCTCAGGTCCTTCATCATATAAAGCTACACACTGTCCTTAGATTATTTCAGCCATACTCTAGCTTTAATTATGTAAGATGACTCACAAACTCATCTTCCTAGTTCTGGCTACACTCTGAACTCCAGACTCTTCTTTGACTTTTTCACCTTGATATTTCAAAGCACTTCAACAACATGCTCAAAACAAACTCATCATCTCCCTTCCCAGTCGTGGCTCTCTTTTAGTGTTCCCGATCCTAGTGCACCACCTATCCAATTGTGCAAACCAGAAATCTAGTCATCAGTCATGACATCTCCCTCTTTCTCACTCCCCATTTCCAGTCTATCCCCATTTCCTGTTGGTTTTCATTTCCATGTATTTCTAGAATTCATTCATTGCTGTCTCTTCCCCTGCCTTCCCACCAAAACTACCATCCTCACTTGCCTGCACTGCAGCAATAGTCCACTCATTAATCTCCTAGCACTTACCCTTGTTCCTTTGTAAATCATTCTCTATCCTGTAATCTTTTCAAAACACAAATCTGACCTCTTACGATAAAGACAAGAAGACTTACCCTGTCCTGCAAGCCCAGCATAGTCTGGCCCCTGTGTCCCACTCCACCCTCCTTGCATGGCACATTCGTTCTTGCCCTCTCTACTTTAGCTATGCTGGTCTCTGTTTGGGCCCTCATACTGGCCATGTGTATCAGTCAAGATCAAGTCAGGAGATAAGAACCATACTGGTTATTTGAATAGGAGAAATGTAATGTAAAGCATTGTTAATTAAAACAGTAGGAGGTTACTAACTACTAGAAGGGGTAAAAGAGGACCATAAGGTGTCCACATTTAGCATGAGAGCAGTTACTATATCTGTACTGAAGAAAATGAGACAATAAAGGAACTAAGGCCTAGGGGAGGCCCCCAAGCCAAGACTGAGATTCTGACCTGATCGAAGAAGGTGTGTGGCTACCAGAGGAACGTGCAGCCTTGTGGTGGTGAAGAAACTTGTCAAAGGGCACAGACTGAGCTCTTCTGTTAAGAGGCTGCCATTGCCAGAGGGTGTAGATGGATTGGAGCTGCTCAAAGCCACTGACAGTGGCGGGAGGTGGGGAATGGCACGAGGATGTAGGTTGGAGCTCCTCTGAATGGCTGCTGGGTTCCTGTGAATAATAATAATTAATAATAATAGAGATCCAGAACCCCAAAGAGAGATATACTCCTGTTCTTATGGCCTTGCAGGGTCACTTTATTGCCATCTGCTGACATCAAAAGTTAACATTCTACTAGCTGGCAAAAGAGAATTGCTTACAGGGTCCAGCTCCAGTATCACAAAGTAGGGCAAGAAGAGTAGATCTGGAGCCAAGAGACACTATAACTTGATAACTGGCACACAATGCTTTCTCCCCTACAAATGTAGTCACTGCTTGGAGTACAATTTCCCACTCTTTTCAACTAGTTATTTCATGTGATTTCAGATGAGATCATTCAGATCTCACCTTAGGTTTACTTCCTTGGGGAATTCTTTCTTGATATCCCCAGGTCAAATATGCCAGTTACAGATTTCAGAACACTATATGCTTTTCTTTCTTAACACCACAGTTGCAATCTTTCATTTGTTTGTATGGTGGTTTGATTTACACACCTTCCTATTAAAGTGCAAGTTCTGTGACGACAGAGACCACATCTGTCTTTCATTACCATTGTATTTCTGGGGCCTGGAACAAAGATGGGCACTCACACAATCCTTTCTCATTATCTCTATTGAATTATTAATGATAAAATACATGGAGAAGTGTAGGTTAATTAAATTTTTGTAAGTTGCTATGTTGCTTTTTAAAGATAATTAAATTTTTGTAAGTTGCTATGTTGCTTTTTAAAGATAATCATGGATTTTGTGTTTCTGGGTTTAAAAAGACTTTACACTAATTGAGGAAATTTGAAAATTCAGTAAGGTTTGAGGAAAAAAAAAAGGAAACAATCCTGCCCCCCAGAAACAACCACCGTTAAATTTTATTTCAGAATTTTTAAAATGCACAGATATGTAGATTTTTTTTAAATGATATTAAACGGCCTGTGAACCTTTGTATTCTGTTTTTTACTTAACGTGAGATTATGAACATTACTTCATATCATTAAATGTTCTTTAAAAACGTGATTTAAATATCTGCATTGCATGTTTATGAATGTGCCATATTTCTTTTAATTGTTCCCAAACTGTTGTCCGTGTGAATTGTTTCCTTTTTTTTTTTTTTTTTTTTGAGACAGAGTCTTGCTCTGTCACCCAGGCTAGAGTGCAGTGACATGATCTTGGCTCACCACAACCTCTGCCTCACAGGTTCAAGTGATTCTCGTGCCTCAGCTTCCCAAGTAGCTGGGATTACAGGCGCCTGCCACCACTTCCAGCCAATTTTTGTATTTTTAGTAGAGATGGAGTTTCGCCATTTTGGCCAGGCTGGTCTGGAACTCCTGACCTCAGGTGATCTGCCCACCTTGGCTTCCCAAAGTGCTGGGATTACAGGCATGAACCATCGCACCCGGCCTCCATTGTTTGGTTTTATAAAGAATATTATAGTGAACATCTCTTGTATATAGATTTGTGTGAACAACCATGATTATTTCCTTAGCATATATTCTTAGAAGTAGAATTATTGGGTTCAAAGGGTATGAATAGTTTTTAAGTTATTAATATATTACTGTCCGGAAAGGTTGTACTAATCTCATTGTTTTTACTTTTAAAACTGATTGGTAGAGGGATGGAACTTTTTAAGAAGTTTCTTTTCCATTTGTATTTTTTCTTTTGTAAATATTTAAGAACACAAAGATCAATTACCAAAGAACTACCAATTGTATTATCAGGTATCAAGTATCATAAAACACCATCACATTCACATAAGTACTTTTTAAAGAATGGTAACTTGCTTTAAGTAACATAGACATTAGCAATTTTAGACATAATTTTACAACAACAAAGTTATGCTTTGTTTCTTTATCAGTTTCTTCCAAATACAACTACTTTACAATACTTACTCAAGATCAGATGATGTGCTTTGCTGCAATTACCTGTGTATAGAAGACAATGAAACCATCTTAACTCAAAGGGTTAAAATAATTATTTTAGAACTATTCTATGTTTAATACATTCCTTACAGTTAGATTTGAATTCTTAAAGTTAGATTTGAATTCTTTCTTCAGTCTACTTATAAGTATATCAAGCTTTCACTAAAAAGTAAAAACTAAAGAGAAAACAATCTTTTTCAGAAACTTTCAAATTTGAATACACACATGGCTGTACATACATAATGAAAACTTTTGAATCCAAGTTTATATATTTCCCCCAAGAGGAGGGTTTGTTTTCTTTGGCACTGCTAACAAAAACAACCAGCACAATTCATTTATTGTATAAAATAAATTAAGCACAAGTAAAGTATATAAGTTGATACTAAGATTTAGTAACCAGTAAGTTGATAGTTTTCACTGTTGGCAAGAGTTAAATATGAAAACAATTGCAGGCACTGCAGCTGAGTGTAAATGGTACAACTTGACTGAAAAATAATTTGGCAAAGCATATCAAGAACTTTTCAAGAGAAAGAAAGGCATGAATTTGTATTGACTTCATAACAAATTCCCTTAAATTATAGTAAAGAAATTTTTAAATGTAGAAATCCACAATACTGAAAAAAATGAGAAAAGGGTATCAGTTTCTACAAGAAAGGAAGTAGATGGAAGGGGCTTTATTGATGAATCAGATGCTGCAGCATAGAATACAGAGGGAGGAGCTTTGGTGGGGAGGAAGATGATTGCCCTGCAGAAACTGGGGGAGCCCTGGGTTCAGAGTCAGCACATGGGATGGAAGGCAAGCTCAAGAAGAGGAGTATAAAGCAGAGGAATTAAATGAAGGTATTTTAAGGAACAGTGCACTATCCCCTTATCATCTCTTCCATCCCCCAACTTGTTCTTTTAGCTGCCTAACATTTATCCTCAAGGCAAAAAGGGAGGAAGAGAGTGGGCAGTGATCTGCAAGTACATTAGTCACCCGTTAGAACAAAAGTCAAAACCCTTTAAAGGAAAAGAAGAAGATCTAGAGTTTCTCAATGCATCATCCAAAATGGTCAGTGTCCAATTTTAAAAATTACTAGACATGGGAAGGAGCAGGAAAATGTGACCTATAATGAAGAGAAAGATTAGTCATTAAAAACAGACCCATTAACAACACAGAAGTTGGAATTAGCAGACAAGGATTGCTAATTAAAAATATGTTAAGAATTTTATGGAAAAAGAAGATGGATATATAATGGATGAAGAAAAAGAAAATTTAAGTCATCAGGTGTGCTTAGCAACAGTTCAGACGATGAAGAAGAAAGGATGAGTGAACTTAAAGACAAGTCAAAAGAAACTATGCCAACTGAAGAACAGAGAGAAAAAAAGTAAAAGAATAAAACAAAGCCAGAGCCTCAGTGACTTAAGGAACAGTATCAGGCAGTCTCACATAGGTGTAATTAGAGTCTCAGAAGGAGAGCAAAGAGGAAATTTGGCAGGGAGAAGGAGGAAGCTATGAAGAAATAATGGACACAGTTTATCCAAATTTGATGAAAAACAACAAGCCTCATATCCAAGGGTCATTTCATAGTAATATGTTGTTTGATTGATCAAAAAGATATAACACCTCTAAATGTATGTGCATCTAATGATTCCAGATCCATGAAGCAGCAATATATAGAACTAAAGAAAGCGACAAATCCAAATCCACAGCAGTGTAGATCTTAATATCAGGTTCTTAGTAACTGATAGAACATATAGATTAAAAATCAGTAAGAACATAGACGATTTGAACAATACTATCAACCAACTTGAGCCAATTGATATTTAAAGGACAACACACCCAACAATTTCAAGAGAACATGGCATTTACATTAAAATAGGCCAGTTGCTGGACCATAAAATTAGTTTCAAATTTTAAAACACCATCTTAAGAGTATGGTGTCTGAACACAGTAGAATTGAATTAACAATAGCAATAAGATAACTAGAAAATCTCTGAACATTTAAAAATTAATCAATCTTCTAAACAATCCATTAGCCAAAAAGAAAATTTCACAAGAGATATGAGAAAAATTTTGAACTGAATCATAATGAAAATATAATAAACCAATTTCCAATATCAGGGATAAAATTAACCCTGACTTCATTTATTTAAAAGCTAACAGGATGTTATAAACAACTTTATGCCAATAAATCCAACAACTTAAATGAAATGGACAAATTCTTTAAAAACACAACTTACCAAAACAGACAAGAAGAAATAGAAAATCTGAATAACACTATGCTTACCAAGGAAATTCATAATTAAAATTTCCAGGCCCAGATGACTTCCTTAGTGAATTCCCATGAACATTTGAGGAATAAATGTAATTGCAATCTTAAACAGTTTCAGAAAATAGAAAGAAGGAATACTTCCTAACTCATTTTATGAGGCCAGCATAACTCGTATCAAAACCTGACAAAGTCATTACAAGAAAAGAAAATTACAGAACAATATTGTTAATGAATAAAGAAGCAAAAATCCTCAACAAAACATTAACAAGTGAAGTAAACAATATATAAAAGGATAATACTGCATGACCAAGTGGGTGTGGTTAATAATTTCAGGAACTCAACATCAGTTTAACATTTAAAAAAATCAACATAATATTATTAATAAAATAAAGGAGAACAATAATATGATCATCTCAGTGTGTAAAATAAAAAATTCACTTGACAAAAACTGTCAGCAAAGAAGGAATACAAGAGAATTTTTAGAGTCTAATAAATACATGGAAACTCTACAGCTGTGTAATACTTGATAAAATACTGAATGCAGTTTCCCTAAGACCCAGAACAATGCAGGGATGCTCATTCTGCTTTGTAGCTAGGATTAATAAGACAAGGAACGATTGGAAAAGAAGAAGTTAGACTTCATTACCACTGTCATCATTGTGTTTGTAGAAAGAAAATCTTAAGAAATCTACAAAAAAAAATAAAGCTGCCAGAACTAATAAGGACATTAGCCAGGTCGCTAGATATAAGTTCAATATATTAAAAAGCATTTGTATTCCTGACATTTTGGAATTGAAATTTTTAAAAATGCTATAAACAATAACATAAAAATTCTAAAACACCTAGGAATAAATTTGACTGTAGATGCACAAGACTCTAAGAACTATAAAATGATGCTAAAGCAAATTAGAATTGAAATAAATGGCATAGTATGTCATGTCGAGGGTCAAAAGACTCAGTATTGTTAAGATACCGCATATCCCCAAATTGCTTTATAGATTCAACACAAGTCCAATGAAAATCTCATCATATTTTTTGTTGAAATAGGCAAATTGATTCTTAAATTTATATTAAAATGCAAAGGACCTAAGATAGTCAAAACAATCTTGAAAAAGAGGAGTAAAGCAGTTACAGTAACTAGGACAGTGTAATGGTGGTGTGAGAACTGGCAGCTAGATCGGTGGAATAGAATACAGTCCAGAAATAGTCACGCATATAGTCAGTTAATGTTTATCAGAGGTACCAAGACAATTCAATGGGAAAGTTCAATTCAGATTTACTCTGGTATCCTCTTCCATTATTTTTTCACATTTTACATACTAGTTATTAAGGTCAGTCTATTTCTCATTTATTGCCTATTAATAAACCAGAGCTGATACACTGTGCACTCTCCATATGTGTCTGTTGAATCCTTGAATCAGAAACCAACGTGATACTCAGGACATTATATACCATTTGTGTGTATATACAAAATTGGGATTTGGTAAGTGTTTTCAATAAAAGGAATGCTCACGTAATAGTTAAATTCAAAGACACAAACTTCTAGGAGCCATTTTTAGATACATGGACAAGGATTAAATTAAAATGTATACAATTTTTATTGAAATCTAGGCAGATGGTGTGTTTCCAGAGATAACTTTTCTTTCCAAGATACGGCTACTGTGGAATCTAATATTTGATGAATATTAGATAAAGACACAGCCAGAGACTCATATCAAACGAGGCTCCCTACAACTGGAAGGGCCGTAGGCATGCATAGCACTGAAGTAACACTGATTCATTCATTCAGTATTTATTATGTATCTACGAGATACCAAGCACATACAGTAATGATGAACAAGACATACATCACCCTGTCACCACTTTTCTCATGTAGAAATTGCAGAGGATATTTTAAGGCTTCACTAAAACAAATACCCTTTTCTAGAATATAAATTAGTAGTGATTACACACTGAAGATCAAAACTCTCACACTCCTTGTGTATCCTATTAGTGTTATCCAACAGAAATTTAACACATAGTATGTATATAATTTTATATTTTCTGGTAGCCACATTTAAAAAGTGTAAACAGGTGAATTAAATTGGGTAATATATTTTATTTAACTTAATGTATCAAAAATATCATTTCAACATGTAGTCAATCTTTTTTAAATTATTAAAGTAATATTTTAAATTTTTTATTTTGTACTAAACCTTCACATTTCAGCATATACATTACACTTATAGCACATCTCAATTTGGACAAGCCACATTTCCAGTGTTCAACAGCCACATGTGGCCAGTGGCTACCTTACTGGACACTGGAGGCTTATGTGTGAATCAGCCCCCATTGAGCTACAACCTGTTGAAGTTTACAAGTGGACTCCCGATAAATGGAGAGCTGATGGTATTTCTGGACTATAATGTTAGAGGAAAGTCACTGGATACAGTGACTTTCTGTTATAGCTCTATAACGCTCCACCAGTTTTCATCTGCAAGAGTCCCAGAGTTTTACTATATTTGAAGACAGATCTATACTAAAGTAACACTGATACATTCATTATTTATTATGTATCTGCAAGATATCAAACACATGCAGTAATGATGAACAAGACATACATGCATGTCAGACATACATGCATATATGCAAATATGTACAAGTGGTCTTGAAGATTTTAATGTTCAGTGATTTCACTAGTAATGAGACAGCTTTTGAGGACCTAAAAAAAATCTCTACTCACATTTCTCAATTGATATCTGATGGGGAATGTTGAAACGAACCAGTAGACCATATATCAGTTCTCTGATACACAAATAAAATGTTTTCAGCTCTAGGTTAATGAGCCTATGCTCATTTGCATGCTTGGCTTCCATTTAAAATTCTTTTGCATTTCATTACAATAATTTTTTCCCTCTGCTCTAAGGTCATTGTTTCCATTAAGTTATAGTATAAATCCCCTTATTTTCAAGAATATGATCTCTTTACGACACTATACACGAAGATCTGTGTTTTAAATTTGATATGGTTTGAATGTTTGTCCCCTCCAGATCTCATGTTGAAATGTGATTCCCAATGTCAAAGGTAAGGCCCAGTGGGAGGTGATTGGATCATGGGGGCAGATCCCTCATGAATGGTTTAACACCATCCCCTTGGTGATAAGCGAGTTCTTGCTCAGTTACTTCATGTGAGATCTGCTTGTTTAAAAGTATGTGGCACCTCTCCCCTCACTCTCTTGCTCCCATTCTCACCATGTGGTATGCTGGCTCCCAGTCATCTTCTGCCATGATTGTAAGCTTCCTGAGGCCCTCACCAGAAGCTGAGCAGATGTTGGCATCATGCTTCTTGTACAGCGTACAGAACCATGAACCAAATAAACTTCTTTTCTTTAAAAATTACCCAGGCTCAAGTATTCCCTTACAGCAATGCAAAAACAGCCTAACCCAGAATTCTCAATTTATAGTATCTCATCCAGACTGCCTCTCAACTGGAATTTAGAGAGGTAGTGACTTGGAACCAGTTTGGACGTGTCATTGTTTTAACACAAATGTTTATAGACTCAACATAAAATTAGTTTTTTAATCTTTTACAGTAGGGTTTCTCTGGGTGGCTGGTACCACCCATCTCCACTCCAACAGAATCACCTGGGGAGGAGAAGCCTGGGCCCACAGCTGAACTGGAATCTCTAGAAATGGTGTTCGGGAAGTTGCATGTGTAATAAGTACCAAGGGAAACTCATTTCACACTGAAGTTTGACAGCCAGTGCCTTATAGTGAAGTTCTACCTTAATATCACTAAGGATAAAATTGCATACTACCATTTGAATCTGTTTTATTACTGGAGGAAATGCTGTTTTCAGTACTTATGTACTTTGTTTACTACCTTTGCTGAACATTTTGTGTACTGTGAGTAAATTTTTAAGGGTATTCATTCAGCTCATAGAAAGTATGTTGTGCTTTCTTGATATGTAAGTTATGAATGATGGATTCAACTGAAGTCTAATTATATTGATCATGAATGGACTAATGTCTAAAATCAAATTGACTAGGACCTAGATCATATTCCTTTGTATTTTTTCAAGTG
Organism: Homo sapiens; assembly: GCF_000001405.40. Classification (NCBI taxonomy): domain Eukaryota; kingdom Metazoa; phylum Chordata; class Mammalia; order Primates; family Hominidae; genus Homo; species Homo sapiens. Next base: position 200,437,852 of record NC_000002.12, read on the forward strand.
TAGTCTCTGACTGTGTCAGGTAAGATATTCATTGTTTTTTATTTTTTTCTATGAAATTGTTTCAAATGTACTTTAATTAGATCATAATTCTACAGAAAGCCATCGAGCCAGACACAAGTACTAGGGCTTCAAAACAGAATTGAACTCAGTGTTTGCCCTTGGGAAGATTGCAGCCTCTGCAAGGCAGGGGTGAGGGGCAGATATGGAAGCCTTGTGTTAAAATATAAAACCGTGGTACCATGGTTTTAAGTAAAGCAAGGTACCATGGGAGTAGAGAGAAGCAGGGCAAGGGTGACTATCTGAAAAGGCTGGGTTTTACAAAGATGACTGTGTTCTGTTTGAGTGCAAGCCAGTCAGCCAGACAAGTGAAGACATTCCCACAAGGTCACCCAGGACATAAGGAATACCAGAACTTGGTTCTCCTAGATCAAAACTGCACTCATCAAGCTTTCTACAAGAACCTGGCCTTCAAGAGCACACTGGCTTCCCTTTTCTCACACCCAAAACTTTCTCTGGTAGTAAGATGTTAAGAGTGATACATTTCCGTTTCAGGCCACTAACATGCTATTTAATTCATTCCAGCAATAACTAAATGGGAACCTACCTTTAAAAGATGCCAAAAGCAACATCCTGCTAATTGATTGCCACATCTATTAAATCTCCAGAGAGAATCTGACTCCCTAGATTTTAAATATAGTTGAGATATTATGATGATGTTTTCTGATTTAAGCCCTCCATAAATTAGATGCAATGATTATAGTATCTGTTGTCACTTCATTTTTGCTCTATCTCCAGTCACGCTTCTGCCTTCATTAATTCGGAATGAAATATCACAAGACATTAATGTAGCACTTGGAGATAGGAGGGCTACATTTTTATAGCCTCAATATGAAATTGTACTTAAAAGACTCATAAGCCTTTACTGGAATAGCAGGGGGGAAAAGGCACTGCTCATCTTCTATAAGCCTCTTAATAACCTTCCTGGATAGTTATGGATGAGGAAACTAGGGCTCAGAGATGCCCAGGGTCACTCTGCAAGTAATTACCAGAGCCAAAACATGCCCAGGTCTTTCTACTCAAAATACAAGGCTCTTCTAGTACACCCTCTAATCTTCTGGGGATTCTTTTAAAACAGTTTCTTGACTGTTTGCAATGAAAGGCATTATTGCCAATATGTAAACAAAAACAAAAATCTTGGCATCCTCCATCACTTTATCGTCAGTGTTTTTAGTTTATCACTTCACAGTCATTATTTGGTGTTTTCTTACAGAAGGCAACAGACTACTGCAACAGAAACTATCCTTAGATGGGAACCCCAAACCTATACATGGAACAACAGAGAGGTCAGATGGCCTACAGTGGTCAGCTGAGCAGCCTTGTAACCCAAGCAAGCCTAAGGCAAAAACATCTCCTGTTAAGTCCAATACCCCTGCAGCTCATCTTGAAATAAAGCCAGATGAGTTGGCAAAGAAAAGAGGTAAAGTGATTTCTTTTGCACAAATGATTCAACATATTTTGCACATACAGAAAAGTGCCAGAGTGACAGAACTTTCCAAAAGATGCTGCTTAGTGAAGAGAGATGCACATGAAATTGCATTTTTTTTTCTGTGACCCACATAGATGGAAAGGCAGAGGTGATTCCTCCCATGTAATCAAAGGTCTTGAATATTTAAATAGAATTACATCTCCTTTCTCTGCCCCTCTGAGACCATTCTTGTTGTAGGCATGGATAAACTTACACCACAAGTACCTTCTATCCTAATATCTTATAAAGCAAGTGCTCATTCAGGAGCTCTTTTAAAAATGTAACTGCTAAAAGGGACTCATGTTTCCCTGATACACAATTGCTTGACTTGCATTGAACAAAGATGAGTCTGGAGGCTGGTATATGTTCTTCAGATATGGTCTTCCCAATGTAAATTCAGTTCTGTGTTAGAATTTACACACAATGTAACATTGAAAGAGGGTTTTATATTTGACACGCTGGATTTTTATGATTTTTCTGAGCTTGGATATACTTGATACGTAACTGGTATTAAAAATGAAAATCACTTCCTTTCTGATTCCCAGAAGATTAAATACTATTCTTTTCATTCAGCCTCAGTTGTATCTGATTTCCTTGGCTTTGGTTTGATCTACTTTCTCATTTTTCTTGAGGGGGATTTCTTTCTTCTACCAAACATGGCCTGATTGTGATAAGTACAATCTGCCTGTTTGTGATGTACTATCTGTAGACCCTGGTGACAGTTGCAGGAAATCAGGCGAGATGGGCACCCATAGAGCTGCTTTCAATGCTGCTGCTCTAATTACAGGCCTGGCTTCGGATGATGGGGCCAGTGCCAGCGTACCTGGCATTGATGCCCCATCCTCTCTCTATCTCATTTGTACCTCTCCCAGTCTCTGTGTCATTTTCCTCTTCCAAAAGCCCTGCTGGCTTTTAACCACGCAAAGTGGTGTTTATAGAGAGAGCCAGCAGCACAAATGGTCTTTAGACGTATCAGATTCTAAGGCACTGCAGTTTGTGATAGAATATAATGATGACAGCCTCCTTCCAAAGAGTGCAGGAGACAAGCGTACCCCAGATGGCCCAGTCAGAGACCCCACTGGTGAAATCATAACAGCCTCAGGTGCCACACAAGCCACCCACACTGGGTTACAAACATTCTCCTGATGGAACTTTTACTAGACAAAAGATGAGTCCCTTTTTCTGGTGGGCTAATTGCTTTGTTTTGTTGTTTAGCTTACAAACAAAGGATTAAATGCTCAAGTTAATAATATTTTTTGACATCAATTTTAGGCCCAAATATTGAGAAATCAGTGAAGGATTTGCAACGCTGCACCGTTTCTCTAACTAGATATCGCGTCATGATTAAGGAAGAAGTGGATAGTTCCGTGAAGAAGATCAAAGCTGCCTTTGCTGAATTACACAACTGGTGAGTGATTCAACGTAGGAACCATAAATTTGTGATGCTTGAGCTGTTCCAACAGGTAAAAGTATCAGATGGAAAACGTTGTTTATTTAATACATAAACATCACAGAATAACTCTCCAGCAAATTTTGTTAAGCCCTGCAGGCAGTAGCATGTATCTTGGGAATAAAAAAGAAGATAAAGTATTTGAATAAAAAGAAACCTGATAGACATAATTCACTGGAGTTTGAAGTTGGCCCAAAACTATGAATGATGTAAAACAAAACCTCAACAAAGAATAAAACCTCAAAAAATAGTATTTTTGACAAATCCCTGGAAGGCTAATATCATGAATACTACTAGGAAAACAAAATATTTTCCAGCACTATAATTATAAAATAAGAAGAATTCCCTTAACGAAATTCAGAAACATCTCACATAAGCTTAGCAACAGAGTCCCATTCTTGGGTATCTTTAAGACTAGAATTTAAACATGGTGCATCAATATGGTTTTGGTCCTGCCTTGCCCTTCCCTGCTACTGATTTTGATGGAAAATGTTTGAACCCTGTATATTTGCTCATGTCTACAATTGAAATGATATATCTGTTAATAAAGGTTTAGTTATTAACAGTAGAAAAATGTTCTCAGCGTATCAGTTAGGTCTCTTTCAGTTTGGAGTGGCAGAAATCAAGTCACAGAAGTTAAAGACAAAAGAGAATTTATTGGCTGATATACATGAAAATTACAGAAGTTTCCTTCAGACAAATTTGACTGTAAATCCTCATTATGTTATCAGGACTCAGTCTGTCTCACCCTCTCTCCTTCCTCTCTCCTGGTGTCTCCCACAGTCTCCTAGCTCTGTCCATTCTTGGCTTTTTTCTTAGGCACCATCTCTCTTTGTGGTAGCAAAGATGACCCCCTCACAGCTGCCAGATTACATAATCCTTAGCCCTCTGATGATCTGAGAGAGGGCTTCATCTGAAATAGCAAAAGTCCAAAGGCTGGCACATATCCACCATGCCCAAGCTCATTAACATATTCTCTATATCTCATTGGCCTCCCGTGATTCTAGAATTTGATCACTTCTTCTGCATGCTTTTCCTATTCCAGGTCCTTGCTTTGACATTGATGTGCTTTTTAGCAGAAACTGTGTGTAAAACTAAGAATTAAGCTTAACACTAATCTAAAATGCATGAATTTTAAACCATCTGCTATGTATCATATAAGATCCTAAGGGTGCAGAAGACACTAGGAACTTAAAAGAAAACTTTCTCCTTCAGTTATCATTCAGCCTCTCAGAGGCCCTCTGAGGGGAGGATTCATCTACCTCCCCCCAACCCCAGTCATGGCATCTGGATGTCAACGAAAGTCTTCTCTGTTTGATCATATTATAACCTAACCAATTGTTGAAAGCAACTCCAAGAATATGTTTGAGTACCTAGAGAAATTAAAGATGCTATACAAATGAAAATTGTTATTACTATTATTTTATAGTTTTATAACTTTCCAATCTGTCTTTAGGTAAGTTACCTTAACACTTAGAAGTACACCCAGCTTCCAGGGCTGTTCTCTAGAGCCAGGGTCTGCAGACTTTATGGGGCCAACTAGTAACTATCCTAAGCATTATGGCCTTAAGGTCTCTATGCAGCTACCCAGCTCTGCTGTTGCTGCTCAAAGGCAGCCCTAGATAATCAAAAAGGCTGTGGGCCAGATTTGGCTCATGAGGGTCATTGTTTGTCAACCCCTGTCTAGAGGCATTAGTTAGCTGTTCAGAGAAGACCACTCTGTCTTACTCTTTAGTGTGGCCTTTTAGAATAAACTCTTCCTCTGAGCCCTCTGTGTGATACCTTCCATCTGAGTGACTCATATACTAATTGACAAAGTGTAGCAATGCCCTCAAATTACCTCTCTCTTCTCCAGCTGCTCTGAGTACTTCTTATTTTATTTTATTTCTTAGTAAAATGAACATCACATGGGTCATGAGACATCTTGAGATTTATAACAGATTCTGTGAGAGTTTTACTCCTCAAGAGCTGAAAGCGTGGGGCCAGGAAAGTCAACACCCAAGGAAATAGTATATTTTTTCTCTGCTTGTAATTCATGTTGTGTTTTAAACTGATGGAAAGAATCACTTCTGAATGAGCGCTGCCAAGTAGTACTGCTGTTTAAAAGCCACCTACTTAACAAAATGGCACTTTTTCTGCAAACCAAAGAAGACATTTAGATCAACCATTTTGGTATGCCATTGCTATAAAATGAGTAAACAGCACCACTTATTTTCTGATCTAATCCTTAATAAAAGTGATCCCACAATAATTGCATAAATGTTAACTTAAAAATAAAACCAAAGTGCTCTTTAAAATCAACTATGCATGCCTGCCAAACAGAAAAACCTTGCCTCTGTTCCAAATGAGCTTGCAGCCCAGCAAACATGGTGACATACTTGAATAAAGCCTCCCTCTTGTTTTCTAAGAGGAAGAAAATGAATTTTAGGGATTATGGTGCTCTTGAAATATCAGGTCACAAAATTGAAGATGGCAGCTTGGAAATTTTTGTTAATGAAATTTTCCTATTGATGGTGAAATCCTGCATTCTAAGCATTAGAGAAAACTTTGAGTGAACTATAGGTGTGTTAGAATGTACTCATTTTAATGCAGTTGTAGCCTCAGGATTACATCATGAGGCATATCTAGATTTGGAGGACATGGGATAAGTCCTGTGGAGATTTCCAGAAAGAATGCCAGTTCTGAGAGAGATGTCACCGCATGTGGTGCACAAGCGACATAGATGTATACCTTCCGTTTCCAGTTCCTCTTCTCCTCTCCTTGCTTTGGGCCACCCAGTTATCCTAACCACAAAGTACTCAACAAGCATTTCGTGTAGTTGAGAACTAGAAACTCAGGTCAGAAATTCTAAATATTCACTTTGCTACCAAAAAGTGCCAGCATAAGGACCTGAGTCCTGCTTGACTAAACTCCCTGAAAAGTACTGCTGGAATTCACGAGAATGATGATTTTGAGAGGCTGGGAGCAAGCTGTTGTTTGCATATCCTCAATACCAAGCAAGCACACATCAAGGTAAAATGAACGAAATGATCTCTCTTCCAACCGGGCTGTGAAGAATACTTTGTTCAGTACAGTTATTGAAGAAAACCACTAAGTAGCTAAAATGTAAAATCAAAGTTGGCATTTAAGCAGGATACAGTTACGTAGGCTGCATGACCATAACAGAGCATTCTCATTTTCCCAGAAAGAATTAGGGATTTGCGAGGGGAATAAAGATGATACAATGCTCTCACAATGCATCTTAACAGAAAATAAATTTTGCGACATGAGCATCTGTGTGAAAAGTCACATCAGGAACTAACATGAAACAGCTGGTTTCTTTTCTGTATGATTGGCCTCCTACCACAACTGGAAAATATTCATCCTTTGGAATCATAGCTGCCAGATTTAATTGCTTTATATGCAGACTAGTCTAGCTTCTCATCACAAATCTGTGTCTGTGTGTCCAAGTTGATTGTGAAGACTTAAAATGAGCAATAAAACATTAAATTCAAAAAAACATTGAGGAAGGAGAATAATACTTGATAGTTCCGCCATATGCTGGGGGGAAAAGTATTCCAAAATAGAGCTGTAAAAATTCTGTTAGGTGCTATTGTCAATTTAACATCTAATTAAAAGCACCCTAAGAAAATGGAAGACGGTAATGAGCCAATGGGGTAGCGTGTGTGCTGGGCATGGGGAGGCATAAAGAGGCTCTAGAGAATGGGGGCTGGAGGGAGCAGTCCTTTTAGGCAGCTTTGTTTTCCAAGAGGAAAGGGAAATCTGTGAAAGCATGTATTCTGTACCAGTGGGCCAGAAATGTTCCTATACTTTGTGTTTCTTTTTTCCCGAAGCAATGCCAAGTCTGGCCCAAGCAGAATTTGAAAGTAGGTCAGGAGTCTCAGCTCCCCGCACCCTGAGCCCTGGCCCACTTCCCCTTCCTCTGCCAATTTTCCTGCGTCTTAGAGTTTCCTCCTTCCCAACAGACAGGGTGAACCTCCTGCTGCCCCATACAGGCTAGGGCTCCTCACCTCAATCAAGATAGGTGTTTATAGTGGTGTCTCCATATCCCTTTTCTCTTTTTTTTTAACTATGGAAACTCAGTTATCTTATGTAACTTACTAAACTCATCCCTATGATAACCATGTATCCTCCCTCTCAAAGTGACATATTTGCATACTAACAAATGCTCTGTTGAGACTCTCTCCCCCAGCCAAAAGACTACTCTAAAAGTGAGAATGTGGCAGGGCAAGGTGGAACACACCTGTAATCCTAGCACTTTGGGAGGCTGAGGCAGGAGTTTGAAACCAATCTGGGCAACACAGCGAGACCTTGTCTCTACAAAAAGAAAAAAAAAATCAGCTAGGTGTGATGGTTCGTCTGTAGTTCCAGCTACTCGGGAGGCTGAGAGTGGGGAGGATCACTGGAGTCTAGGAAGTCGAGGCTGTGGTGAGCCGAGGTCGTGCCACTGCACTCCAGCTTGGGCAGCAGAGTGAGACCCTGCCTCAAAAAATAATTAATAATAAAATAAAAGTGGGACTTTTAGGCAGAAGAAAAAGCTATTTTGAAATAAGTTTTATCTTTCTCATCCCTCAAATCCTTCTCATCTGCTACTGAAGCCCTGTTGATAGCCAAGGAAAATCACACACAGATTATCAATGTGGTCAACAGGTGGCCCCACATACAAACCAGATGTCACCATTGACACTTTAAATATTGTGCACTTTTCCTAGGATGTGATCTTGAGGTCTCCCATATGGGAAGTTGCCAGTGGCACTGCTGAGCATCAGAACCACGTATATGTAACTGTATGTCCCATATTCCCAGTTTGCTCTCCTTGGATATCCAGATAATTTTAAATTGTTGAAACATATATCCTTGAAGCCCCTTTAGTTTGAGTCCAAGTAAGACCATCACTTTTGCAGATTTTTCAGAGCTGATTCTTGCCATGTTGATTGGTTTTTTTTTTCCCTACCCATATTCTCCAAATTTTAGCTGCTTTCGTGTGATTCCTGGCTTTCCAAACAATGATAAACCCTGGCTTTTCTGTGTGTCCTTTGGGTTTTTTATGTGTTCTCTTTGTGAACAACTTCACATTAAAAGATGATGCCTATATATTAATATCTACTTCTTTCCATACCAAAGTATATGTGTGTACACTATAAATAAAAACTCTTAGAGCTTTATAGTCCTCCCTTGCCTAAGTGCCGCCCCCAGAGATACTGATTGTACCACGCTTTTAAAAACAACAGGCCAGGCACAGTGGCTCACGCCTGTAATCCCAACACCTTGGAAGGCCGAGGCAGGAGGATTGCTTGAGCCCAGGAGTTCGAGACCAGCCTAGACAACATGGAGAGACCCCATCTCTACAATTTTTTGATTAGCTGGGCATAGTGGTGTGTGCCTGTGGTCCCAGCCACTCAGGAGGCTGAGGTGGGAGGATCGCTTAAGCCCAGGAATTCAAGACTGCTGTGAGCCATGTTCGTGTCACTGCACTCCAGCCTAGGTGACAGAGTGAGACCCTGTCTCAATAAGAACCAAAAACAGATAATTCTCTTGACATCTGTGGTTGAAAACTGCTGGTTGAGAGTCTTGCAAAGGGAGTGATATGTCTAGGGCCACAGCAGTGGTTCTCAATGGGACAATTTTGCCCCCAGGAGACCATTGATTTGGAAATATTTTTGGTTGTCACAGCCACAGGGAGAGAGTGCCGCTGGCATCCGTTAGGTAGAGGCTAGGGATGCTGCTAACCGTCTCTCCCACCTCTCCTGTAAGAATGAATTACCTGGCCCAAAATGTCTGTAGTGCTGGGAAAGCCTGGGTGAGAGGAAAATGAGAGAAGAGTGCCTCATTTGTCCTGCCACCTCGGTTCTGCTGGAGCACCTTGAGGGAAGGATGGAGACTCTTCCCTTTGAAACATCCCTGATCATCTTGCCCCCAGTTGCCCTCCTAAGCCACCACTGGAGATATGAAAGAGGGACTTTCCAATCACATACCCAAAGAAACACTATATTTGTCTTCTCATTTCATAACAGTGCAGCAGGAAATATTTTTTCCATAGTGCCTGAAACGTAAACCCTCTCACTACACATTTTAAAGGTCAAATTACATTTTTGTCTCATTGAGATCAGAAAAACAATTATACTGAAGTGTAGAAAATTGAAGGCTTTGCTTTATCGTCTGTTTTTCATCATAGAATTCTACTCAGTCCTTAGAAGAAAATGGAAAAATTAAGAACCAAAGGTTGTAGCTAATGATAGGCAGTCACTTTCATTAGCCATTCTGTTTCTACCTGAGTCTTTTTCTCATTTTGCAATAAAACCAAATATCACAGTGGGGACCAGGATTAGGATGAAGATCTGAGACATGTAAAGATAAATACAGTAAGGACTTGTTCCATTAAATGTCTGCTTGGGGGTTATTCTTTTTCTTTGACTTCAGCCAGGGAGCAATATTACTTGGTGTTTCTGGCATATCTGGCATATATCCAACTACTCTGATGCCAGTGACATACCCAGGTATGCCAGCCATTATGCTCTTTAAGCCAAATGAACAGAAGGTCTTTTACATATCTTACGGTGCCGTAGTGGTTGAACAAATACTTATTGGCCATTTTATTACTCTGTCTTAATTAGGAGATCACTGGAATTGTGGCATTATATATACTTTAACAGGTAAGCATAGGAAAAATACATATTAGGCGAAACAGGTCCTAGAATCAGATCTGTGTCACAGAATAGATGCTGTGACAACAAGCAAATTTGGGTTTTGAGTTCAGTCACATGGAAGATGTTGATATAAACATGAGGAATGAGTCAAGATTCCATTGTTAAAGCAACGTGGCTGAAATTTGATAGTAAACACTCCTAGTGTACACTGAGAGTATCTGGGGTAGTATAGTGTAGTTGTACAGTAATAAGATGATGCTTTTCTCTGTGCCATTCAACAAGGCATGTTTATAATAGGATTACCAGTAGGAAAGTTGCCTTTAGGAGCCTTTTCAGCCACTTAGCATTGTTATATAATAATTTTTAAAAGCTTTCAATTCCCTGTTTAATTATCAGGAATGTGTTAAACAATTACTAAATTTTGTTAATTCCTTAGATTAAACAAGTAGTGAAGACAAAAATCAAGAGTTTGGCCAGCTGGAGCAACACAGGGAGACCTCATCTCTACAAAAAATTTTAAAATTAGCCAGATGTGGTGGTACAGTCCTTTAGTCCCAGCTACTCAGGAGGCTGAGGTGGGAGGATCATTTGAGCCCCCAGGTTGAGGCTGTGAGATAAGCCGTGATCATGCCATTATACTCCAGGCTGGGCAACAGAGAAAGACCCTGTCTCAAAAACAAACAAACGGGTGGGCACAGTGGCCCACACCTGTAATCCCAGCACTTTGGGAGGCTGAGGTGGGTAGATCACTTGAGGTCAGGAGTTAGAGACCAGCCTGGCCAACATGGCTAAACCCTGTCTCTACTAAAAATACAAAAATAAGCCCGGTGTGGTGGTGCATGCCTGCAATCCCAGCTACTCAGGAAGCTGAGGCAGGAGAATCACTTGAACCTGGGAGGCAGAGGTGGCAGTGAGCTGAGATCACACCACCGCACTCCAGCCTGGGTGACAGAACAAGACACTGTCTAAACAACAAAAACAAAACAACAACAACAACAACAAAATCATAAGAGTTCAGTGTGTTTTTGGTTTTGTTTTTAATAAAATCAAGTGTTTGAATTGTGTTTTTTAATGTTTTGTTTTAAAAGACATTTAATAAAAGGGCTCTATCTCTTTCTGCTCTGGAAATGAATACAATCCTTGCAATGATCAAAATCTATACAAACCAGACTTTCTGACTAATCCCTTTCCTTCTCATCAAGTAGTTTTTCTAAGTGTTCACCTGCTTGTGACTTGGACAAAGCACCATAGAAAGAGAATTAAACTTTTTTCTCCCCACCCCCAACATTCAATATTATGCCAGAAGTTAAAGAAACAGAGAGTATGGGGATGAACATTTACTTGCAAGGGACACCAAGAGACAATAATGGAAGAGGCTAATAAATACATTTATGCCTCAAGAGAGCCATATGTATGGTTTCCATTGCTGTCTAGCTGACAAATTGCCCAAAATGACTCCTTTTCCTCACTCTGCACCAGTCCAATAAACCGAAATAAGCTCCGGGATCTATTCTGAAATTGTGAAAAGGGCAAATACACATATAACATGGAGAAACTCAAGGTTCCCATAACTTTGTGACTAAGGCAAGTCCCTGTAGTGCAGTATATTTCAAATCTTGCCTCATTTGTGAATATGTGTCTTTCTAAATAGGTGTAGCTCACTCTTTGGAGGTGAAAGCTTCTCTTTTCCTATTTTCTTTCTTCCCTGAGGTTTTCCTCTGCAATAGATGTTTCCCCAGGGCCTTTGCAAGGACTGAATGAATCAGTTGACATGAAGGAAGAGCAGGTTGATAAATACAAAAAGTACTGAACTGGCCTTTTCAGTTTAGGTATAGTCCCCAGGAAACCAGCATAAATAGCACCTCTTATTAATAGCCTTCCTGAGCTACACGTGTGGATTACCTCCATACGTTATGTCAGTCACACACTTGGCACTGGCAGTCAGCTCCGCTGGCACTGCAGCCTTCTTTGCAGAATAAAGGCCCACAATAAGAGCTGGAAGACAAGAAATTGGTTCTAATTTCAGCCTGAAATCGGAAAAGATTTCTGAATCTTCTCAGCAGATGAAAGCTTACCAATCAACCAGCCCGGGAATGTACTTCTGAAAAGGAATTGTTTTCATCATAAAATAGAAAAATAAAGAGGAAATAAGCAAATTGTTCTATCTACACATTCCCATAGGATACTAGAGTATGGTCTTTTAAAAAATATATATGCAATATAGTCTATTTTCACTAGAAAAAAGAAGATGAATTTGTTCTTATATCTTAGTATAAATATAAAATACATTATAATACTAAAAAGTGAGTCCTAAATTACAATTTCAGAATGCATCTTGGAGCTTATTTCTGTTTTTTTGGACTGGTACAGTGAGACTAAGGAGTTATTTTGGGCAGTTTGTCAGCTAAGTCAGCAACAAATCATATAGAAAGGCTGTACGTGAAGCCAATAAAATAGAACTCCTTATATGTATACTACATGCTGCTTCTAGTGACTCTAAACTCTTGATTCTTACCAGGCCATATTCTAATGAAAGACGCATTTTCCAAGGTTTATTAACCACTTAATTAGGAGGCACGGGATGTGGAGTTAGATAGATTAAGGTTTAAATCTCATCTCTACATATTCTAGCTCTGAACCTGGTTGAGTTTTTTAACTCCTTCTCAGCTACAAAGCAGGAATACTGTTATCACTTTCTAGGGGTTTTGTGAAAATTCATATATAAGTAATGTATCTGTCACATCATTCTAGAAAATCACTAGCCTGGCCCATAAGAGATGTTCAGTTAAGGTTGATTCTCTTCCAGAGTAGCATTTGGGAAATTTCTTTTCCTCTACACCAAGACACTGGCAATAAGTTATCCCTTCCAACTTTCTGTTTATTTAGCATGCAGTGGAGTCCAGCTATGGGATAGGAATGGTTCATCACCACTTCTACTTTTTATTACTTGATGAAGAGAGAAGTAAGGCAAAGGGACACCCACTTCTGAATGTCACAGTTGCCACCAAAACAGCTCCCCTTCCCCTTTCTTGTCTTGCCATGCCTTCGCTACCTCTCTCTTCCCCTTTCTTCATTCATCCACTTAATAGATAGATGAATGTGTGTCAAGCCACTACTTTTCAAACATTTGAGTGCACGAGGAGCATCAGGGCCCCATTTCCAGATATTCTGATTCTGTGGATGTTAGGTGGCACCCAAGAATCTTCCACTCAGTGAGTCTAGTGAGTACAAATGTAGGTGGTCTGCAGACCACACTTGAAGGAGCACTTCTAGAAAGACTGAGGGATAAAGACAGTCTTCCTCCTAAAAAAGCCCATGCACTAGTGGCTGCAGATGTAAACAAGCTGGAATGGAGCTGGGGGGAGGAAAAATCAACTCTACCTGGCTCATTAGGAAAGGTTCCATTGCAGAGGTGACCTTTGAGCAGGATCTTGAAGGAAGACTAGAAATTTGCCAGATGGAGAAGGAAGAAAGAAGATTCCATGCAGAAGAAGCAACACAAAGAACCAGAGGCAAGAAAGAACATATGTGCTCAGGGAGAAGTACCCTTCTTCCATCAATAATGATGGGCACGGTGGCTCACACCTGTTATTCCAGCACTTTGGGAGGCCAAGGTAGGAGGATTGCTTGAGGCCAGGAGTTCAAGACCAACCTGGACAACATGGAAAAACCCTGTCTCTACCAAAAAAATATAAAAATTAGCTGGGTATGGTGGTGTAGATCTCCAGTCCCAGCTACTCTGGAGGCTGAGGTGGAAGGATCGCCTGAGCCCAGGAGGCGGAGTTTGCAGGGAGCCAACATCACACCCACACCGCTGCACCCCAACCTGGGCAACAGAGCCAGACCCTGTCTCAAAAAGAAAGTTAATATAACTAATGATGATGGTCTCACTCCATCAATAAATGAATTTTAAGCACATCCCTCTCAAATCAGAAAGTTCATTTATAAATTATACATGTGTACTACTGTTAATCTGTATACTAAAGATGAGGAAAGCCTACTTAGAATAACAAGTGAGTACATAAAATTTAATATTGTATTCCTGCTCCATTTTGGAAGCCTGGACTAGGGTACGGCCTTACCATGGGCAATAACAACACCTGTGATTGTGGGGAAGAGCCTTCTAGGCCAAAAACAAGAAGAGCCCCTCCCCTCCCCTTTTCACATGAGAGCCTGCCTGGAGGCCAGGAGCAGAGGAGGCTAGGCCTGGCTGCCTTGGGTTGAATGTGGGCCAGCATTTCTGGCACTTCTTGTACTATATCAGTTTCTTCCAGTTTCTGTTCCTGTTATTTATGTTCAGCAACCATGATGGCATCTACATAAATGCCCTTCCCCTTGCCCCCACCGTTTTCTTTTTTCTTTTCTTTTTTTGGAAGGAAATACAACAGTGATCAGAGTGATTGGCTCTATTTTGTGCTTGAGACAAAGGGGCATTTTGCTTTATTTTGTTTTATTTTGAAATTTGTTTCATTTTATCCTGCTTTCTAATATTTTCCAGTTTTTTAGTAGAGATGGGGTTTCACCATGTTGGCCAGGCTGGTCTTGAACTCCTGACCTGAGGTGATCTGCCTGCCTCGCCCTCCCAAAGTGCTGGGATTATAGGCATGAGCCACCACGCCCGGCAGATGTAACTTTAAAAGGGGAAGCGGGGGAGTCAGCATTTTTATAGTCAAAGACACTGAAATACAGTCAAGTTACTTTCCCTGAATAGTGACCTCCATGAAAAGAAACTGAACTAATAAGTAATTAGCAAAGATAAAAATTTCTATTGTTCATCAAAGTCATATGTACAATTTCTAAACAGAGGAATATAGATTTTTCAGTTGAACATTTAATGTTGTGGGATTTCCATACTATGGGATTATGCTATTCTGTCATTTAAAAAATTCCAATAAGAAAAAGAAATCCCTGTATATTTTTTAATTAATTATGTCCTTTTTGAAGAACTCCAAAATATTACTAATGTTGAGAGTTAGTCCTTATACTAAATCTGTGTGTCTCATCCCAGAAATGCACCTCAGACAGTATGATGAACAATTTATTAACCATGATTTCAAATCATTGTATGATTCCAACATAAAATATGCAGACTAAACAATATTAACACATTGTATTGCCTCTCATAAAAGTAGTAGAAATAAAATGTCAGCCTGATTGGCAATTGAGTGTAGTCATTGATGTTCATTGACAGTCAGATGGATTTTGACTTTGCTTTGTATGTTGAGTGTGGTTCATGCTTGAGGCACCCCCACTCTATTTCCCGGATGAGCGTGATTAGTAGGCAGCCTTTCAAAGGGTTATGTGCTAACCCCAGTCTACATGCTGTGGACATGTATGCAGGGTTTTATATGTTTACCAAATAACACTGTTAAACCCAATAAATCTTTAGAAGGACCAATTTGTCACCAGTGCTGCATTTAAAAAAAAAAAAATCTATTATTATTTTTCAGTTTTGAAAAGAATTCAGGTTGTTATAAAACCTAAATGCAAATATATACAGAGTGGAAGGTGACAGACCCGGGAATTCCAGCAGTGTAACAATAAACAACAACAAATAGCCAAGGACTGGGTAATGTGCTCAGGGTTAAATAAGAGTCAGTGGAAGTGGAGAGGTGCATGGGACAGACAGACATTTCTGGGGTAGACTTCCAAGGATGTAACCATGTGGGAAGTGAAGGAAGAGGAGCCATGGACACTGGGTGAGAGATGACACCAGTAACCAGCATAGAGGGTGCAGGAGAGAGGACAGGATGGGGAGCAGAACAGCAAGGAAGAGCCGGGAATTGGCAGTGTGCAAGAACGTGAGTGCCCTTTACAGTTAGGGCTGCCAGGCCTCCTGACCCTGGGAATAAAGAACCGTACGGTCTTTCTGCATTTGTGGCTGTCAAGCCAGGGAAGCATCTTTGTTGACAGCTGCAACAAAGAAATTGAGAAATTGCAATTGAGAAATTGGTGAGCTGAAACCCCTGACTAGCTTTGCCCTGGGCCCAATAATTGCTGGTAATACTTGGGGAGTTGGACCAGAAATGGTACTCATGGGAACAGTACATTAGGCCTTAAATGTATAAAGGAAGTTTTCCTGCCTTGCAACTAGTGGGCAAAATTTAAGGGAAGGGACACAGATGCTCAGTGCTAGCTAGTACGGGGCAACTGTAGCTTGCCAGCTCAAGGCCCACGTGGTGGTCAGTGGGCACTACTAGGCTATCAGCCCAGCTGACATCCCTCTCAGGGGATGTTAGAACCGTTGGTCACAGTTCTTATTCCTTTGCATTAAGAAGCGGCAGAGCCCACAGTGGAGGGAGATGTTTTTATACCACTCTTTTCTTTTTAGTGAAAGAAATGGAAATTCTTTATGCAGGGAAGCCTGGCTGTAGGGCTTATCAGTCTTTGGCATGCTTTATGCTATTTGGTAGAGGCCAGGAAGGCTGAAATATTCATTAGCATTCATAGCATCCTTTCTCTCCAGCAGTTCCCACCTTCTCTTTCTACTGCATGCGCCTCCTGCTGGGCCTGCCTCCCTCCCCATGCTCCCATTCTGCAATTGTTGGCTTGGCGAATGATGAGTTAAGCTCCAGCTGAAGTACTTTCCCCACAAGAAGGTTCTGCAGCAAAATTGTCTGGGATCAGATGGTCCCCGGCAATTCCTCTCACTCTAGTCTCCCTGAGGCAAATGCATGGAAGATGGAATGTGGCCTGGTTTTAAATCTTTAACATCTAACTCTGGCTGTTGTTACAGATTGAGTTCTTCACCTCCCCTTTGAAATTCTGCTTTCATTCCTCGGTATCTACCAGCAGGTTCTGCTCTCCAGCTTATCAACTACATTGATGGTCCTGTGGCTGCCTCTCTATGGTGGCATCTTTGTATTTGAAGAACACTAGGCCTGACATGACTCACCCAAGCTTCCAAATGAATCAATTTTGTCACTCAATGCCTCCATCTCCAAATTTAAAGAGCCTTTCACAGGGGAGAAAATGATAAATCTATTACTACTAACGAGGCTTTCTGATTCTTTTCATTATTGTTATTATCAGTGCTCTATAGAAAGGAATCAAGACAGTGGAAACATTTTTATAAAATGACACTTTATCTCTGTGATTAACTATATAATAAACTGTAAAGTCTTTGCCATGGTAATCTCCTCCTTACACCTTATTGCTTTGATAATAAAAGCTTTTTTATGGCAACAAAATAAAATTTTACTATCCAGGCAGTTTGGCTAAAATGAGAAGATGTGTTTTTAGAAGGAGAAAGGGCACATCTGAAACATGTGAGGTCCGCGTGGATTTTACGGGAACTCTGTTTATGTAGAACACGTTTGACGTGCCTGGTGCCCTCCAGAGGGCTTTACCCAACCATTTAGAAAACTTTTAGTGGCCAGTGGAAAGCCAATTAAAGAGTTATGTATTTCTGTCAAGTACTCAGGATCACTGTTGAAAAGCAAAAACATTCAGAACTTAGCATTTCAGATGATCAGTGGTGGGAGAACAAATTTCAGTAATTAAACCACCATAGTTTGCAAACTGCCTGTTTTGACTCAGCCAAACCTTGTGTGTTTGGTGAGTATCATGACACCTTTACTCATAAGCTTATGTCTCCAATGATTAAATTCTGTCAGTGACCAAAAGTTTTGCATAAATGTGATGTATATGCAAGCACCACAATGTACTAGTAAGTTTCATTATTGTTATGCCACAGAAAAATGAATATGTTGTCTTCCCTTATATTCATCACTATCAAGAAATTTTTATTGAGCAACCCATAATAAGTCTAAGATCATGAAATTGAACAGAAGTTTTTAAAAACTTAGTCAGAGCTCTCTAAGGAAGTGACGATTAAGCAAAGACCTGAAGGAGGACTCAGAGCTGATTAGATGAAGAGAAGCAAGGTTAAGCAGAAGAGTTGTCTTCAAGGTAGAGGGAAGGGCTTGTTTCAAGCCCCTGTGGCAAGGAGAAAGCCAGGCTTGCTCCTCCTGGGATGTCAGGAAGCTTAGATGAGATCATTCCAGGAAGGCACTGGCACTCTACCTAATGTGCCTGGCCCACCATCTGCACTCAGAAAGTGATCAGCTCACATTTCGAGGCAACTGAGGGCTGATATGTGTCTGCAGAGGTGTACCTCGAAAGCAAGTGTGTGACCTTGCAGCTTCCACAGTAGGAATGTGGTTGATGATACTGTCTCTGATTCTTCTGTGACTCATCAACTCCCTAATGTCATTCCTCTCCAAGGGACTCGCTCCTCCCTCCATATCTGGTAACTCCATACCAGGGCTTTGCCAAGTGCCCTCTGTCCTATCCAGCCTGCAGAGTTGTCAAGCCACACTTGACCACCCATACGTGTCTGTCTCTGTCCTGGTACCTCTAAGAAGATTCCACAGAACATGGAAATGGCACCGATGAAATTACTCCCAAAACTGGATGTGACACACCCAGACACCCCAGGCTTTGTGGGCATTTAGAAGGATTTAGGCATGGTCTTTCCTCTCTGACCTTCTTTTAGTCTGGCACTCGCTTGATGTAAGGCTGGCTCCTCACTGTCTGACAGCCTGCCAAAGGACAGGCTGGCTTTACTACTTCCTCCACATCCACTTCCCACCATTATTCTTCCCTTGACAAGCCTACTGCCTGGAAAGCAAAACTCAAGGAACTCTCAGGTCTACACATTGAGATTCTCAAGGGCAGGCCGGGTTTATCTGCCCTGGGCTGGCCCCTGATCTTGGTTTGCATCAGTTCATCAGCTCCAAGCTGGGTCCTGAGTCAGCAGAGATCACTGACTTGCCTTTGTGCACATGAGTTTTGAAAGCAGCCACCCATAGATAGCAGAGCTTGAATTACTACGATGCTTGCAGACAATCTTCTATGGAAATACCCAGAGAAACGGAAGCCTGGTTTGATGCCAACTTCACAGGCTCTTTCACATCCTCAAGGGTGTGCATTAAGCAGATTAACAATTTATTGTGTAAACCCTCTTCCCTCCTGTTGCTAGCCCAGAAGGTCTGAACTAACCATTGTATATAAATGCCCAGCTTTGTTTAATATGTGTTAGACCCGGGGACAAGTATTGTACCCCAAATGTCCATCTTGTAAATTCTCTGGGCACAAAATTATGTTAACAAATTTGATCAACAAAAGTGTTACGATGGTCTTGTAGCTGATAAAGAAATTAGCAAAGGCCCTTGCACACACCACCATTCCACCAACCCCACACACAAGTGGGAGGATTCCCAAGCCTCCAGGACCTCTGCTTTGCCTGCAGTCTGCTCCTCTCCCCTCCACTGGGCATCTGAGGACATGCCAGTCTTGTGTCACATGCAGCAGTATTTCCCTTAGTGTGTGCTGGGCATGCTCTCTAAACCCAGGGACTCTATTTATAAAGCCTTCTAGTTGATTCAGGGAAGGGAATCCTAATTGCTTCTTCTTGCCATCGTCATTTTCTTTCCTCTCTATCTGCTTTTCACTATTTCCCCAATGAGTCCTGGCAGGTCCTCTCACATCCTTCTCAGCTCTCCCACAAAGAATGTCGTCGTGCTGAGTTTTCTGTCTTCTCTCTTCCCTTTCTGTAAGGGATAAAAATTCAAAACATGTCCTCAAGCAGAGTAGCTTAACCATATATTTGTAGTTTGGGCTTCTGGCTCCACATCTGTAGATTCTCCCCATATCTCCCCAACAGCTTGTCTCGAACAGTCTTTGTTTCCCTAAAGTAAGGTAGCAGTGCCCCTCTCTAAGAAGGTTGTAAATAATGAAAACATACATACACACACACACACACACACACACACACACACACACAGATGCCTCTGTCATGGCTATGTTTGTGAACTTGGCAGAGAAGCTCATAATCACAGGAGCACAAAGCCTATTGACTCAACCCGGCATTTCATACAATTACTGAATATATGCTGGTTGATTACATAGACAGTCTCTGGAAATGCAAGAACTTGTCACATTGGAGACCTCCAAGGAGGGGAACTGAGTAAGTTGGGGCAGAGATGGGATAAAGAGTTCCTTCTCACTGTACACCTTTCTGTATCATGCATTTCCTATATTTAAAACACACTGACATACCTATGTAATGTCAATAGGTAAGGGACAGGCGTCCTGATATGTTGGTTACACCAAAGTGATCATATCCAGTGACCGTAAGCCATGTGTGTCATGGGGCTGGCTGATGTTGTCTGCAGTTGAGGGACTAGGCTTAGAGCCCAGTTCTGGAGAACATGCCATGCACTGTGCAATTAGTCCTTTCCACTAGGATTTCCTGGTTGGGAAGAGCTGAGTTCCTCAGCACACAGTCCTTTACTCTTCAAGTATTTAGGTTGCACAGTCTACTTGAGGAGCCCCTAAACTGCTATGGATATATTCCAGAAGTCACTTCTTACTTTGACAAATACTGCAAAATTTTTCAGAGGAAGTAAATTTTCAACACACTTTAAATTGCAAAAGTACATCTGATGGAGAAGAAAAAGTCCATGTGATGGAACAATCTGAGAGTAATAAAGATGATAACAGTGTTTTGAAGCACATTAAATATGAGTTTATAATTAATGTGTATAATTAAAATATACAAACAAGCAAAAAAATCTTCTTGATTACCTTTGAAGGATGCTAAGGAACCAACTATCATTTTGAAAACAAAAGGGGAGAATCAAGCATTCATCCTACCTTACCTATGCAAACTATACTTCATGATAACCAAATCATTGATAAAGTTTCTCTTTATGGAAGAATTCCAGGAAATAAGAAAGAGTTATAGAATGTGAATATCTCAATTTTGCAAACCCTATAAAATCTAGGCAATGATCATCAATGGCTGCTAAGATCATAAAAAAGAGAGATGTCTTTTGTATTTCCTATAAATTTGCCATTTTAGATGTAGAAATTTGATTAAATTCAGTCTCATTTTTTTTCAGGTGGAGTAGTTCATATCGTATACTTCCATCAGCACACACATAATGACACAATACACTTATCAAGTGTTCCTCCTAAGAAAATAAAACCTGAATCTAATCAGATTTCTACATCTAATAACAAATTTATAGGAAATACAAAAGAACAGGCTAAATAACACCATGGAGATGTAATCAGCAAAATTCAGGCTTTGCACAACTCTTCAGGACAAACAACCTAATTTCTTCAACAAATAAATTGCAAAGGGGATGAGAAAACAGATGAGAGGGAACCTCTGGATTAAAACAGATTTAAGAGTCAATCAACCAATTGGAATGAACAGGGCTTGTTTAGATCCTGGTTTTAACACACTGTTAAAAAAAAAAAAGATTTATGGGACAGTTGGGGAAATTTGAATACTAAGTAGATATCTGATACCATTAAATTATTGTGAATGTTTTATAGATGCTATAGTAAATTATTGTGGTCCCCAGAAGTCCTTATGTTTTAAAGATATATATTTAAATATTATGACTAAACTAAAAATATAAAGATAATCTGACATCTGTGCTCACCCACCCTGGGGATTTTCCCCAGGCTCTTCACCCTGCACAGCTCCCTGCCTTTTTGCTGAAACCTCTCTTCACTCCTTCCTACATAAAAATCTGTAAAAGGACATATAAGGAATTTGTCATGATGCATTACTTCTGGGAGGGGAACTAGAGAACTGGGGGTTGGGATGGGATAGGAGAGAAGCAAACTTTGGGACAGATCATTGTTAGCTTTATGCAGGTAATACCTTTTCGAAGGACTAACCAAAAAATAAATGAAATACGAGAAAAAGTTCATTAGAACCTTGAAATGCTTACTCGGGAGAATGAAAAAGGCAGAGACTTATGTTGTTGAGCATGTGGATGGATTGGCCCAGACCATATTTCTCAAAGTATGGTCCCAGGACCATCTGCAGCAGAATTGGGCCCATCTCCTTCCTTCCCAGCCAGAATCTCTCAGGGTAGAGCACAGAGACACTGGGAACTACAGTCCTTAAGGACCTAAGTGCCAGCTTTTCAAATACTTATTATATTGTTTTGGAACTTTGGAATGTATAGGACAAAAATATTCCCAAATTTAAATTCAAAGCAGCACAATTCTGAAAGTCTAAAAGACTTTTTTTTAGGTTTGTTGACAATGATTTAATCAGCAGATGTCACTATGTAATCCTTGGGAACATCCCTTCGATGTTGCCTCATTTTTTGGAGAGGCAGAGTGTACTGCTGGCATTGTAGCATAGAAATATTTATGGTAATTTTGTATTTTGTTTAATGAAAATAATTTTACTTTCAGTGCTTATTAAAAGTTTATCTTTGATTAAGCATTCTTTGCTTTTGTTTTTGTTTTTGTTTTTCCCCAGCATCATTGACAAAGAAGTTTCATTAATGGCAGAAATGGATAAAGTTAAAGAAGAAGCCAGTAAGTAGACAACACATGGTTATTTGATTAGGAGCTTCCCAATCAGAAGCAATCCATAGGTCAGACTGACAATGATACCGGCTTCTGAACAGGGTCCTAAAATTTATATTGAAATTTTGGCTCATGAACTCTGTAACCTTAGTCATGTCACTTAGCCCCTGGAAGCCTCATTTACATCATCTGGCAAAAAGATACAGTTGTAACACTCACCTCGTACAGGTGAGTACATGGCAGGATGGACACTCAGTACATAATAGGTGTCAGTTGAGTTTTCTAAAGTCCAAAGGGATGTTTGTGCACATAAAGAACTTATAGTTAATTGGATTTAAAATGACACTGAATTTAGTATTAGATTTTAAGACAATTTTAACTCTTTAAAACTTACAAATCTCATCATCATTTTTACTAGTTCTTTTTTAGGTTCAATTAAGTTTATCATATTAAATTTTCCTAGAAAAGTAGTCCCATTTGAAACTTAATTACTTAAATTCCCCTCAACATTTTTAATTACATATATAAATTTAATATATCTGATTTGTCTTAAGCACTTCAGATGTCAGACAAGGCAAACTCACAAACCTAACAAGCAAAGTGTTCCTAAGCTTTTAAGCAACTCTTATAAAATTAATAATTCAAGGCTGGGCGCGGTGGCTTACGCCTGTAATCCCAGCACTTTAGGAGGCCGAGGCAGGCAGATCACAAGGTCAGGAGATCGAGACCATCCTGGCTAACACGGTGAAACCCCATCTCTACTAAAGATACAAAAATAAAAAATTAGCCGGGCGTAGTGGTGGGCACCTGTAGTCCCAGCTACTCAGGAGGCTGAGGCAGGAGAATGGTGTGAACCCGGGAGGCAGAGCTTGCAGTGAGCCAAGATTGCACCACTGCACTCCAGCCTAGGCGACAGAGCAAGACTCCATCTCAAAAAAAATAATAATAATAAGATTAATAATTCAAAATTAAAGATACACTAAACAGTTTTTTTTTGTTTTTGTTTTTGTTTTTTACAGAGTCTCACCCTGTCACCCAGGCTGGAGTGCAGTGGCACAATCTCTGCTCACTGCAAGCTCCACCTCCCAGGTTCACACCATTCTCCTGCCTCAGCCTCCTGAGTAGCTGGGATTACAGGCGCCCACCACCACGCCCAGCTAATTTTTTGGGTTTTTAGTAGAGATGGGGTTTCACCATGTTAGCCAGGATGGTCTCAATCTCCTGACCTTGTGATCCGCCCAGCTCAGCCTCCCAAAGTGCTGGGATTATAGGCTTGAGCCACCGCGCCCGGCCTAAACAGTTTTCTTAAAATACTCCAGTTCTGTTCATGAACTTCGTCAAATACACTGACACCTGCCAACTTAAAACCGCAAAAGAAAATCAATTCCATATATTAAATTGAAAATCACAAATCAGATTGCTTAATGTACCAAATTCTCTGTTTAAATAATGAACACGCTCAAATTATCTTGATCATTGCAAAACTTAATCCTAAATTTAACATAAAATATTAACATTCTGGGTTTGACTTGTTTTATTTTCTTTATGCTGATTTCTAAACCTTTCCACTGTGGTAAAGTTACTTGAGTAGTAGAGAAGAATTACCATCTTAAATAGACTGAGGCTCATGAGTTGGAAATTTCAACAAAGACAAGATTACTTTGTCAGATTCAACATCAAACCACAAGTGAATGTGTGAGGCCCTCCCTTATTATTGAATTTAGTTTGCTGTGTTAATGGGGCCCCTAAGACCCTATTTTCCAGCTGGGATTCAGTTTTACAATCCTTGTCTCCTGGGCATTTTAAATTCCTCATCTTTACCCAAAGATGAATTGGATAAATGGCAGTCTGTGCCCCTAACCAGATTTCAGTGAAATCCCTTTACCTTTGATGTGATGTCTTTCTTTTGCCAGAATGAAAGATCAGACCAGATTCTTCATTCTTTTTTATTTTTCTTGTCTGGACCTAGGCCATAATTCAAGTGTCATTTTATGGAAAATAGCTATCGTTATTTTTGTTACACAGTTTTCTAAATTATTTTGTTATTCATTTCAGACCTCCTTTAGTCAGGCATCTAAATAATTGTAAGCAACATTTTAGAATCCTGAAATACAGCAAGCTTTGTTAAATGAAACTAATGTGATCCAGGGTGAAGCTATGGACTATTTAGGTAGTTAAACAATCTCTTTGATTGTGAAATTATTTTATTCTTATGAAATTTGTTGACATCTTCAGTAACAGTAGATTATATACACAACTTGGGATTTTCCCTACTTCTCAAGTATAGCTTACTTCAGTTTCATGTCCTAATGATAAAAATGCTAACAACCAACACAGACACAAATGATCCTCTTGAACCAAAATGGAAAGTCACTAGCACATCATCACTTTCTTAGAGGTCAAGAAAAGACCTCAGGTTTCATGTACTTATTTTTCCTTCTTGAGACATGATAGTCTTTGATGCCAAGACCTGTGGAATTTGGAGCATCTCTGGAGAGCATCCCATTTTAAAAACTTACTCAATCAGTAAACACACGCGCTTCCTTGTGTCCAGGATAAACAGCAAACAGACAAATGTAGAGCCTGCACTCACCAAGCTTTCAGGCTAGCTGAAACTGCTAGATTGGTTGACAGAGTTCACCTAACTTGAGTAATTGGTATGGCAGGTCCTGGTTTTTGAACTAACCTCAGCCCTGGGGAAGCCCATTTGCATGCTTTTGAGGCAGGCAGAACTGAGTTCAAGTCCAACCTCCATCTCTAACTGGCTGTGTGTCCCTGAACCATGTTGTTGACTTCTCAAAGTCTAATATTCCTTAGGCCCTGGCAATGGCTCACACATATAATCTCAGACCTTTTGGAAGACCAAGGCAGGAGGATTGCTTGAGGCCAAGAGTTCGAGACCAAGCCTGGGCAACATAGTAAGACCCCATCTCTAAAAAAATAAAAATAAAAAATAAATTAGCCACGTGTGGTGGCATGTGCCCATAGTTCTAGCTATTCTAGAGGATGAGAGGGGAGAATCACTTGAACTCAGGAGTTTAAGGATGCAGCAAGCCATGATCATGCCATTACAATCCAGCCTATATAACGGAGAGAGACCCTGTATTAAAAATAATAATAACAATAATAATAATAATAATATCCATCTCAAGTAGTTATTGTAAAGATAAAATGAAAAAATACACGTCAGGCACTTAGCACAGAGCCTGATACAATATGTGTGCAAAAAGGGAAGAGTTCTTATTAGTAAATTACCCCAACCCGCTCATATTACAGTCAAAAAATGGAAGTCAGGGGTTCTATTGCATCTCTCAAATGACAAGCCTGTATCAACACTATGTCTTCTCCACAGATAGAAAGAACCATGGAATTTCTCCCCACTAACTACAGAACTGTCTTTACAACCACCATCTTTAATTTGGTTCTCTGTGGTCTCAAGAGTATTTTTCACACTTTACATTTCCTGTAGACATTATAAATCATATTTCCTCAATTATAACAGAAGCTCCTAAATCCCTCATGGCACCTAACCCAGTGCTGAGAAGACTGCAGGTACTTCATAAATATTTGTTAAATGAGTTATTGTAAATAAGTCAGTATCTGTAGACTGTGGGAACGAATATTAGTGAACATTCCTGTAATTGCACAAAAGAGGAAGTATATTCTAGATGAAGAGATCTCACTTTATCAATAATATTTAGAGTTAGCATTTTGAGTATACTATACGAAACACCTCATGTATGTTATTCCATTTATTTCCACAATACCCCTACAACATGTGATCAGTTCCTACACAGATTTTACAGAAGAAGAAACCAAGTGTGTTGTAGTGCTAGGGTCTCAAACTTCCTGTTTATACCCACATAAGCACAGGTGTCAAGTTCACTAGAGATACGGGAAGAAAACATTACTTTGTAAATTCATAGTAACACAAACAAATTATGAAGTAGAATGCAAAATTCACTAGAATTTTTAAGGAATAAAAAGTATTCCAAAGAATCTTTGTGCTTAAAGAGCCACTTCTCCAGCTCCTGGCCCCTGGCCCCCACCTTGGGATTTTAAGTATATTTTCTGCTGAGGGTTATTGTTTTGAGAAGCCTTCAGATTTTCTATGGTTCAGATAATATGAGCAAGCTTCCAATGTGTTTCAAAAGCTTGAAGGAGTTTATAAATCCTATTGAGAAAGTGGATTTCAGCTTACCAGATACTGTTTATACATACATAATATTAATTAAGTCTTGAATGCAGTGATAACCTAAGCTGTACAGAATTGTCTTCCTCTACAGATTTCTGAAAGCATGGTGCTTCCAAAACATACTTATTATTCTATTGTAAATTACAGGATCAGTGAAGCTTAAGATCTGATCTGTTTTTGTTTGTTTGTGTGATTGATGTTTTTGAGGTGAAAATGTTCATCCCTTCAGCCAAAGAATATTGGCTTTAGATCTCAAGTTTTAAGGCTTTTTTCATAATGAAAGCCTTTGAAATGTTAATGAGACTATATGTAAAATGCATTTTAACACTTGCTGATCCAAAGTATTTGTTTCCATGCACATTGGCATGAGGGTAAACTCAGAATTTATTGGTGATCTTGCACCTGCATTCCTATTTTAGGGCCCATTTATATCTATTTCTACAAAATCTTTTGTTTGGTATGAATGCCCAAGTTCTGCTTAATCAAAAAGAACAATGGCCCTTAATTGTCACCAGTCTCACAAATGATCCATGAAGAAAAGTTAGATCTGTTGGACTGTGTCATCACTGAGGGCCTAATGACCCCTTTACTAGCTGCTTTTCAAGTCTGGGCCTTCAGACTTTTTT
Organism: Homo sapiens; assembly: GCF_000001405.40. Lineage (NCBI taxonomy): Eukaryota > Metazoa > Chordata > Mammalia > Primates > Hominidae > Homo > Homo sapiens. The sequence continues at coordinate 200,464,640 of NC_000002.12, forward strand.
TATTATTATTATTATCAGTTTGATGAGACAGGGTCTTACATTGTTGTCCAGGCAGGTCTTGAACTCCTGAGTCAAGCAATCCTCCTGCCTCAGCCTCCGAAAGTGCTAAGATAACATGTGTGAGCCACTGCGCCTGGCAACAGAATTAATTTTTTTAATTTTAGTTTGCAAGAAGAACATACCTCATTTCATCTTCCTACTTGAATTGTTTTCTCATGCTGCAGATGTTAGTCCCATCCATATATTGAATTATAATGGCAAACAAATAACATAACCAATCAAAGGTGTGGATCCTAAACAGTCTTAAGTGACCCCTGTAGAAAAGGAACTTCCATCCTTCTTTAGATATTCCCTTTAAGTAATAGATTAATTCATTCATTGAATTCTTCACTCAGCAGGCATATTGCATACCCCTTGTGTACCAAGCAGGCACTAGGTGCCATGGACACAAAGAACTACATAGTGCAGTTCACACCGTAGTCCCGAGAATGACTGGAGATGCTCGCAGGAAACAGATAGGTAACATTAATGTGCCAAATGGGGCAGGGGGAAACCATGGCACACTGGGCACCTGACTCCATCTAAAGAGGGCAGTGGCTTCTTGGCTTCAGCCGTTTGTCACCATGTAGGAAGGTTGACCAACTGTGACCAGAAATTCCAGTACTTTAAGAGATGCCAGAGAGCCAGCTTTCAAATGGAATCTTCTAATTTTTAAATGTGGGCAATTAATTTGTAAACGTAATGTGTGGACCAAACAAGACATATGTACTCTGGCTGAAAATGAGAGTGAGCCACCTTTTTGTGACCTTTGGTCCCACTGGGTGTCCTGAGACATCCTTCAGCAATCTGTTGTCTACATTGAGATGAAACTTCCCTTCACTTTCACCATCCAGACAAGTTTTTCACTAGCTCCTCTGTATTCAGAAAGACTATTAGGCACAGATCTGTCTGCCCAGCCACATGGTATTGTAAATGGGGGCTAGGGGGAGCCCCAGTTAAAGAATCAAAGCATGATTAGCATAGTTTGGCAGATGATAAAGCTGTATGAGTTATAGACTAATTATTTTATTAACATCTCAACATTGATATCAGCATAAAAAGATGATGTCTTAGGGCCAGGTGATGGCTCACACCTGTAATCCCAACACTTTGGGAGGCCGAGGCAGGCAGATCACGAGGTCAGGAGATCAAGACCACCATGGCTAACATGGTGAAACCCCGTCTCTACTAAGTATACAAAAAATTAGCCAGGCATGGTGGCGGGCGCCTGTAGTCCCAGCTACCCAGGAGGCTGACGCAGGAGAATGGTGTGAACCCGGGAGGCGGAGCTTGCAGTGAGCCGAGATCATGCCACGGCACTCCAGCCTGGACGAAAGAGCGAGACTCTGTCTCAAAACAAAAGAAGATAATGCCTTTCAGTCTGTCTAAAGAATGGTTTATGATTTGCAGGGAATCTTAACTCTTGATGGATTCTGTACTTCTTTTTGGGCTTTTGCAGTGACTATCTTTTGATATTTTGAGTAATAAGAACTCTTAAAATCAGAAATCATATTGTTTGGACCTGCACGTATGCTGTGAATCTGGTCTAATAAAGCAGTTGATCCTTGTTCAGCCAAGCATAGAATGTGAGTCCGACATGCATGTCATCTTAGATGAATACCTTTTTTCTTACACCTCAAAATGCTTGTCCTAAAGAAATGAAGGCAATTCATATGAGTCGAATTAGAGAGCCAGAAGTCTATCTATTGAAAGATCCAGCTGCATATTTAAATCTCATCCTGTGTGTCTGTATTGATTGCTACTGAGCGCCATAATCTTTTGGGAAACACGTGTATACACACACAGACACAAACCAACTGATAGGCTACTACATCTATTTGAACCTTTAGTTCATCTGAAGATGTGTGAAAATGTTGGAGCCAGAGTACTCCCCAGTGTCTTCTCTACGTGTGCAGGTGCTAAAAAATTCACACGAATCTAGTTCTAGCTGGCCTCACTCACTCTTGAAATTTTTCCACTGGGGACACTTATAGAAAGACCTAAGACACTCTGGGGTAGAACTTCTGTTTTTTTGCTGAATGGAAACATATCTGCAGAGTATCAAAAGCAGAGACATTTTTGGCTCACAAAAAAACTAATAAAGTTAGATTTTTATGTCAGATTCCAGTAACACAGCTAGTCACCCTAAGTGAGTATGTGTTAAAGTTCAAGAGGGCTGCTGCTGTTAAAGTTGAATAGTGCAGCACATATAGAATGATTTCTGCTTAGTAGACTTCCTGTCTTGGCGGTATCACTCAGAGAGGATTTTAATAAGTGTTGTTTTTCAGAGATCGTTGTTCGGAGTAACAAATTTCAAAAGTCTAAATTCCGTAAGTGAGGTCAGACACCAGTGGAGAAAATGTAGAGTGGGAGTGTACAGTGAATCAGAAGGGACTGTGTTTGGCTTGGGGATTGGTGGAGGAGGACAGGAGGAACTGGGTTGTTGGTAATAGGCACAGAGGGTGAACCCGCCTCCATGACCAACTCAGAAAACACAGTCGTGGTCCAACAAAGCAATCAGTCTGTGGAGTGAGAACTGATTCCAAGAAATTAGGTTATTTAATATGTTTCAATCTCTGGCCCTAATGTATGACTCCTCCTTATTTGGCAGTGGAAATCCTGACTGCTCGTCAGAAGAAAGCAGAAGAACTAAAGAGACTCACTGACCTTGCCAGTCAGATGGCAGAGATGCAGCTGGCCGAACTCAGGGCAGAAATTAAGGTCAGTTCTAAAATATCACAGCCTGAACCCTGAGCCAGAGAGCTGATCCCAATTATGTTTGTTTTGCATCCACAGAGTTCTGCTCTCTGAGGATCTAACATGTACACCCAGCTCTCTTCCACAGGGTGGAAATAGAGAACACAGAAGGGGGAAGACCCACATAATCACTGTGTTTAAGTGTAATGTGCTTTGAAGGAATGTGTTACTCCAAAGGAGAGGTACAAGCTATTTTGTCAGTCAGTAGAGACTGAACCAAATAAAGTAACTTGGCCAGGCCATGAATTATAGCTGGGATGGGGGATATTATTTTCACACACTGTGATTTGTATGTATGCATATAAACACATCCACAGGTATATATACACACACGAAGCATGAACGTAGTGTAATGGTGAAGATTAGAAAGCATGCGGTCTGTGGAGATTTCTTTCCTGTATTATTTTCTAGTTTAGTTGCATTTTTATTAAGAATACTACCCATAAATACGTATTTATTAGATTCCTTCATTGACAAGCAACAGAAACTGACCCTGGCTAACCTCAAGGACAAGTAGAATTTGACAGGATGTGAGTATAGCTCAGCAAAGCAGAGCCCTGTCTGAAGGCTCAGCTCAACAATTAGGTAGGAACTGGGGTGGCTCTGGTGAAATAAGAAGCAATAATCACTAGACACTCTCATGGGACCATCAGCCCTGTACCACCCCACTTGGCTCGGATCCCTAAGAGAGAGGCTCTGATTGGCCTCCACTTGGGTCACGTCCATCATTTGGCCCAGAGAGGGTGTGACATCTTGATCGCCAGACCCACCAAGACTGTGGATCTTTGAAACTGCATCAGGGTACAGTTACCAGAAGGGGAAATAGTTACCAGGAAGGCAAGTATAAGTATTTACAACAAAATAGGAAGAAATTTTAAAATTCCCCTTATCCACTTTTTCACCCAGTATACTACACACACACACACACACACACACACACACACGCCTTCCAGCTTCTTACCCACTTCCAGGAAACTAGAGTGGTTGCAAGACACAGCTGCTGCTAGCTTTGAAAGTAAGATTGCAAATTGGGGCATAAAACTGCTTGGCAATGATTGACAGTGGCAAGTGACTTTTCAACTCCCTCCCTCCTGGTTGGGCATGAAAGCGGGCCCCATGGGGAAGAGGACCTCACCTGAGGGTGCTGAGGGCGTCAGTGGCCTTTCCCTCCTCAGCTTCTCTGCTCTGGCCTTTGTGGCCTCCCACCCAGCCAATTGCAGTGGCCTCCACACTAGTCTCTCTGCCTACACTGTCTCCCTTCAGCCTCGTACTCCACTAAGACCAGACGTAAACTCCCAAAGCAGATCTGGTTTCCCCAGTATATCTCCTTCCCCTCAGAAAGAAATTCACAGCTGGACTTCAATATATGTTCCAACTTCCATCTCTCTCTACAAAAATCCCAGCTTGTTAGAACATCAAGTAAGAAATATAAAATTGCTAGCTTCCTGATCTATTGAAATCACCTCATCTTCCGAGTTTCATTTCTGCCTATCAAAACGCCACCCATCATAAAATAGTTAGTAGCACAGGCTTTGGAGTGAAACAGTCCAGCTGCAAAATTTTCTACTTCTGTGACCTTGGATAAGTTACACATTCTCTTAGACTCGTAGAACCCCAATTCCCCCATCTGTAAAACAGAGGTAATAATACTGACTTCATAATACTGTGATCAGATGAAATGAGATTATCTGCTAAGAATTTGACCAGTGCCTCGTAAGTGTTCAATGATTTTTTCAATGTTCCCTCTTAAATAACTCTTTCCCCATTGCCCTCAGTAGGAAATAATTTCTTCCTCTTTTATATTCCTAAAGCACCAACCACATTCCACCTTGTATTGTAGTTAATGGTATCTGTTTTCCTTGCCATTGCTAAACTCCCTGGTAAACTCAAGAAGGGACTGAGTCGCAGTTATTTCTGTATTTCTCACCATGTCTTCTACACACAGATCTTAATTTTAAATGAATGGAAAAATAATCTCTTTCTCACTTCTTTTCACAGCACTTGAAATTCTGCCATTTAAAATAATATTTTCCAGACACTAAAGGCTTTGTGGACGTCCCGGTTCCCTGTTAAAATAGGAATGGGGGTCTAGGAAGGACGACATGTTTTCTCTTGATGGTTAATACCTTAGAAGGCACTTGGCCAAACTCAGAAGACCCTGCCAGAATGCAATTCAGAAAAGTACTAGGAGGGCGAGGGGTGCTAAAAGGTTAAATAGATGAGTCAGACACACATTTCATGTAGGCCCAAACAAGAGAAACACAGGCCCCTCACATATTCCCCAGGCAGGAAGATGCTCATTCCCTAGCCAGGTCAGCACTAAGACTGAGCGTGGAGCCTCCCAGCAACAGGGCTGGAAAGATCCCCACCAGGTCAGCACTGCAGTGGACACCGGAAGAGCAGAGTGAACGCATCCACGGGGGTGCCTTGGTCATTTCTGTAATCATGGGGTTCCTGCTTTTCATCTCTTTCCTCCAGCACTTTGTCAGCGAGCGTAAATATGACGAGGAGCTCGGGAAAGCTGCCCGGTTTTCCTGTGACATCGAACAGCTGAAGGCCCAAATCATGCTCTGCGGAGAAAGTGAGTTTTGCATATTTGCTGAATAATTCTGTGTGAGTAACCTTGGTGCTATTTGGAGTTGCTATTGGAAATGTCAGGTGTGCAGTCCCCCCAGGGGGCTAACGTGAGGTCTAAAGAGATTTAATGATCTAAGCTCATGACACAAGTCACCAGAAATGTCGAGATTTGAACCTAGAGTCTTCAAATGCCACTGCCCATCAGTAATTCCCCAGGATTTATTAAGTGGAACAGAACAGGTCAACTAGTTGATACCTTTTGCAAACTTTTATTAAGCACTGCCAGTTAAACTGCTTCTCTGATTTCAAACAGCCCTGGTTCTACAGAAACTCGTTAGGCAGAGAGAGTGAGTCTTCCTAACATGTCTGGGAACAATCAGTTATTGTTGTGCAGGGCCCAGCTGTTATGCGAGCCCCTCAGCAGTGCCCTGAGCCTCCACCCTCGGTTCTCTGTGCTGAGTGAGGCTGCAGATAATGAAAGACTTCACTCAGCCATTAGCTTTAGTCTTGTTCCCTATTAAGCCTTAATTAGAGCAGCTAATGTGCAACAAAATTGGCTGCTATATTTTCCCCCTACACCAGCCCACCCACAAGGGGAGGTGGGAATGAGCACTGAAGCGGCTTTAAGGACGGCCACAAGGAGGAAAGGACTAGTCAATGACGTGGAAACCCACAGCCTCGCAGTCAGCTGAAAAATTAAGATTTGGCTGCACTTCCTATTATGATAGAATTAACTATACTGTACTACACTGCATACATATATAGTAACACAATTTGCTTTTATCACTTCACAATCTATGGTAGACATTTTTTCATATCAATATATTTAACCAGTCATTTCTCTAAATATAATAGATGTCACCGGTCTTCTGGTTGCTGCATTTAGATTGCTTGCAGTTTTTCACCATTAAAATAACACTCTGATCACCTGAGGCCAGGAGTTCGAGGCCAGCCTAGCCAATATGGTAAAACCCCCATCTCTACTAAAAGTGCAAAAATTAGCTGGGCGTGGTGGCAGGTGCCTGTAAGCCCAGCTACTTGGGAGGCTGAGGCAGGAGAATCACTTGAACCTGGACCCGGGAGGCAGAGATTGCAGTCAGTGGAGATCGCACCACTGCACTCCAGCCTGGGCGACAGAGCGAGACTCCATCTCAAAAAATTAATTAATTAATTAATTAACACTGCTGCGAGCATCCTTGTCCACACATCCTTGCCAATTATTTGATTTTCTGACTGCATTTTTAAAAATTATTGTTCCCCCCTGTACTCTTCCTTATGAAAGAATCTACCTATTTGCCATTCTCTATCCCCAGCTTTTGCCCCACCTCTAAAAAAGGGAACTGCCCACCCTCTTTTCCACTTCAGCCCTCAATGAGCAAGACAGTGATGCTGAGCGATGCCCTGTCACCACCGATCTCGGGGCGATGGAGAGGTGCCCCTTCACCTCCTTTCCTCCTGAGCACTTCAAGTGCCATCTAGTGGGAGAAATGGTCCCTTACTAAATTCCAGGTGTCCATTCTGAAAGACAGACACCGTAATCATCCAAAGGCCCTTCCTTCTCAGCTTTGTTGAGAGCACATTGAGAACCCACAGGTACTGAACCGGAAATAGTGGTCCCTGATCTGCAGACAATAATGACCCCATGAAACTGAATCTGGTGAGCATAGGAGCCACGGAAATCCCCTGGTCACATTTGGACAGCCCCAGCTTGCTGTCACACCTTCCCAGTACACTGAAGGGACTGGGGATGTGTCCCTGGCCTTTCCATTTCTCCTGTATTGTGATTCTTACTGGTCCCGCCTAGTCCTCTAGCAGAACCCTGGGATTAAATCTGATCCAACAAAGAGAGCAGACAAAGTTGCTTTCAAAAATTGGTGACAGTTTTAAGCCTCAAAGAAAGGTCTAGCTGGCAGTCAGATTCTGGTGAACTGTGAGAGGGAAGTCAGGGCTTTATCCTTGAATTGATTCCCTCCAGTTCTGATTCAGTGTAATCACATAGAAATCATCCCAGCAGAAACCACCACTTTCAAAACCAGGGGGAATGGTCATAATAAACGCTGAGCAGACCTGCCTGAGCCCTGAGCCCTGAGCCCTGAGCTCTGACGGGTGTCCGCCTGATCAGCCTGCCTTGCCTGTAACCTTGGAAGTGGTGCACATCTGCAGTGAGGCTGCAGAAAACGGGGCTGATTAAAGGTGTGATGATGGAGCACTAATGAAATATACAAGATGCCTTAGGGGCTGGCGGGCCTGGCCCTGTGTTTGGGGGATATGCATGACCCAGAGTAACAGAATTCCTAACATCCAACATCACCCCATTCCCAAGCTCTCAGAACATCGTGGATCTGACAGGCCAGAGTGTCCGCATAGCTCCCAATCTTTCTGTGTCTGCAGTACCAGTTGGTCCAGGGAACTGATCAGGGAAGTGAGAACAGGTTTGGTAATGGGGACTCTACGAGGCAGAGTACATTTGCAGACAGGGCCAGAGAGGGAACCTTGAGGTTTCATTATCTCTTTTCCCTTGGTGGTTCTTGACCTAAAGAATAATATTTAAGTTGGTCAGATATGTCTTATTTCCTACAAATGTCTCCCAACTTGGATGATTATGCTGTAATCACAGTTCAGTGATTCCCACAAAAGAAATTTGGTTGTTCTCTTAAGCACCAAGATGCCCTTTCAAATAACATCTTTCAAAAGAAAACTTTTTAATGTTTTTGTGGAGCTCCTGGCCAGTTTCTTCATCTTCTAGCGCTTCCTAATGGGTTACTGAGGCAGCAGTGTTGGAGGTGCAGCTCGTAACACTGAGCACTTTATTATTGCAGTTACACATCCAAAGAACAACTATTCCTCAAGAACTCCCTGCAGCTCCCTGCTGCCTCTGCTGAATGCGCACGCAGCAACCTCTGGGAAACAGAGTAACTTTTCCCGAAAATCATCCACTCACAATAAGCCCTCTGAAGGCAAAGCGGCAAACCCCAAAATGGTGAGCAGTCTCCCCAGCACCGCCGACCCCTCTCACCAGACCATGCCGGCCAACAAGCAGGTAAGCCGACACTGGTGCAGGGTGCCAGAGGAAAAAAAAAAAAAAACCTGTTTCCAGAGGAAGAAAACAGCAACTACTAGATTCTGGGCCTCCTGGGGTCACACTCAGGCTCCCGCCACCTGCCCTCACCCACTCCCCACCCAGCAGCACTGCCCAGCTGGCCTCTTGGGAACTCCCCTGGTCGCTCTCATCCATGCCTGCCAGGTGCTTTCCCATGTGGAGGAAGTGGCCTGCATGCACTCTTGACCACGTGAGCAGAGTCCACCCCAGTGACACAGTTCTTCTCATGGCTAGGACTGCCACCATCCCTGGGGCCCCGAAACCAGCCCACACGTGGAAGGGACCCACAGAGACTCTGGAACAAGACTCGGAACCTACTAAACTACTAATGAGAGGAAATCTGGCATTTGTTTTTTAAGATATTTTAATCCCCATTTATGTTTAGCTGATCAATAAGAGGCTAAAGTTAGTGCAGTCTTCTCTTCTCTTGGGATTTCAGTAAGGAGAATACATTTCAAAATGGCATTCTTCATTCTTATCTATTATGATGTCTAAAGACACAAGTGTCCAAAGAACCATCTTCCTTCTCTCCTTCTGCTTCTCCACTATATCTTTTGGAGGTGATTTCCCCCTTATCCTTAGAGAATTAACAAAAAATTGGGATCTGCCGGATGCAATGGCTCACTCCTATAATCCCAGCACTTTGGGAGGCCAAGGTGGGCAGATCACTTGAGGTCAGGAGTTTGAGACCAGCCTGACCAACATGGTGAAACCCTGTCTCTACTAAAAACACAAAATTTAGCCAGGCATGGTGGCGGGTGCCTGTAATCCCAGTTACTCGGGAGGCTGAGGCAGGAGAATTGCTTGAACCCGGGAGGCGGAGGTTTCAGTGAGCCAAGATCGCACCACTGCCCTTCAGCCTGGGCAACAGAGTGAGACTCCATCTCAAAAAAAAATAAAAATAAAAATAAAGGATCTGATGATATAGAAGTTGGGCATGCTATAAAGATACCTAAGATACCTTTTATCATCTCCAAGAAAAAGTCTTTTCTTTTTTTTTTTTGTAAGACTTTAAAAATGGTGGTTTTCTAACAGGTGTCTTGTTGGGTTTTGCTGTCTCAGCCTTTGAGAATTCTTATTAATGATATTGACAGGTGTTTTCTCAGGCCCTGAAGTCTTCATGAGCTTTAAGATAGCACTTTGACAAGGAGCATGTTATAATCTCATTAGTTAAAGATCATAATCAAATCTGTTTTTACTTGTAGTCTAAATATATCTTCACAGTTTTTGTTCTTTTTTTTTTCTTTTTTTTGGCACAATCTCGGCCCACTGCAGCCTCAACCTCCTGGGCTCAAACAATCCACCAGGCTCAGCCTGCAGGGTAGCTGGGACTACAGGCACGTGCCACCACGCCTGACTAAATTTTTTTGTATAATTTTTGTAGAGATGGGGTTTTGTCATGTTGCTGTCAAATTCCTGGGCTCAAGCGATCCACCTGCTTCAGCCTCCCAAAGTGCTGAGATTACAGGCATGAGCCACCATGCCTGGCCTCTCTGTTCATTATTAAATACCATGCTGATAATTAAGTCTAAAATTTAGTCTAAGAGTTTCCCTTTTTCATAATTTCTTTAAAAACAAAGGAGGCCAGATTAAGTACTATCTATGTAGATACTTCTTCAGTTCTCTGGTTTAGCAGTTTAGGTAATGGCTCATTTAAGTTGAAATCCACTCAAATATCTAAGTCAGAACACTGTAGACCCAGGCAAGAATGGCCCTTGGACCGGGCCCTGTGTTTTCAAGTAACTTCTTGACCCTCCCGCAGCCATGGCCCTCTCTACAGAGTAAGGAATCAGAGAGACCAAGGAGACAGGGCCACTGGAATCTACACTCTTTGTTCTGAAGCATGCTGCCAGTCAGTACTCGAGATCCTGGGTTACTCTTCCCAAGTGGGCCCAAGCCTGCTCACAGGATCTGCCTGGACCACTTTCCTGTATACATCATCTTGAAGATGAACAACACTGCCAGTTTTCACACCCATCCGCTGGAAGGGTGGGAGTGGAGGCGATGCTTAGGTGTGCAGGCTGGAATGTCCACATTTGTGTGTGCAAGGCCCCTTACAATGTGGGATGGAGCCAGAGATAGGAAAAGACAGTATTCAGACATATGGTGTGTGAACCCCAAAAATCTGAGACAGGTCTCAGATAACTTAGAAAGTTTATTTTGCCAAGGTTGAGGACGTGCACCCGTGACACAGCCTCAGAAGGTCTGATGACATGTGCCCAAGGTGGTGGGGCACAGCTTGGTTTTGTACATTTTAGGGAGACATGAGACATCAATCCATTTGTGTAAGGTGAATATCAGTTCAGTCCAGAAAGGTGGGACTACTGGAGGCAAAGGCGGACAACTGGGAGCGAGGAGGGGGCTTCCAGGTCTTAGGCAGATAAAAGACAGATGGTTGTATTCTTTTGAGTTTCTGATTAGCCTCTCCAAATGAGACAGTCAGATATGCATTTATCTCAGTGAGCAGAGGGGTGACTTTGAATAGAATGGGAGCCAGGTTTGCCCTAAGCAGTTCCCAGCTTGACTTTTCCCTTCAGCTTAGTGATTTGGGGGCCCCAAGATTTATTTTCCTTTAACAGATGTATGGACCTACATTTGTACTCTTGCTCTAGGCTCTGAATTATTGGGGGTTGGTCTGCCCTAAACCTATACCATCCAGTCACAGTGCACAAATGAAGAACCTTATATATTTGTAACTCATAAAATTTCATGTTTTCTTAAGAGGTTTGATTTTCAAAAAAGGTTTATGTTTATGTTACAACTTAAGAGTCTTGTCAGGAGATAGTATATAAAGCGGGAATAGCTCCACCATTTCCCAACTGTAGATAGACCTTGGGCAAGTCCCTGAAACTCCTTATCCTCATCTATAAAACGAAGCACATAATAGCAACTAACTTAAAGGGTGATTCTGATGTTAAATGAGGTAGTGCATGGTGAGAAACCCCATTCAGTGCATGGTAAGCACTCAATGAGTGTTGGCTATTACTGACCTTGAGGAGTTCAGAAATCTTTCCCTTGTAAAGGAGCTTAATCCATTGCGTCCTTACTGCTCATCCATTTACGTTCCTGGTCAGTGATGTGTTGAAGGAATGATTTTTTAATAGAGGCTTCAAATTTTCTTTGCTTATAACTGCAGAAAGTTTAGAAAAACAATGAATTACCTCTGTGAAAATACACCTTATTTCTGCATGCCACCAAGACCTGCCAGATACACTTCACCCCTATATTTGTCCAAGATAATATTTCTGAACTATAAAGATATTTGTTTTGGAATAAATTAGAAAAGCTACTTTAGAGAAGAAAAGTTACAGAATTTTACTTTTTCTTCACTTACGTAATTAGAATTCCTATGCATGGTTTTGAACAGGAAATTTTCCTTGACCCCTTCACAGGCCTTGCAACAGGGGTGCCTCACTTTCTCAGCCTGAAGCTCTGAACCCCTCGGGGGAGGGAGAGCATGCAGGTGAGCAGGTGCAGGAGCTAGAGCAAGCACTTTTGGCCACCGGCAGGATCAAAACTCCATGCAGTCCCACAGCAGTGCCTAGGGTAGTACCCATGACCCCTGGAGCCCCAGAGGGCATGCGTTACAATGCTCTTTTAGCTTTGCAGTCCAAGGACGGCTTAAGTATTTAACAGCTCAATAGACCTTCTACTTTTTCATGAAGGCAGAGGGTCAATGTGACACTTTTCTGTATCCTGAGCTCTTGTCCAGCATCCATGAAAAATCAGGTCATATGAACAAATTGAAGGATAGTAAACGCGGGGGATTTTATTGCCATTGAAAGTGGCTCTCAGCAGGAGGGAGAGAGCTGGAAAATGGGGATGGAGTGGGAACGTATTCTTCCCCTGAAGTACTGCCATCAAGCAGTCCCGCTAAAGTCAAGCTGCTGCTCTCCGACTCAGACTGCAGTCTCCGACGTGCAGCTGCTTCTCCTCTTCTCTGCTCTGTGCCAGTGGAGCCTGGGATTTTTATGGGTACAGGATACGGGGTGGGGTAGGCCAGGGGTGGTTTTGGAAAAGGCAATATTTGAGCAGGAAAACAGGAATGTAAAGTTCTCACTTTGGGCTTGAGAGTGGGTCTTGGCCAGGGACCCTGCCCTTTTTCTGTGTACAATTTCTGTGCCTCCTGTCCCTCTCAGTCTCTACAGAATGTCTCAGAAATCTCCATAGTAGAGGATCATCATTACTCTGCCCCTGGCTTCTGTTTTATTCTGCTATAGTTTAAGCATCTTTATGAATTTTATTTGACCCAGTTTTTGAATTGTCTGTCTTACACTTCTGTAACCTCTCTTTCAATATCATTTTCTTCCAGTTCCATTTACAAAACAGTCCACTATTCTTTTAGGATTAATAATTTTATCTGCCTGACCTCATCTTCATGTTTTCTGATTCTTCTGGTGTATAAAAAAAAAAAAAAAAAAAAAAAGCTTACCTGTGGCTTAGAGATTTGGTTTTCCTGATGTCTACTGGTGTCATCAGTGGCTTGCTGGCATCTGATACTTATCTCTTTTCTTTTTTGGTAGAATGGATCTTCTAACCAAAGACGGAGATTTAATCCACAGTATCATAACAACAGGCTAAATGGGCCTGCCAAGTCGCAGGGCAGTGGGAATGAAGCCGAGCCACTGGGAAAGGGCAACAGCCGCCACGAACACAGAAGACAGCCGCACAACGGCTTCCGGCCCAAAAACAAAGGCGGTGCCAAAAATCAAGAGGCTTCCTTGGGGATGAAGACCCCCGAGGCCCCGGCCCATTCTGAAAAGCCCCGGCGAAGGCAGCACGCTGCAGACACCTCGGAGGCCAGGCCCTTCCGGGGTAGTGTCGGTAGGGTTTCACAGTGCAATCTCTGCCCCACGAGAATAGAAGTTTCCACAGATGCAGCAGTTCTCTCAGTCCCGGCTGTGACGTTGGTGGCCTGAGCTAGGAGGAAAAAGAGCAGTTTTCACTCAGTTTTGGTTCCCTGCCCGAGGTGCTGACCCAATTCGCTGCCAAAAGAGTGTCAATCAGAATATACAAATCCCGTATGGTTGTGTCATCCTCTCTTAATCATTTTTACTAATTCTAATAATCAGCTCTAGCTTGCTTCATAATTTTCATGGCTTTGCTTGATCTGTTGATGCTTTCTCTCATCAAGACTTTGCAGCATTTTAGCCAGGCAGTATTTACTCATTATTAGGAAAATCAAGATGTGGCTGAAGATCAGAGGCTCAGTTAGCAACCTGTGTTGTAGCAGTGATGTCAGTCCATTGATTGTCTTTAGAGAGTTAATGTTACAAAAAAGAATTCTTAATAATCAGACAAACATGATCTGCTGAGGACACATGCGCTTTTGTAGAATTTAACATCTGGTGTTTTTCTGAAAAAATATATATACATATATTGCTTTATTTGAAACAAATTAAAATATGCTGCATTTGACACCTGGCTAGTTTCTTTTATTGATACCCACCTAGTTATTGAATGTACTGTTTAGTGCTTTCAAAAAAAACTTTAGAGACTAGAGGTTGTGGTGCAAAGCTGTGTACAATAAATACTGTTTCTGTTGAGACAAGTACTCTTTCAGGAAAATATATATATGCCCTTTCAATTAGATTACACAAATAGATGGATATGCACCCTGATCATCTTAGACACACCATGTGGCAGTTGGGCAGTTGGAAACATTGGTTGCAAGTACTACAAACCTCAGCTGAGCCTAGCTTCAACAATAAGAATTTATTGGTTCAGTGAGTGAAAAGTCCAGTTGGTCCAATTTGATCAGGATTTCAGCTCCCATCTCTTTTTTTTTTTTCTTTTTTCTTTTTCTTTTTTTGAGACAGTCTTGCTTTGTCACCCAGGTGGAGTGCAATGGCATGATCTCGGCTCACTGCAACCTCCGCCTCCTGGGTTCAAGCCATTCTCCTGCCCGGCCTTCCGAGTAGCTGGGATTACAGGCATGTGCCACCACGCCCTGCTAATTTTTATATTATTAGTACAGACAGGATTTCACCATGTTGTCCAGGCTGGTCTCAAACCCCTGACCTCAGGTGATCCACCTGCTTTGGCCTCCGAAACTGCCGGAATTACAGGCATGAGCCACCGTACCCGGCCAGCTCCCATCTCTTAATTATCTTAGCTCTCCTTTCCTCCTTGGGTTGACATTGCATTCAGAATTGTGGCAAAGGGCCACCATGCTCTTAAGACTCAAGTCTATTTTCCACACTGTCCAGAGGAGAGAAGTTATCCTAGTAGCTTCTACACAGAGCAAGTGTCTTTCTCAGAAATCCCAGCAAAGGTCTTGCATACCATTGCTGGTAGGCCTGTCTCTTAAACCAATCATGAAAGGGGGGAGAGAAGTGAATGGGATGAACTAATTTGCATAGACTAATTAGAGCCCACCCCTGGAGCCTGGGTGTGGCCATCTTCCCAGAGTTCCTGAGCTAGATGGAGAAGGGGTACTTCTCAGAAAGGGAAAATGGATACCCAATGGCCCAAACCCAAAATAGCCCCAGTTCCCCTAACTTTGACTACAGGGCAGTCCAGTTTGGGTGCCGCTTCCGTTGCACTCACATGTCCTACATATCTGTTGACTACTCACAAGTGCAAATGCTTATTCTCAACTCAACATTAACATTTTTTCTGGCAACCCAGGTTCACTGGTTCTCTTCCACAGAGCGGCCCTGAGCAGCTGAGCCTGCAAGCCACGCAAGCATCTGTTTCTTCTTTTGCCAAGTACAGGAGGATGTTTGCTCTCTCTGTAGAGAGCTTTCTGAGGTCTCTGGGTGTACCCAGAGATTTAATAGAAATTCTTAACGTTAAGTCACATTCCAGGAAGGAAGGAAGAGTTGTTCGTTCAAATAAGAAAGATAAATGTTCGGCACTGTAGGCCCTGTTTACCCCATCTGAGGCCCTGAATTCATATATTACAAGACGGAAGGATTTTGCACAGTTTTTTATGTAGCAAGATTTTGCTCACCACTGAAAAATGTCAGTGTAAATGTGACCGCTTTAAAGATGAGTCAAGTAATTCTTGGAACAGGGAAAAAAATGAATTTGCCAGGTCAGGAGTTCACCTGCCTTTGTCAGAGTTGAACCCAACCACTCTTGACCTCGACTCACTCCCTTAGGGTTAAGAAAGCCCAAACACATTCCTGAGCACAGAGCAAACACTCCCATGTCACTGAAAAGAAACAAAAGAATGCTAAAAAGTGCTCAGACCTGATCACATTTTTTCCAATATTTTTTCCTTTTTTTTTTTTTTTTTGAGACAGGGTCTTGCTCTATCACCTAGGCTGGAGTGCATGTTTTTGAGACAGGGTCTTGCTCTATCACCTAGGCTGGAGTGCATGATCATGGCTCACTATAGCCTTGAACTCCTGGGCTCAAGCCATCCTCAGCCTCCCAAGTTGCGAGGACTACAGGTGTGCACCACAACGTCCCAGCTACTTTTTAAATTTTTAGTAGAAACGAGGTCTCACTATGGTGCCCAGACTGGTCTCGAACTCCGGAGCTCAAGTGATCTTCCTGCTTTGGCCTCCCAAAGTGTTAGAATTACAGGCATGAGCCACCTCGCCTGGCTGGTTTTTGCCTTTCTTATAGACCCTGGGCATGTAAGCATTTATTAGTTTGCATTTTTGAAACAGTAATTTCAATATTTTAGTGCCAATGTCAGGCCGCTTAAACACTGTATTACATATCTTCATCTGTCTGGTGGAACTATTGGTGTGATCCTAGAGAACTGAGTCCTATTCTGCCATTCATTTAAAGTGTTTTAAACTCTAATCTCTCTACTTAATGCACAGTAGTCAGATTATTCTCTTAAACATTTGCCTAGTAGAGGTTAAAATAGTTTAATCCTTATGAAGATGGAATAACTTCAAACTCACATTGTGGCACTTAGATCTTCCACCAAGACTTCATCCGTGAAATCCACACCTCCCTGTTGGGTTCCCAATTACATTCCAAATTTACATTTCTTTTGAGAATCTCTGCATACTCCAGCTCTGTCCTGTTGATCCTATTCTAGAAGTGCTTAATGCAGCAAGACACAGAAAGTTAAACGCAAATTGCTGCAAAATTCACCCTCAGTGGAGGACTAGAAACACAACATGTCCAATTTAAAGCTCAGTTCACAAGCAGTTCAATTCTGCTGGCATCAGAAAAGGAGATTCTAATTAAACATTCTTAGGGAAGGACATCAAATGAGGTTAATGGGAAACGTTACCAGATTAAAAGCAGTTTTTTGACAAAGTAACAGATTTGGAAATTCTGACTCTCTGAAAGCCTTGATTTGAACCTCAAACTTGATTTCACCATGAGAAGTGGGGATCAAGGGCCTGCGCAGTTCTTTTCCTAAATCGATTCGGTGCTCCCCACCCCGACGCAGGCACAGGTCCGCAACCAGATAGGGAGATGCCTGAATTTCAGGCTACCTTTGACAAAGCTTTCTTCCTCCCTCCCTCCCTTTGCACGCTGCATCCCACGCTGCCTGCTTAAAGCGCCCTCATGTGTCTACAGATGGTAAAACGTTTATTTCTCAACAGACATTCCAGTGATAGCATCCAATGACCTATGTAACGGCACCCTTTTTTGCTGTACGCGTTTTTTGAGATGGAGTCTCGCTCTGTCGCCCAGGCTGGAGTGCAGTGGCGCGGTCTCGGCTCACTGCAAGCTCCGCCTCCCGGGTTCACGCCATTCTCCTGCCTCAGCCTCCCGAGTAGCTGGGACTACAGGCACCCGCCACCACACCTGGCTAATTTTTTGTATTTTTAGTAGATACAGGGTTTCACCGTGTTAGCCAGGATGGTTTTGATCTCCTGACCTCGTGATCCACCCCCCTCGGCCTCCCAAAGTGCTGGGATTACAGGGGTGAGCCACTGCGCCCGGCCCCAGTCACTTGTTCTTAAGTTTCTTAAGCAAACTATAAAATAGCAAAAGACCAAAAAAAAAGGAAAAAAAGCAGTTCGCCTAATACATTGTTCCAGCATTTCCTTGAAAGTACTGAGCCATCTCAATTGCTCTGATTTTGTGAGAAAATTATGAAGAGTTGCAAAGTCCCAGTGATTCTCTTGTTACTTAGCTAAGAATTTGAAATGTAATTTAAATACTATTCTTTACAATCCATTATAAGGATTTTAAAATCTTTTTGCTTCTTTAATAAATTCTAACAAAGTTTTGTGTTTATTCTTAGTTTCAAAGAACCAGGTCCCCAGTCCTGGGAGGCTGCTCAGCTGGCCAAGCCAGTGTTTAATCTCATTATAGCAGCCCTGCAGGCAAAGGCACTCTGGTCTGAATCTAGTCTATCTGAGAAATACACAATGCTGCTCTCATCATTCAAGGTTCTTACACATTAATGATTAATTATCAGAAGTCCCTTTGTCTGAGAACTCTGTTTTTTCCCACAGCTCAGAGGAGCTTCTGGGGCTGCCACTAAGTTCCAGTTTCATAGGAAGAATTGCCACAAACAACTTTTGCAGAATAATGAGTATATTCCAAAGCAAATTTGTCTGAGAAATTATGTAGACTTCTGGCAAAAAAAAAAAAAAAAAAAAAAAAATGGTTCAGAAGCATGACTGTGACAATGGCCAAAGAACTTCTACAGAAAATAGCAGTGTAAAAAGTGCTCCCTGTCAAAAAAAAAAAAAAGTATCCTTTTTTTTTTCTTTTTTTTTTTTTTGTGTGTGTGTGTGTGAGATAGGATTTTATTCTGTAACCCAGGCTGGAGTGCAGTGGTGCAATCACAGCTCACTGCAGCCTCCAGCTCCTGGGCTCAAGCGATTCTCCAGCCTCAGCCTCCCAAGTAGCCGGGACTAGAGATGCATACCACCGCACCTGACTAATTTTTGTATTTTCAGTAGAGATGGGGTTTCGCCATGGTGTCCAGGCTGGTCTTGAACTGCTGAGCTCAGGCAATCTGCCCACCTTGGCCTCCCAAAGTGCTGGGATTACAGGCTTGAACCACCACGCCCAGCTGTCCTGTTTTTAACTTCAGATACTTAGATTTGAATTTGATTTAATTGTTCCTAGTCCTTTGAAAGAACCCACCTTCTGTAAATTACCATCATTGTGTAACAAGTCAGCCAATAACATCATTACTCCTCTGCCAACACCTGACGTATAGTAGGCACTTGATGAACACTGATTGAAAGAGAGAGAAGATATGAATAGGTGACCAACTCCAATATCTCCAGAAAATTCTGGAGTCTAAATGACTTGTGCAAAGTAACCCAGTAAAACAATCCTAGAGAAAATAGGAGGAGAGAGCAGAGCAGCTGAAGTAACCCACCCTCAAAGCCACCTGTCTGGATTCAAGCGCTAGCTCCACCACCTCCTGTCTGTGTAAACCAGGGTACATTTCTCAACATCTCCTTACCTTGGTTTTCTCCATGGGTGAATGGGGCAGGTAACTGGAGCTACTTCACAGAGTTGTTACGAGGATTGAATAGTTAATATTTGCAAAGCATTTGGAATAATGCCTGGCACTTTATATAGATTCCAGGCAGGAGACAGTAACCACAGAGTAATTTGCCGGGGAAGCTTTATC
The DNA here is from genome assembly GCF_000001405.40 of Homo sapiens. NCBI lineage: Eukaryota > Metazoa > Chordata > Mammalia > Primates > Hominidae > Homo > Homo sapiens. Next base: position 200,483,635 of record NC_000002.12, read on the forward strand.
AATGTATATGGGGAAGATAGATCGACAGAAATAACTAGTAACGGGAGATTAGCTACTAAAGGGTAAGAACTCTGAAGACAACAGGAATAGCTGATACAGGGACTAGTCACTACTAGAGGTGAGACAGAGTACCCAAGAAAGGAATAAGCTTGAAAGAGCTTGCCCCACCCTCAAGGCTGACATTCGGCCTTGTTGGAGAGGGTGCAGCTGTGGCCACTGGAGGGCGGAGCAGCTCGCTGAGGTGTTGCAAGCTGGGGCTGGCAAGCTGGAAGCCACTCAGATTCACCAGGAATACACCTGCAGGGATGCCATTAAACCTGCTGGGACTCCAGCTGGAACACCAGCAAAACTCACCTGGAAACCACACACAGGGGTGTTGTTGAATTGTCTGTGGAGCCAGCAGGGAGACCCACCCAACAGGAAGCTGCACAAGGCAGTGCTTGCTGAGGGTGAAAGCCACTGGATATTCCACACTGGGACCAAGCACTGCAGCAGCAAGACCCGGGATGCACCCTGAACCTGGAAGAAAAGGGCCCTTCTGCAGTGTCCCACCAGTGACAAAGCTTAACATCATGCCAGCTGGTGAGAGAGAAGTGTTTGCAGGGTCCAGCTCTAGTATCACAAGCAGCACAATAAAGAGTGGATTTGGAAGCAAGAGGCAATGAATTGATAAACAACACATCCTTAGTAAGTGCTATAAGAATATTTGATCAGGCCAGGTATGGTGGCTCATGCCTGTAATCCCAGCACTTTGGGAGGACGAGGTGGGTGGATCACCTGAGGTCAGGAGTTCAAGATCAGCCTGGCCAGCATGGCGAAACCTGTCTCTACTAAAAATACAAAAATTAGCTGGGTGTGGTGGCGGGCCCCAGTGATCCCAGCTACTTGGGAGGCTGAGGCAGGAGAATCGCTTGAACCCATGAGGCGGAGGTTGCAGTGAGCCAAGATTGCGCCACTGCACTCCAGCCTGGGCGACAGAGTGAGACTGTCTCAAAAAAAAAAAAGTGTTTGATCCATAGAATAAATAGCTATGCAGCATACAGAAGACTTTAATCCTATCTAGCTCATCTCTGGGAATGGGAGTAACAAGCTCCTATAAGAGCAGACCTAGCGTTGTGCTTAGGGGCCTGGACTCTGGAGTAAGATGACATGGATGTGAATCCTAGCTTTGCCTTCTGCTAGCAGTTAGGCAGCTCATCTAACCCCTCTGTGCTTCAGTTTCTCCATCTGTAAAATGGGGATGATAATAATACCGACCTGCGTCATAGGGTTAGTGTATTAAATAAGTTTATAAACAATTAGAAGAGCACATATTAGCTTTTATTAGGTAGTTGCTTGGTCAGAACAGCAAACGAAAATATTTCAAATTTTATGCCAAAACCAGAAATGTAACTGGGAGCTTAAAGGATGGGTTTTTTAAATCAGCAGGCCTGAGACATCCTTCCTTCTGAATCACCCTCCCCCTCAATTCCCATGGCTCTACTCCTGCCTGTGATTGACAGCTGCAATGTTTTCTTACTGATCCACAGCCCCCAGTTAGGAGAGGCAGTTAATCTGCTCAAGTTAAGTCACCCAGTTAGAGCAATGGTTCTCAACTGGAGATAATCGATGCACCCCCTGACCCCAGGGGACATTTGGATGGGTCTGGAGATATTTCTGATTGTCACGACTGGGGCAGGAGTGCTAGCCAGGGATGCTGCTCAACATCTTGTAATGCACAGTATAATCCTAACAATAAAGAATTATTTGGTCTAAAATGTCGATAAAGCCACTGTTGAGAAACCCTGATCTAGAGGGTTCAGGGGTTTGGAGAAAGGGGACAAAAGTTGAGTAGATGAGCCAGGACATGTTTCCCTGATTCCTCCAGCTATGCTGGGTTCTTGGCTGGTTCAGCCTCGGTGACCAACTCCAGACTGTCTGAACTTTGGGAGGACGAGGTGGGTGGATCACCTGAGGTCAGGAGTTCAAGATCAGCCTGGCCAGCATGGCGAAACCTGTCTCTACTAAAAATACAAATTTTTGGTAGATTAGCTGGGTCTAAATGTACAATTTCTGATGTCCCTGGACTACTAGTGTCACATACATAGAAACTGAATCCCCAGGTCTTCCACATCAAGAAATTAGAGAATAGATTCTTGAAAGAGCTGCTATTGAAACAAAACTATTCAAAATTTTAAGAAATCTTGGCAGAAGGCAGTTTGCCTTTTCCCATCATTAGCAAATATTCTAATGATGTTTGTTTGAAACAACATTCAAACATGCTGTCTGTTTGAAACAAGTTTCTCTTCTAAGCCCCAGGCCCCCCATTTCATACCTGGAGCTCAGCAGAATTTTACTAAGGCAATGAGGGTTTTAGGGTGGAAGAAGCAAACGAAAAGCATGAGAAACAACATGATAAAATGAAAAGCTGCTAAATAAACAAGCAGGGCAGAATACTGACTGACAGTTAGCGTAAAATTCTATCTGTCTTAGCCACAGCCTACATCAGAAGCCATTTAGCTAGCAAATATAAAACATGGATGGGCTGTCTGAGGCAACACATGTGAACAAAGAAAAATTAGCTTTTCTCTAACAATGTAAACCACGTATCTCTTATGAGGCTGACAAGAATATAAGTGAAAATGGTCGCTTTGAGACTGCACCACCAATCAAATTGAAATATGAAATTCCGGAAAGAGCTGGAAAGCAATTTTTTTTTTTCCTGTTAGCTATTTATGATGTTTCTTTTTTTGGGTCCTACACGCTCGAAACCCTGCATACTAACTGCTGCCCTCAACAAAGAACCACTCATCCACTCACTGTTTCCTGACTGGGGAATCAGCAACTTGTTGATAGTTTTCAAGGAAGAGTTTCAGCATATGGAAAAGACAGAATTTTTCATAATTAAAAAGTTCCTGGTTACTTTCAAATACACACATGTAAGTCATTTGAAAATACTTTTCATTTGCTATAATAGAAGCTCTTTCCCTATGTTTTACCAAGTTCATACTTTCTATTTAGTCTCCAACCAACATCCTACCAAATACAGATCAAAGCTATTAAAGGGCCTGCAGATGTAAGATAATCCTATCTAAGATGATCTCATACTCATATAAATGTCAGCATTCTTCCCTTTACCGAACAACTTGCCACCACAGGCCTTGTGCACATTCAAAATGTGTTTAAATCAAAGGTTTTCTATGAACAATTTCTCAGGTATAGCCAAACACGCTTATATGTTAATTCCTGCTGTAAAAGTCAAGATACAGCTGGTCAGTCATTATACTGTATTTAACCATGGACTGGAAAGTGAATCGACAATTTTTTTTTTAATGTTAGCACTTGCTAAGGAAGCAATGGGATTCAGTCTGTGAATGAAAAAGAACTTACATCAGCACAGGAGATGTACTGAATTAGGAGCAGGGAGGCCAGACCTCTGCCTTCCTCTCTGGAAAGTCAGGAAGCATCAGCCACGGACCTCTCTGGGATCTGGTGATACATATTTCTAAATTACTTCAAACAACTCGACAAGTTATGTAACTGTTATGGTCATTACCAATAGTAATTGTGGTCATCAGCAATATTCACTGTATCAAGGAACTTTCAAAAGCACCTCCTTTGTTCCCCTGACAGTATAAACTCTGCAAGATCAAAAAGCAGTTTCCATACCCTCTGAATATTGCTATCAGATACATTTTCTAAAATAATTTGGAGACAGGAGGTGGCCCTCAACTGTTCAGAAATTTATTAAAGGCCTGCTGTGTACCAGACTCTAGAGGGACAGAAACAACAGTCCCTGTTTAGTAGGAGACACATAATCTAATATTTTCCTGCTCAAAAACTTCAAATATTGAGGAAATTCACACTTACATTTACTTCCTCCCTCTAGCTTTTCAGTGATGCTGTGTGGTTCTGCAGAAATCAGATAATGGGGCTAAAATGTGTACATTCCCTATTGTGTAGCCTTAACTTTTCTGAAACTCATTTTCTTTGTCTTTAATCTCAACACTTTGGGAGACCAAGGTGGGAGGATGGCTTGAAGCCAGGAGTTTGAGACCACCCTGGGCAACATAGTGAGACCTCATCTTTACAAAAAAAATTTTTTTAATTAGCCGGGTATGGAGTGCATGCCTGTAGTCCCAGCAAGTTACTCCGGAGGCTGAGGCAGGAGGATTGCTTGAGCCCAGGAGTTGGAGGCTGCAGTAATCCAAGATCGTGCCACTGCATTCTAGCCTGGGCGACAGAGCAAGAACCTATCACTACAAAAATTAAAAATTTGAAAAATTTGAAAGAAATATAAAAAGCAATGAAATCACATATGTGAAAATACTTCCTAAATTCTAACATAAGGCATTATTAACAAAACAAATCCTTCATTAGGTCTCCACTGCCAGCCTTAGGCTATCCATGAAACAACTAACCAGTTTTAATCAGGGCAAACCTGTTTTCAACACAGATTATGTGAAAGGGTATAGTCACTAAACTTTTTTTAAATATACGAACAATACTTAAATATCCTACTTATCATTAAGTATTTCTAAATGTCTCCTGATCCAACTGTATAAACCTACTTCTCAAATCACTATTTATAAAGCTTTCATTTTTTTTCTTCCAGGAAGACCAATGGGTTATGATGAATTACCAACTCTTTTAGGGTTTGCACAGTCTGGTATTAAGAAAAATGTTTTTCCATGTAAAGTGAAGCTAGCCCCCAGGGAACCACACCCAAGTAATGTTTATGTTACTCGAGCATGCTGAATTTGACTTTGACTCCTGATATCCATAAGGGTGCATCTTCCCCTTCCCTATCGCAGCTGCCCCGGCCTTCAGTAGTTATCCAAAGTCACTCCTCTTACAAAGACTAAGTGTGCTAAATGGATTTCCCTTAAACTACTTGATGCAAAGAAATGGAGGATGTCAACGGAATCACCCATGATTAATTGTCAACATGTTTCCTGTCCAGCAACTCAAAATGTCCTAAATCAAGCAATACTAATAATGTCCACATTGGTAGTTCTGAAAATTCACTATGGTCTTTGATTTCCACAATGCCTGGATTCTCTATAATGGCATTTTCAAAAGTAACTGAATATTTTATATATTCCACAGGACAGTCATCATGGATCTTCAATTAAATAATCACTTTTTCTAGCAAAGTAAGCAGCCTATCTAAAAAGTTCCTAGTAGATGGATAGTTATCCAAAATTGATTTAATTATTTCATACTTTATCTGCACAAGAAAGCAATTTTGTAAGTGAAAATGGATAACCTAAATAAACTAATAAGTTTTCAAACTACTACAGGGCTCCACGGCTTTAAAAAGTACAGACACAGAAAATACCACTTTTTATGGAAAAGTTTTATTTGATTTTGTAAAACGTAATGTTTTGAGTATACTTACTTTACTCTTTCAAAGCAATGAAAGTACAATGATAAGCATTTGAATAAAAAGTACCCTGTTTTATGAGCTTATTTTTTAACATAGTGAAGGCATACTCTCACTGAAAGTAGAAATATGTGATCCAATTACAAAACATAACATTTACGAATAAACACACACAACTGAATAGTCATGAAAAAATAGAGGATTAGTCAAAATATTCTGTTTAAAAATATTAAATTCAAGTTACATGGAAATTTTATGCATAAAAATCATATTGTATAATCAGAATGAATCTTCAGTGGTCATTTCTGAAAAACAAATACTAACTTTAGTTAAAAAGTTAAACTTTTACTTCTCTTTTTCAAAGTATTTTCAAAACTTCACTATTCAAATTAAATAGGATATTTTAATAATTTACTTCAAAGATATTATATAATTCTGATCCCAAGAGATCTTCTTGTGGTGTTTATAAATAAATCTACTAACAGAAAAGAGTAAGAAAAGCCAATCTAGGAAAGAAAATCGTTGAATTAAGTGAGAGTCAAAGTGCTAATTCAATCTATGGGGTTTTTTCCTCCCCATCATTTCTTTTCACGTTGCCTTTGGAGACAGAGTAATTTGTAGGCAGCTCGCCTTGATCTACATTTTCTCTCTCTAATCTCTCTTGGCTGTGATATAGTACAGGGAACCACTAATATCACCCCCTCCATTTTCCCAGACAGGAATACCTAAGGCCAAACCTCATGCCCATCCTCGGGTTGCAACAAGTAACGTTTACTTCAGCAACAAAGTGGACCTCTCTAGAGATTATTTGTTGTACTGTCTTGTTGCCTTAATACGAATTAATCATTAAAAAATAAATTGAAAACCAGAAATTCAAACTGCCCATAGACAATCATATAAAAGTTGGGAAAATGAGAAATGGAGCCTTAACCATTGAAAGTCTCCCCTCCTCCATTCCTAGCTCACACAATTCCAGGAACAGAATCCTCAACATAAACCTAAGCTTCCCCTCTGCTGCATTAAGAAAGTGTCACTTCTTTGCGTCGAATGGGTTGAAAGCTTTGGGAGATGAACGGGAAATTTCAAGTCCACCACTTTCATCAATTTCCCTTGTTCTTCCCGTTCTCAGTCCGCACTCCCAAGGCACGGGCAGCTTCGCCGGGAAGCGGCTTGAGGGAGTTGGCCTGCCTCGTGGCCGTGGGGGAGGGCAGGCAAGGCGCGGTGGCGCACAGCGGAGTCCTCTTCAGCTTTATCACCCGCTGGGGTGTAGGCTTCTTGTCGGAGAGTAGCACCTTAGCTGGAGGTAAGTGCGTGCCTCCATTTTCAGCGCTCGCAGCCCCAGGGGAAGCCTGAGGATGCCCAGGTGCCCCCGTGCCCACCAGGGCCGTGGCTCTGGAAGGTGCAGAGCGCTGAGCTGCCTTTCTGCGGCTACCACTTTGAAACCGGTTTGCTGTCGCCCCAGCCGACGTCTGGATGGCACTGGCTGGAGACACCGTGACTGAGGCCGAGTTCTTGACTTTAATTTGGGTACTTGTGGAAGGGCCCAAAAATCTAACTGGCTTAGGACCAGTCTTATAGTTCACACTTTCGTCCGCTTCATTGAACGTTATCAGTCGCCTAGAAATACAGAAGCGTGTCATTTTCCACATGTATAGTTTTAGTAACTCATGAAAACATCTCCCAAGTTTACCTTCAGCATTAACAGAAAGGTTTTGGTCAAGAATTAAAGAGTCAAGAGGTTTATGGGCACCTACCTCATCTCTCATCTCCCACCAAGGTCAGTAAGCAAGTTTACAAAAGATTGGTCTTAATTTGAATACGAATTATGTAAACTCACACACATAATATTAATACTAGCAAATTAAAATTTGGCACTTTACATAAGAATACAATATATCACCCTGTTCCCAAGTATCATGATGTGACCTACGGGATAACCAGAAATATCACAAATTGTTTTTCCCAGAACTGCAGTTTAAAGAGATTTAGTAAAGAAAAAAAAAGATTTCACAATCAAATAAATATTAGAAATATTGCTTGATATAGTTTGGCTGCATGTCCCCCCCGAAGCTCATGTTGAAATGTGATCCCCAATGTTGGAGGTGGAGCCTGACAGAGGTGTTTGGGTCATGGGGGAGGATCCCTCATGAATGGCTTTGTGCCCTCTCCCATGGTAATGAGTGAGTTCTCACTCTATTCGTTCACGTGGGAGCTGGCTGTTTAAAAGCCTGGCATCTCTTGCTGTCTCTCACCGTGTGACATATCTGCTTCCCTTCACCTTCTGCCATGATTGTAAGCTTCCTGAGGCCTCACCAGAAGCATATGCTGGCCCTAACCTTCTTGTACAGACTGCAGAACCATGAGTCAAAATAAACCTCTTTTCTTTATAAATTACCCAGCCTGATAGTCCTTTATAGCAATGCAAAACTAATAAACTGCTGCATATCTTTTTTTCTTCTTGAAGCTTTAAAATTCATGTTAACATATTAAAGATTATGAAAGGCCTATACTAAAGATATCTGTATTTCCCAATCATTCTATAGTGAAACCTTTGATGGCCAGTAAAATTTGCATTCTTTGGAACCCATTTTGGGGACTGCTAGAACAGTCATGGACAAACCTTCAAAGATTCCAGAACTGAGTTTACCATTCATTATAAAAAGCCTACGGGGGAACATTTTTTTAAATGACCTTAAAACCGTCAAACAATCATTGTCAAAACCTTGCCTGCTCCTTCAGCTTCACTTCCTGAGGACCACCCCAAGCATGAAAGGTGACTGCAATCCTCTCACTCTGCTCTCTTGCAAGTCTGCATAGCATCAATGTGTCATTAGAGGCGATTACAACTTATTCAACTCCCATTCTTGGAAATGGGATCATAATAACGTGGTTATTTGAAAATTGCCATCTGTAGCAAAGAGTGCAAATATAATATATTCAACCCTAAATCCCTACTGAACATTTTCCCTGGTCACCAGATGGCTCCTTGGGACCTTACAAGTGCTTCTCAGTCATCATCATCGTTATCCTGTTGATGCATCAAAAATAATGCTTCGTAAACTTGTAGAGGAAAGATAACTAACACAGAGGAGGGTCTCCGTAAACCACTCCTGCCTGCCTGCTATGTTTTCCATCTACATCTTCCACCAGACTCCACACTGAGGTTTCTCAACCTCGGCACTATTACCATTTTGGTCACATAATTCTTTGTTCTGGGGGGCTGCCCTGTGCACTGTAGGATGTTTAGCAGCACCCTTGGCCTCTACCTTCTAAATGCCAGTAGCAACTCTCACCCCACAGTGTGTCAACTAAAAATGTTGCCAAACATTGTCAAATATCCCCTGGAAGGCAAAATCACCCCTCGTTGAGAACCACTGCTCTTGACTCAAATATATTTGCTAACTGTAGGCTCAAAAGGTAAAATAAATGATAATAAAATTATGGCTTTTAAGAAATAAGATCTGTTTTGACAAGTGATGGTTAACTACTAAAAACTGAATAAGCATCTCCGCATTTCAGTGAAAGACCCAGAGGGCAAATGTAAGAAAGTAGTCTGAAATTCCATACGGGCATTCAATTAAATTGTAGAACATGTGATCAAGAAATCAGAACATCTGAAGGCCATGAATAAAACCCAGACACTGTAAAAAAAATGTGATTTTAAATGTATTTAAAACACAGTGAAAGACACAGCTGTGGAGTGAATTTAATGCTAATAATTTCATGGAACACAGGAAAATACCATTTAATAAAAGTGCTATTTGTGGCAATAGGAAACAGAAAGGAACTCAGAATAAGCCACAAGAAATTTCAAGTATTAAGTCTAAATAGATTTTTTTTTTACTATTGCCAGTAAAGCCTGGGATTCCACTTCTGTGGAGCAAAAATATTTACCACAGCATGCCCACTGTGTCCACTAGTAATTTTAGAATCACTCTCTCAATAAGAACATGTTACACATGCAGTTACAAAGAATTATAGCCACTTTTTACATAGTTTTGGTAACTTTATATTTATCAAGATCTATATTTTGATGGTAAGACAGAATATTCAAATCGGTGATTAATAAGCTTAGTAAGGTCAAGAATTATTATTCATTTTCCCTTCACAAAGGCAGTAAAAATGTCAGCGATTAAAAAAACAAAACAAATAAACAACACAGCATAGATAACCTCTTTCGAATTGGAGCCATGTGACGCAGGCTTCCAAGTAAAGGCCGTTCTTCTAGAGTCCAACACTCTATCAGCTCATGAGGCACCCGCCAGTAGCTAACACCTGGAAGGTAAAAAGACATAATTAAGACAGCTACCATCCACTGCAAAATGCTGAGCAACACTGTTTCGCCTAAGACCTGCCAGAGTCTGAGGTTCATGCCTCCCGTTTGGCAAAGAGAGGTGTGCACAACATGAACAGGAAGCGCTCACACGAGGAGCTAGGGCCAGGGAGCAACACAGCTCACGACCTGGGTCAGGAAGAGCTGGCCACCAGCTTTGCCACTGATTAGCTGAGAAGATTCAGCAGGTTATGATGCATACTCAGGGCAGCTGAGAGTGAGGGCTCAGGCTCCAGCAAAGCCTGTGTGGGTCTCAATCTCCATCTCTCACTCACTATTCATGTCACCTTGGGAAAGTTACTTTTCTGGGCCTGAATTTTCTCAGCTGTGAAATGATGACAATAATAGTATGTACCTTGAAGGACCACTGTGATGATTAAATGAGTTAATAAATGCAAAGTGCTTAGAACAGGGTCTAGCACAGACTAAGCACTCAAAAACTGTCAAGTACCTTTATTCCCAGTAGTCGTAGGGAGCAGTATAAGTATTGTATAGGGGGTGGGTTGTAACACTTGCCTTGTCTACTTCACTGGGTTGCTGTAACATCAAATCAGGGGAACTTTGTGAACTACTCTGAAAATGGCAACCACTGTACAAATATGAGACATCACCACCCGATAACCACCTTTTCCAACAAGAATCTGAGCTAGTGAGTTAGGCAAAAATGCCATTCAAATTCATTTTAATTTTTAAATCTGTTATGTTTTTTATTAAGAGCTGAAAAATGTATTTATTCTTGAAGCCTCGAAAACATTATGCTAAGTGAAAAACACCAAACACAATAGGTCACATTTGTATTGTTCCATTTGTAGAGCTATCAAGAGTAGGTAAATCCATTGAGACACAAAGCAGACTGCTGGTTGCCAGGGGCTGTGGGAGACAGTGGAGTGGGGAGTGACCGCTTAGGGGTTCCTTTTGGGGTGATGAAATGTTTAGAACTGGAGAGAGGTAATGATTGCACAACATTGTGAATGTAGTAAATACCAATGAAATGTATGCTTTAGTTAATTCTGTTATGTGAATTTCCATCTCAATTTTTTTTAGAAAAGAAGCATAAATATATACACATGAAAAAAGCTCAAGGAATTATGTTGAATAAAAATTGCTTGGAGTAATCTAAGTCCCAATAATGGATTTGGTGTTGTCTTCTTATTAAACTTCTGGTAACAATAACAATTTAGCAAGCTGGGCATATAAATCATTATAATGATAGACATATCTGATACTCAAATAACTCTATGATCCTCATTTTAAAACAATTAACTTTCTGGAACTGCTTGATCACACTCCAAAACCTACACATACTATAAAAACATTCCCAAATCCGGTCCATTAAGTTTGCTTTTTCTAAAAGTCAGATTTATTAAGATATAATTTATGTAAAATAAAATTCACCCTTTTCAGGTACACATTTCAATGAGTTTTGACAAATGGATATAGTTATGTATCCATAGTCATAATCTGTAGACCACTTCTATCACCCCAAAAATTTCCTCATACCCCTTAGCAATCAATGTCCCCTCCATATCCTTAGTTTTGCCTTTTCTGAAATGTCATATAAATGGGATCATACAAAATGCAACCTTTTGTGTCTGGCTTCTTTAGCATGATGCTTTAAGATTCATCCATGTTGCTGTATGTAGCAATGATCATTTCTTTTATCAGTGAGTAGTATTCCACTGTATGGATACACCACAATTTGTTTAAAAACTTTCTTTTTTTTTCCTGCCTATAAAGTAATTCACATCCCTTGTACAATACCTGGAAAATATAGAAAAGTATATATAAGGGAATCAAAGTCACTCCTAATCAGAAGACCAGGAATCATTGGCTCAGGACAGACTAATATGTTTCATTCCAGTCTTTTTTCTAGTCATATGATATACTTTACATTTATTTCCTGCTTTTCATCATTTCTTATCATGGGCATTCATCTATGCAAAAAGTTATTTAAAATAACTTTAATCGCTTTATTATATTCCATTCTGTGGATGTGCCAAAATATATTTAACCCTCAATCATTAGACATTTAAAGTGTTTTTATTTTGTCTCTATTATGAAAAATGCCAGAGAACATTTCTGTTCCTAAGCCTTTGTCTGTGTTTATGTCCTTAAGATAGATAAGATAGATTCCAAGAAGTAAAATTACTGGGTCAAAGAATATGAACAATTGTGATGCACTGATGTGACCTAACAAGTTATTTTCCAAAAGTTACATCAATTTTTACTCCTACCAGGAATGAATAAGAGATCTTTACTCATCTGGTATATAAAAAATTGTTTTTATTAAATGTATATTTCATTGATAAGGAATGAAGCTGAACCGCCTGCCACGTGTTTACTTCTTTTTCTGGGAATTTTATGGTCATGAACCTTGTAATTTTTTTTTTTGTAGTAGTGGTTGCCTTTCTAATCAATTTTAATAAACTTTCTTTCTATTAAGGATATACTTTGTCCAGTTAATGCAACATTATTTATCCTAGTTTTTTATTAGTCTTTAAATTTTATTTATAATTTTTAATGTTTCTTGTTTTTTTGTTTTGTTTTGTGTTTAACATTTATGCCTAGTGTTCCATTATTGGAACACTAAGCATGTGGGAGTTATTTATATCCTACTGCTCAAGGTCATCGCCAAGATCTGATTGCAAAAATTCGGCTCACTGCAACTTCTGCCTCCTGGGTTCAAGCGATTCTCCTACCTCAGCCTCCTGAGTAGCTGGGACTACAGGCGTGTGCCACCACACCCAGCTAATTTTTGTATTTTTAGTAAAGACAGGGTTTCACCATGCTGGCCAGGATGGTCTCAATCTCATGACCTCATGATCCACCTGCCTCGGCCTCCCAAAGTGCTGGGATTACAAGTGTGAGTCACCGTGCCCAGCCCTCCTTCAGCTTTCTAAGGCAGTGGGCTCCTGGACATCTTGCCAGTCCAGAGGCACAAAGAGAGACACAGAGAACACCATGGAGTTTGTTCTCCAACTTGAGCATAAGTGTCTCAAAGTAAATTAAATATAAAATAGAAAGCTGAAAGATGTCATCCTGCCTCTTGAGGGGTATGACTGGAAAGGAAAAAGGAAGGAAAGTGAGGGGGGCAAAGTTGAGGAAAGGAAGAAGGACTGGAGCTGGCACGACACCTGAAGGAAGAACAGCTGATACAGTGTTTTGTTTTGTTTTGTTTTGAGACGGAGTTTCATTCTTGTTGCCCAGGCTGGAGTGCAATGGTACAATCTCAGCTTACAGCAACCTCTGCCTCCCGGGTTCAAGCCATTTTCCCACCTCAGCCTCTCAAGTAGCTGGGATCACAGGCATGCGCCACCATGCCCGGCTAATTTTTTGTATTTAGTAGAGATGGGGTTTCGCCATGTTGGTCATGCTGGTCTCAAACTCCTGACCTCAGGTGATCCACCTGCCTCGGCCTTCAAGGTGCTGGGATTACAGGCATGAGCCACTGCACCCAGCCAATGCAGTTTTTAAAAGCCTCTTCCTCTCCTTTTATGTCTTGCTCTGTCACCCAGGCTGGAGTGCAGTGGTGTGATAACAGCTCACTCCACCCTCAAACTCCTGGGCTCAGGCAATCCTCCTGCCTCAGCCTCCCAAGTAACTGAGACAATAGGTGCATGACACCAGGCCCAGATCTTTTATCCATTGTGTGACTGGCAGTCAGTCTTTACTAGCTTTCAGGATTATTTGAGGATGGAATAAGTCTTATTTATCTTTGGATCCAATTTTAGGACTTGTTATCATACTTTGCACCTAACAGACACTCAATACATGGTTGTTAATTAAGAAAAAAAATGCTTAGGCATAGAACAGAACACGTAACCTGTGATCCTTATGAAAGTGTCAAAGCCCTTCTGAGACTCAGTTTCCTCATCTATAAAATAGGAATGGTAAGTAGCGTACAGGATTGTGTTAGGACTAAGAGATACTGAATGTAAACTACTTATCGGGGATATAAAACAGCATTATTATTACCAACTCTCACTCTGTAGTTTGAGAAAAATGACCAGTTTTCAAAGTGTACATTTAAAGATTATTGTAATTATTTTATAAGGGCTCTTTAGACATCTTCTCCAACATTATTTTCTCTCCCTTTCCTTGATTACATATTTTATGCTTAATTTGAAGTATTTTTCCAATGCACAGTAGGTACTAAATGAACTCTTATTTAATTAAATTAAATAAGCCTAGCTAACAGAAACATACCTAGTTACTGAATTATAAACTATTAATAATATCTAGCAACTCATGGGATTTAAAGATTTGTAAGTAAACTGCCTCAGTGTTATCATGAGATGACAAATACATTGTAAGACTCAAAAGAATACTTTCTAAAAAAAGAAATGCAGTATTTGAGCTTACTTTGTCTTTTTTTTTTAAAGTCCACCTGCTTCCATGAAATAAAAGAATTGCACTGTACCTTTTCCTTCCCAAGCATCAAAGGCATCCATCATTTTCTTCAACTCTGCTACTGAATAATAGCTCCAAATGTACTGAACATTATTTCCCGCCTCTCTAGAAATATTGCAAAGAGTAATGAAAATATACTACCTAGGTATGGATGTGCATATATACATACAGCTAATATACATTTAATAAGAGCTTGTTAATTAAGGGAAAAAACATGTAAGCACTGAGTAGTTGTTCTGTGATCCTTAAGTATACATATGCTTACACAGATACATATGTACACATTATATAATATACTAACCTATATTTTGATCTCTTTTTATCATAGTATTTTATTAATTCCACAATATGCACCATGTAGACAAATCAACACATCTTTAATATCAAGTTTTTAAAAAAAATCAGCGAACTCCAATGAACTTAGAAAATATTCACGTTTCACCAGCATTATGCCAGGCACTTACACATCTTACATAGAAGCATCCCTATCTGTAAAGAATTCAGAAACTGATGACATATTTAATAATCTCAAAAGGCAAGCTTATATGATCCTTCATTAGTCACTAATATTCGACCCAATCCCATCTGCCAGAGAATTTTTTTAAAAATTGCTAAGAGAATTAACCAGTGTAAATAAGATTATAGGAAAAATATTAAGTAATAACTCTTAAGAATTTAACATGTTCAAGTCATAAAATTCTAAAGCTGGAAGGGACCAGCAAGTGCTTCGTCATTTCTCAGAAGAAGACACCAAGGCAGGCCAGCCCTGAGTCACTCAGTAGGCCTGCTGACTTCTTCTGCCAATGCTTCTATGGTCTAGGAAGACACCAGGCATGTGGCTTTTCTTTTTTCTTTCTCTTCTTTTCTTTTTAAGCCTCTCAGGGGAGGGGATTCTGATGCAGACTCCCAGTTGAGAACCACTGCACTAGATCATGCAGATGGCATGCAGCTTATCCATACTGTATGGGAAATGATCTTAATTATAATTTCCTCATGAAGCAGGCCTATCTCAACTGCTATGATGGCTCACTGTGTCTCCTGAGAGGTGTTAATGGTCTTTTCTAGTCAAGCACATTTCATTCAGAAACACCTCTTAAAAGAGACCAAGACTTTATTTTGTTCTTTTTCACATTTAAATTTGGACATACCTTTTAAAAATGCCTTTGCTGTGAATTCTTCCTCCCAGCTGCTTTTCAATAGCGTCTGTTCCATCAGTTTTTGTGGCATATACACCAATAATTCTACTCTCACAGCTTGCACCAGATGTGTTAAGATAGTGGAGAACCCAAACTGTTGGTTTATTGCAGACTAAGCCATATGAATCACAGAAGTCTGTTAAAGCCTAAAGCAAAAAGTATATATAAAATTTGAATTTAATTCTAGAGTAAAATAAAAATGAATATGCTCCATTACTTTCATGTAAAAGCTGAAATTCTAGTTGATCATAAGGGAAATAAAAAGATTATATATTTCAGCTTAGTCTTTACATCTTTAAAAATCAAACACACATTTTTTTTAATTAAATCGGGGCAGGAAGGACAATCACAAAAAATACCCCCCAAAACCCCAACACCTTTTCATCTACAGAAACCTTTTCCACATGGAAATTCCATTTTATTTCTTACTCTTTTAGTCTGCCAACATCACTTTTAATTTTATCATCTTTATAAGATCATTCCTCCACTGCCAACATCACTTTTAATTTTGAAATCCAATCCCACAGAAATACAAACTACCATCAGGGAATACTACAAACACCTCTACGCAAATAAACTAGAAAATCTAGAAGAAATGGATAAATTCCTCGACACATACACTCTCCCAAGACTAAACCAGGAAGAAGTTGAATCTCTGAATAGACCAATAACAGGAGCTGAAATTGTGGCAATAATCAGTAGCTTACCAACCAAAGAGAGTCCAGGACCAGATGGATTCACAGCCGAATTCTACCAGAGGTACAAGGAGGAACTGGCACCATTCCTTCTGAAACTATTCCAATCAATAGAAAAAGAGGGAATCCTCCCTAACTCATTTTAAGAGGCCAGTATCATCCTGATACCAAAGCTGGGCAGAGACACAACCAAAAAAGAGAATTTTAGACCAATATCCTTGATGAACATTGATGCAAAAATCCTCAATAAAATACTAGCAAACCGAATCCAGCAGCACATCAAAAAGCTTATCCACCATGATCAAGTGGGCTTCATCCCTGGGAATGCAAGGCTGGTTCAATATATGCAAATCAATAAATGTAATCCAGCATATAAACAGAACCAAAGGCAAAAACCACATGATTATCTCAATAGATGCAGAAAAGGCCTTTGACAAAATTCAACAACCCTTCCTGCTAAAAACTCTCAATAAATTAGGTATTGATGGGACGTATCTCAAAATAATAAGAGCTATCTATGACAAACCCATAGCCAATATCATACTGAATGGGCAAAAACTGGAAGCATTCCCTTTGAAAACTGGCACAAGACAGGGATGCCCTCTCTCACCACTCCTATTCAACATAGTGTTGGAAGTTCTGGCTAGGGCAATTAGGCAGGAGAAGGAAATAAAGGGTATTCAGTTACAAAAAGAGGAAGTCAAATTGTCCCTGTTTGCAGACGACATGATTGTATATCTAGAAAACCCCACTGTCTCAGCCCAAAATCTCCTTAAGCTGATAAGCAACTTCAGCAAAGTCTCAGGATACAAAATCAGTGTGCAAAAATCACAAGCATTCTTCTACACCAACAACAGACAAACAGAGAGCCAAATCATGAGTGAACTCCCATTCACAATTGCTTCAAAGAGAATAAAATACCTAGGAATCCAACTTACAAGGGATGTGAAGGACCTCTTCAAGGAGAACTACAAACCACTGCTCAAGGAAATAAAAGAGGATACAAACAAATGGAAGAATATTCCATGCTCATGGGTAGGAAGAATCAATATTGTGAAAATGGCCATACTGCCCAAGGTAATTTACAGATTCAATGCCATCCCCATCAAGCTACCAATGACTTTCTTCACAGAATTGGAAAAAACTACTTTAAAGTTCATATGGAACCAAAAAAGAGCCCGCATCGCCAAGTCAATCCTGAGCCAAAAGAACAAAGCTGGAGGAGGCATCATGCTACCTGACTTCAAACTATACTACAAGGCTACAGTAACCAAAACAGCATGGTACTGGTACCAAAACAGAGATATAGATCAATGGAACAGAACAGAGCCCTCAGAAATAACGCCACATATCTACAACTATCTGATCTTTGACAAACCTGAGAAAAACAAGCAATGGAGAAAGGATTCCCTATTTAATAAATGGTGCTGGGAAAACTGGCTAGCCATATGTAGAAAGCTGAAACTGGATCCCTTCCTTACACCGTATACAAAAATCAATTCAAGATGGATTAAAGACTTAAACGTTAGACCTAAAACCATGAAAACCCTAGAAGAAAACCTAGGTATTACCATTCAGGACATAGGCATGGGCAAGGACTTCATGTCTAAAACACCAAAAGCAATGGCAACAAAAGCCAAAATTGACAAATGGGATCTAATTAAACTAAAGAGCTTCTTGCACAGCAAAAGAAACTACCATCAGAGTGAACAGGCAACCTACAAAATGGGAGAAAATTTTTGCAACCTACTCATCTGACAAAGGGCTAATATCCAGAATCTACAATGAACTCAAACAAATTTACAAGAAAAAAACAAACAACCCCATCAAAAAGTGGGCGAAGGACATGAACAGACACTTCTCAAAAGAAGACATTTATGCAGCCAAAAAACACATGAAAAAATGCTCACCATCACTGGCCATCAGAGAAATGCAAATCAAAACCACCATGAGATACCATCTCACACCAGTTAGAATGGCAATCATTAAAAAGTCAGGAAACAACAGGTGCTGGAGAGGATGTGGAGAAATAGGAACACTTTTACACTGTTGGTGGGACTGTAAACTAGTTCAACCATTGTGGAAGTCAGTGTGGCGATTCCTCAGGGATCTAGTATTAGAAATACCATTTGACCCAGCCATCCCATTACTGGGTATATACCCAAAGGATTATAAATCATGCTGCTATAAAGACACATGCACACGTATGTTTATTGCGGCATTATTCACAATAGCAAAGACTTGGAACCAACCCAAATGTCCAACAATGATAGACTGGATTAAGAAAATGTGGCACATATACACCATGGAATACTACGCAGCCATAAAAAATGATGAGTTCATGTCCTTTGTAGGGACATGGATGAAATTGGAAATCATCATTCTCAGTAAACTATCGCAAGAACAAAAAACCAAACACCGCATATTCTTACTTATAGGTGGGAATTGAACAATGAGAACACATGGACACAGGAAGGGGAACATCACACTCTGGGGACTGTTGTGGGGTGGGGGTAGGGGGGAGGGATAGCATTGGGAGATATACCTAATGCTAGATGATGAGTTAGTGGGTGCAGCGCACTAGCATGGTACATGTATACATATGTAACTAACCTGCACATTGTGCACGTGTACCCTAAAACTTAAAAGTATAATAATAATAAATTTAAAAAAAAGAAAAAAAAAGAAATCTTCATATAATAACCAAAATGTAGACCTTTTTCTTTTCCCTTTAGAGTAATTTCCCCAAAATTTCCCATTTTACACAATCTTCCATTCACCTTCTACTGACTAACCCCATGGTTGGTCCTTATTTTTAGCTCCAAATTCTAATCATGGACTAACCAGATTGATTTTACTTTTACACGGAAAGATACGAATATGTAAACTCAATATCTAAACTCCGTATATGCTGCCTGAACTCATTTGGCACTTATCAACCTATTCATTCATTCATTTGAATATTAAGTTCCTACTCTGAGCTGAGCTCTAACGTCCTGCAGATATAACAATGAACAATGGTGAGACAGGGTCCCAGTCCTCCCAGAGTTTATAGCTAATGCAGAAGACAGACATTGAATAAGCCACCAGCACCCTGTGTAAGAAGTGCCACCAGGACCGGGTGCAGGGGCTCACACCTGTAACCCCAGCACTTTGGGAGGCCGAGGCGGGCAGATCACCTGAGGTTGGGAGTTCGAGACCAGCCTGACCAACATGGAGAAACCCTGTCTCTACTAAAAATACAAAATTAGCTGGGCGTGGTGGCACATGCCTGTAATCCCAGCTACTCAGGAGGCTGAGGCAGGAGAATCACTTGAACCCGGGAGGTAGAGGTTGCGGTGAACTGAGATCATGCAATTGCACTCCAGCCTGGGCAACAAGAGCAAGACTCCATCTCAAAAGAAAAAAAAAAAAAAAAAAGAAGTGCCACCAGTGAGACCACAAGGTGCTCCAGGGCAGAGAGCAGAAGGGTTTCACCCAGTGAAGCTGCCAGGGCCTTCCCTGGGAGGAACAGCTTTACTGCTGTAAGTACTCTGGACAGGTACTATATTGTGTTCACTGTTATATCCCAAGTGTCTGGAATAGTGCCTGACACAAACGAGATGCCTAGTATTTACTGACTCAGTGAATGAAAATGGGGCCCTACCATGTCTTGCACTTTCATTTAATATTGCTATCTAACTCCTATATTGGTTTGGAATTTTACTTACACATACATCTACAAGAATTCCCAACTATACTATAAACTTCAAGGGCAAAGAACTACATGTTGTATTTCTTGGTGTCCCACGCAGCCCCTTGTACAGTGCCATACATGTCACAGGCACTTGAAACAAACATGTGTTGGCTGACAGCATGAATGTGGGCATGCTGTGTCCTTTTTGAATAAAAACCAGGAATAAAAGATTACAGAGCTGAGACTTCTGAAGATGAGCATTAACCCTCCCAACCTTCTAGTCAGGCCTCATTCTGCAGATGTGGCAACAGCAGGGAAAGACTATCGTTCGAAAATATAGTTTATGAATAACTTCAGTAGCAGAACCCATATAACTATTTAAATTCCTAAAGGGGATCTGGAACCAAATCAACTTTCTATTCATGCTGCACTCCTAATAACCAACCACCCATCAGCTTGCTTCCTAAACGCTGACATCCAAATCAAAGAATTCAAACAAGTTCAGATCAGTTTTCACTATTAACAATTTTCTAAGAAAAATATTTTCCTTAGATGCTCAAAAGTGCTAATTAATAACACATATAATACTTTCAATAAGACAAAAACAGATAATTAGGATTTTCAAATCATGTAAAGATCTTTAAAATGCAATTTAAAATAGAAGCATCTTAAAAAGATATTTAGTGATCTCAAAGTGAATTAGCCAAACTAATGTTTTAAATTAGTAACAAACTACTACACTTACTAAATCAAGTAAGATGCTTTATTATTCATCAGGATCATTATTTTCAAAAATCATTTTAGTAAATAAAATAATACCACTATGCCCTCACATAGTATAGTATTTCTCTTAATTTAAAAAGAATTGGCCGGGTGCAGTGGCTCACGCCTGTAATCCCAGCACTTTGGGAGGCCCAGATGGGCGGATCACGAGGTCAGCAGATCGAGACCATCCTGGCTAACACGGTGAAACCCCCGTCTCTACTAAAAATACAAAAAATTAGCTGGGCATAGTGGCAGGCGCCTGTAGTCCCAGCTACTGGGGAGGCTGAGGCAGGAGAATGGTGTGAAGCCCAGAGGCGGAGCTTGCAGTGAGCCAAAATCCCGCCACTGCACTCCAGCCTGGGGGACAGAGCAAGACTCTGCCTCAAAAAAAAAAAAAAAAAAAAGCAAGAATTTCAGGAGTTCTGTAAAAAAGCCGTCAAAAAGTGTTAAATCTTCAGTGAGCAATATAAACTCAATCAACCTTTGAGTGGCAATATACTTTCCAAGAATTTTGGCCTTAAAAAATGAGAAGTAGTAGTAAAGAAACATGTCTTCAAAATGCATAAAAACTATCTTGTTTGGTTAATGTGAAAACACAGGCTATGCAAAATAGTACATATTGCTTTGTGCATCATAAATATATATATTCAAAAACTTAAAAAAATGCCAAGACCTTTTTAAGTTCTATATTTGACCTTAAAGAATATGTCTCCATTTCATTGGCCAAATGGTCAGACAGGCTGTATGGATAAGGGATGCCAAAGTAATCAGCCTCTTCCTGTAGGGCGATGCGGGTTTGCTCATCTGTGGGAATCTGAACTTCTCCATGAAGGTAATCCAAAAGGTATTTAAATAGACGTCCATCACGGTCAATAACACAAGCCCCTAGAAAACATTCAGTTCAAAAATGATTATAGAGATTCTGTCGATCAATAAGATTTCAACAAATCAAACTAGGTCTGAGGACCTCTACAATTATAAATGTTTCTTTCTCACATGAAAGTTAACATCTAGTGTTCAAATAGGTTTATGTAATCTAAGCTAGACTTTTGGTTATTCAAACACCAAATATGATATACCAGCAACCCTCTGCTTACAAATAGGTGATATTGTAAAATAGAATCTGAATGAGATGTGTGGGACAATCACCTGTAGTTCTATAATACTGCACATAAGTTTGAATGCAAATATATATCACCAGGGTTGCCATGTTTGGTTGTACTGGTGTACTATATACACCATGCTAGGCCAAGTGGGCAAGAGAGGCTAAAACCAAACCCACACTCTGCTCACCAAGCCATGCACCCTGGCATGGAACTGCATCTTCCTGGATAAAAGGGCACCCTTTTCTGATTTGTACACAAAGAAACTGAATGAGTCAGTGGTGGACCTTTGCGTTCTCACTACCATATGGGAAAATATATTCTGAGATCCATTTAGAACTTTGGATGCAATGACTATATTCCCACAATGGCCACTGCAAAAGCTAAGGGCACCCCACACTGCTGGTAGAAACAGCAGTTTACCCCTAACCTTATCTCAGCTGGACTAGAACAGGTATATGGAGGTTCTCACTAAAGAGAGCATGTGGGGTGCTCATCACTATGTCCAGTGTTTGCATATCAGCAACACTACAAATCTGGGGTTCCTCACTCCAGGCATGCCAGATGATTCGAATTACTGGGTTAGTCCTTTTGTACTACGAGAACCCAAACTTTAAAAAAGAAGAAACACTATGCTGGTACTACTTTATAATAAAATATTTTTCTTAGATAATTTAGCAGAATTAAAAAAAAAAAAGAGAGAAAAACCTCTACATGAGGCTAGTCAGTAATTCCTCACAAAAGAAGGGATTAAGAAGGTAAAATTTAGGGGCAGAGAAGAAAACTCAATCCCTGCTTACCATCTTTGCCCCAACAACCTTTCTGCCCAGGTAGAAACCAAGCCCTGGGCACCAGCCACTGGTGATTTTTTTTCCCATTCTTTCAACTGCCATTTAACCAGCAAAGCAACCTCCTAACACCAGAGTTATTAACAGTAAAACAGTCCCTCATGTTCAAGACTCCTCAATCATTCTCCTCTAACACAGAACCAAGAGTGGGTCTGGGGCTCATACACAGGGCAAAAAACTTCATTTGTATTGATGAACTTTCTTTACAAACAGTAGCAGGTTCAGTGAGTACCAGAGCACTGGAAGCAGAGAGCAGCCCCAGAACCCTACCTGTGTGATTTACAGTTCTGAAACCCAGTTTTCAGTCCGCTGCCCCTTTGCCTCTGACGGTATCACTGCACAGACTTTTTCTCAGCCGTGCACATTGGACACACAGCAAGACTACACAGCTAGGCTAGGTGGCGAGCCCAACACTAATTCTACAATGACGATGGCTGCTCTGTTAGCAATAAGGAGGGCAGCTGCTTTCTCCAGACAAAACATTTTCCAATTTGAAGAACACAGAGAGAAGCAAATATATTTAATCAGCATCAATATCATCACCCAAAGCTGCATGAAAGTAACAAGTTTCAAAATACAGTTAATCCCCATAATTAGGTTATGACCAGCCTTTATGAACTCTTACTTCTTTGTCAACTTTTAACATTATCACAGATTTTCAGAAGTAGTATTTAATTTCTCCACGTACTTAATGAATCTCCATAGAGTCCTAATGATCTCAGTAATTAGTATAGTCATCTAGTACATTTCGCTGTAATTAAGAAAATCAAAGGGAACTTAAACTGGTGTTAATAAATATTCAGATCATGCTTTCAGACTTTAGACATTTACCTGACTCATCTGTTTTTAGAGGAAAGCGACCACTGAACATAGATGCCAACATGGAGTCCTTGAAGCGGCACAAGGACTCCCGCCGGGCTGTGTAAATACAGCCACCCACGTTCAGTCGGAGAACATCTAGCACCTCTTCTTCTGCCTTGTGGCCTTCCATTTCTCCCCCAGGCACCTGAATTTTTGCCGCCCAACACTTTCAGAAACTTCAAAACAATGATGTCTTGGTCTCCCTCTGTAAAACAAAGGACAGTCATCCCCGCCATTTCCAACAAGACACTAAATAGATAATATAATAAATATACTTTAACATGACTGAAAATAAATTCCTCAGTACTGGCATTATTGAATTGAAGGATTTTATATAATATAAGAGAATTTCGAGATATGCTAAGAAGTTGGAAAATGTTGGCTAAGAGGATTTGTAAAAGATAATAAACGACTAACAACCCAATCATTGCTGTTGAAATGACTGTTTAAACATGGTAATGCACTCTCTGTCACACAGCAAACAAAGGAGAGGCCTGCTTATGATCTTCAGTATTCACATATCTTTTTAACCATGATAAGTCTGAGGGAGCCTCTAGACTGCAGAGATCAGTGGACAGCATGGAATTGAGCTGCTAGGCTCTTCCCCTCACCAGCTCTAGGATCTTGGGCAAATTACTTATCTTCCTCTTCCATAAAATGGAGGCAGTGATGATGCCCAGCTCAAAGGACTATAAGAGGAATAATTAAAAGAATATATAAAACAGCAAAAGAGCAGAATCTAGCTCATGGTAACTATTCAATAAATTATAAATATTATGCATAATGATATAAATTTAACCATAAGGTGTCTACTGAGGGACTTGATATTGACTCTGGAAATGTAAGGAAATAAAGGAGCAGGAATTATTAACAATGATAACTATAATTCTTAAGTTAGGTAACTAAGGAATATATAATTTATCAACTGAGATTATAATTCTTCTTTTAATTTTTTTAAATTTTTAAAAAATGAGACAGGGTCTCGCTGTGTTGCCCAGGCTAGTCTTGAACTCCTGGGCTCAAGCAATCCTCCTGTCTTGGCCTTCCGAAGTGCTGAGTATACAGGCATGAGCCACCACGCCCAGCCTGAGATCAGAATTCTATGTAGACCAGTAGCCAGGCCAGTCTAGAACTACAAATAACACCTCCAAATCATCCAGCTTCTTCACTGTGAAATGGATGAAGCTTTAGGGAAGTTTTGGGGGGTTTTTGTTTGTTTGCTTGTTTGTTTTTTGAGATGGAGTCTCGCTCTGTAGCCCAGGGTGGAGTACAGTGGCGCCATCTCGGCTCACTCCCGGGTTCAAGCAATTCTCCTGCCTCAGCCTCCTGAGTAGCTGGGACCACAGGTATACACCATCATGCCGGGCTAATTCTTGTAATTTTAGTAGAGACGGCGTTTCACCATATTGGGCAGTCTGGTCTCCAACTCCTGACCTCAGGTGATCCACCCACCTCGGCCTCCCAAAGTGCTGAGATTACAGGCGTGAGCCACTGCACCAGGCCCAGGGAAGGTTTAAGGGTTGGATTTTTTTAATCCATTCTGGAGATCACAGAACCACAAGTGACACTGTGGTGTTTTCCCACCTAAAACAATACTGTGATGAAAAAGGTACTCCCAATTATTGAGAATCTGCAGTATCCACACATTTCATAGCAAGTTGAAAATGGCTGCCAAAAGGCTCAACTACATCCATGTCAATTCACTTTTACTCAGTGAACAACTAAGATCGTTTTGTAGATGCCAGCTAGTCTCCAATAAAATGGAAGGAGACCATTAAAATCTGAGGAAGACCATGTGTGTAGAATACGGTCAGCAACAGAAACCATTATGGGCCAAAGGTCCAGCCTTCCAAAACCACTTATGGATGTGACATCTCGCACTGCCTAGAAGTCCTGGGAGCAGCACTCCAAAGATCCATGTGTGAGAGCCACCTCTGAGGCATGGGATGGAACTTGTTCCCTCTGCCTCATTACTGGCTCCCTGGAATCCTATCTATTCTTCAAGGCCTTCAGCAAACCTAATTTCTTGCATGACCGTCCCACGTATCCTTCTGCCCCCCAAGTTAGAATCCTTGCACAATTCTACAAATATACTGTGTGTCTGTCCACTTTTTACCCCACTTGTTTAATCCCTACTTTTTGGTCTGTAGGCCAAGGAAGCCAGGGCCTGTGTCACTCTTAATAACTCCCATTTACTGAATGCTTATTATGTGCCAGCCATTGTAAGAGACACTTGACACACTTTACCTAATTCACACAAAAACTCTATTGGATGGGAATTACTGTCCCTGTTGACAGATGAGGCCATTGGGGTAAAAAAAAAGAGTGATGTGTACAGGGGCCACACAAGGACTGACTGCTAGTAGGTTGTGGAGCCAGCCCCAATCCAGAACGGCAGGACGAACCCCAAGTTCTTCCTGCTTCACCCCACACCGCCTCCTCCAGCACTGTTTCACCCCTATGGATCCTGACCCAGCCCTTTCACTCTCTAAGCATCTGTCCATCTCAAGACTTGGCTACGATAACACAGCAGCACCCCGATCCCGAGGATTTAAGAGCTACTCCTCCTACCCCAACCCCAGGCAGTCTCTCCTAAGGATAGGAACATCATCATTCCAAGGCCACACCAGGGGGGCACTCCGCAGGCCCCATCCTCAAAAGCACCCAGTTAGGCTCCCTGCTATGTGGAAAGTGTCCAGCCCTCGGGGACAATGTCCCCCAGAGTGCATTCCTATGATCACCTGCATCAAAACCATCAGGGACGCTTGGGAAAACGAAGACACTCCGGCCACAGCACACAGTTCCTCAGAAAGTCTGAGGAGGGGTCGGGATCTGCCCGCGAACCCCACTTTGAAAAACATCGCTCAAGGGGCTCACACTCCTCTTCCGAAGCGGGAAGAGCCGGGAGGAGCTGGGGAGCCAGAAAGCCCCGCCACGGTCTTCCGCGGCCTGGAGACCCCAAATCGGCCCGAAGCCCGAGCCTGCAGCCCGGGGCGCGCGCGTTACCAGCGCGGCCCGTGCCCTTCCTCAGGGCGCCCCGCCGCCTTCCGGGCCCGCGGCCCATCCCGCGCCCGGCTCTTCCGCACCGGGGGGGTGGGGCGGGTCGGCAGCTTCCCAGACTGACCTGCGGCCCGCCAGACCCTCGGCGCGGCCGCCGGACGCCGCGGGGCGGACGCGGAAGTGAACGCCTTCTCAGCTGCTCGGCAACTCGGGAGCAGAGCGGCCCCAGCGGCGCCCCCGTGCGGCCCGGCTCTGAGGCAGCGGCTCAGGGAGGGAGGGAGGCCACGTCCCGGGCACGCCACGCCACGCCACGCCCCGCCCCCAGATTCGTCTCGCCCCAGTGGGCCGCCTCGGAGTCGGGTGGGTCTTCCATCCCGGAGGTAAGGGAAACACACGGTAGAGAAGGCCAGGGCTGAACCCCAAGGGACGGTCTTGTGTGTTCAGAGGCTGGTTTTACAGGTGAAGAGAAGAAACAGCCGCAGAAGTTGCGATTGTCCAAGGTCACTTAATAAGTGGCAAGAATTAGGATGTTAAGTGTTCTCACCCCCAGGTCAGTGCCCATCCCTCCAAACAGGGCTGCTCAGTGCCAACGTGTGTTAATATATTGCACTTGGATAAGTCTATCTGGATAGTGTCTGCAGCTTACAAAGCTTTTTCACACACAGCATTCTTGTTTAGTCTGTGTGACAGTGATATAAAGGGTGATATTTATTTCCCATTATAGCAAGGAAAATTGAGGCGAGAGCAAACATTTATTCAACACTTTTGTACACCTGACACTGTGCTAAGTGCTTTGCATGCACTACTTAATTTCCTGTTAACGATAACCCTAAAACAGTTCTTCCAGTTTCTAGCACCATCTTACCTTGTGCAAGGTACTGTGCTAGATATTTCAAGAGAAATATAACAGTCCTGTTTTCAAGGTGCTTCCCCAAAATCAAAAATATTTGGTTCCAAATTTCCCTGACTGGCTCTTAGAAGAGAATAAGCCAAAGAGAGGTAAGTCAACCTATCCCCTTAGATATTAACAGTCTTAGGAGAGAGGGAAGGTTTGTTCAACCTGTAATTATTAAGCACTAGCTATGGAGCAAGCACTGAGAGTAAAGGACTGGAAGAGACAAATAATGGGCGTTCAACCTTACTTTCCAGTACAACATGCAGAAAACTTGTTCTGTAAATATTTTAGGCTTTGTGGGCCATGCACAACTACTCAACTCAGCAGTTGTAGTCTAAAAGAAGGCATAGGCAAAACCTGAACAAATGAGCATTGCTAGTTCCAACTTTATGGACACTGAAATTCCAATTTCACATAATTTTCATGTGTCAAAAAATATTCTTTTAAAAATGCAGCTTTTTCAAACACTTAAATATGTACAAGCCATTCTTAGATCATGGGCCAGACAAAAACAAATGGTGGTCCATGGGCCATAGTTTGCCTGCCCTTGTTCAAGTGGGAGAAACAGACACTAAGCAAAGTGGTGACAGAGAGTGATAACTAGGTGCGAGGAAATGAGTGGACATTTAAGTTGAGGGCTAGGAGTCAGAATGAGTCCACCTTCTGCAGAGATGGAGGAAGGGTATTTTAGGAAGAAGGGAGAGCAAGTCGGAAGCCCCTCAGGCAGGAAAGGACTCAGCAATTTGTAGGAAGAGAAAGGCCACTAGTATGTCTGAGCCTTGGTGGGCATCAGGACAAAGGGGAAGATGAGATGGGATGAGGTTGAAGAGAGAGGCAAGAGCCCAGACTCTAAAGTATTGTGTGGCCATGGTAGAAATTTAATTTGACTGTAAGCATAATGAGAAGCTATTGAAAGGTTTTAAGCAGGGAAGTGACACAATTGATTTACTATTAAAAAAAAATAATCACTGCAGCTACTGAGATGAGAATGGATTGGAAAGGTGTGAGATGGAAGTAGATGACTATTGCAATAATCCAGGGGAGAAATGTCTTAGTTCCTCCTTGAGTAGTGTTGGCAATAAAGAGAAGTGGATGGATGCAAGAGGGGTACTCAGGAGATAGACATGACATAAAATTTGTTGGTGGATCAAATACAATGTGTTAATATGGATCCCCTGAGAAGCAAACAATATTATCAGATTAGACATGTGAGAGATTTATTGAAGGGAACACCTGTGAGGTAATAACAGGGAAGCATCTGAGGGGAATTAGGAAAGACATTAGACAGTTTCAACCCTTGTGGAGAACAGGAAAGGAAAAGTAGGAAAAGTTGTAGATATGATACAGTTCTGAGAAAGTTTCAGCACAGCCAGTGGAAAGCCTTCAAGCCAAAGTCCCCCATATCAGAAGAGTTCTGTGTCTCCCAGGAATGGGCCTGCCTTAAATCCCTCTGCTCAGTCACTGGCTGGGAGCAGTCAGTGGGCAGTGCAGCCTGGTGATAAATTTCAAAGGACAGCAGCTGAGGCATCAGTCAACAATGCTCCCTGCAATTGGAGATCTGAGAAGTGCATTTTCATGGCTGCAATATATGGGATTTAAGGGAAAGGGAAAAATGTAGGAATATCTCTAAATTGTTAATTTGAACAATGGGATAATAGTGAGTTTACCGAGTCAGTGAATTATGGGAGAGGAATAGGTTTGAGGGAAGAAATCAGAAGCTGTGTTTTGGACTACTAAGATTCAGATGCTTTTCAGACATTCAGGTAGAGAGATCAATTAGCAATTGAATAAATCTGGAGCTCAGGGGTAAAATTCTGTGTTGAAGGTGGATATTTGGAAAGCATAAGCATTTAAAGCTATGAGAGTGAATGAAACCATCTGCAGAAAGGGCAGATAAATGAGAAGAGACAACATGAAGCATTGACTTCAGCATTTAGAAGTCAGGCTTACAAGGAAGAGCCAAGAGGAAGGAGGGGAGTCAGGAGCGTATGGAGTTACAGGAACCAAGAGAGCAAAGTGTCATTCATGTCAAATGCCACTGAGAAATCAAGGGTCCATCATATTTGGTATTGTGGGAGTTCTAGGTGACCTTGACAAGAGCAGTTTCAATGTTGTGGTGAGGACGCAAACCAGCCAAAAATGGGCTGGAGAGTGAATGGGAGATGGAAGGCTGGATGTAACCCTTTAGAGAAGACTTTGTTGTAAATAGAAGTAGAGAAGTGAAGCTGTAGTGAAGGTGGGATAAGAGTCAAGAAAAGGAATTTTAGGATGAGAGTCATTCCAGCAGGTTATGCTGATGGAAATGATTCAGTAGATAGGCAGAGATTGGTGAGGCAGGAAGGGGAGGGAGGGGACAACCGAAGAAATGAAATACTTGGCAAAGCAAAAGGGTGTTGGAGCCAAAGCACAAATTAAGCAATTTTCATTTGACAAGAGCAGGGGTAGGAGGTAAAACACAGAAGACAGATTTAAGTTCAACTAAGTTGTAGATTTCACAGAGGAGAGATGAGAAAAGTCTGACCAAATGGCTTCTGCATTCTCTATTTAGTCTAAAGCAAGGTCAAAGGCTGAGAGTAAAGGAGATGAGGAGTGGAAAAGGTGTGAAGAAGGAGCGTAAGGTATGAATTATTTATCTTGGGAACTGAAAAGCAAACTTTCTATAGAAACTTGGTAGGATTGCTAAGAAGGGATGAGTGTCCACTTGAAGATTGTAATCATTATAACATGGATGTCAAGCTAGTCATCCCAGTTATATGACTTTTATCCAGCAACATTCAGCAGCTTCAGTACAGGTGCTGAGAAAGTAGATAACCCTGGGCTCAGCCGGAGTTGGGATTTAGCCAGGTAGTATGACACAAGGATTGGTTACCATGATGGATCATCGATTCTAAGATGGGTAAAGAGGGAAGTATATGAATGTGGTGATGCATAGTGAAAAGGTAGTGAGATTAATGGATTTGAGATCTCAATGGAGTTGAGGAATTTTTCAAATAGGAATACTAGAGTAAGTGAGCTAGAAGAATTGAAGGCAGTGGTCAGAGAGTATACTTGAATTCAAGATGCCAGAAGTCATGCAATGAATGTAGTGCCAAGGCTCTGGGCTGAGACGGGGTGGAAACAAAGTTAGTAGAGGTGAAAATTGTAAAGAAATGGCAAGCTAGGTTGTAAGATGGGTTATCACCGTAAATAAATACAAAGTCAACAAGAATGAGTTGGCATAGAGAGAAAGATGATGAAATGGAAGCCATTGTTACCAATAACTGATCATCAAAAGAGTTGTAGAAAACTGCATTGAGGAAAGAAGGAGAGATCCTCTGTCCTGAGGTATACATATAGTTAAAATTACCTAGGGCTTAGAAAGACAAAGAAGGAAAAGTGTTTGGAAGCACTATTGAGAGAAAACGAAACGCCAGCTCCACCTCCTGATTCTGGAATATGGGGGGAGTGGAAGAAAAAGTAGTCTCCACCCAAGAAGTCTACAGTGGAAGCAGGACCTCTAAGAACAGACAACTTTCAGTTAAAAAAAAAAAAAATTAAGCAATAGTAACATTTTAGCCAGGTGTGGTGGCATGTGGCTATAATCCCAGCTACCCAGGAGGCTGAGGCAGGAGAATCGCTTGAACCCAGGAGGTGGAGGTTGTAGTGAGCCAAGATCACACCACTGCACTCCAGCCTGGGCAACAGAGAAAAAGAGAAAAAAAAAGAAGAAGAAAGGAAGAAAGAAGCGATGGTAACATTTAAAAGTGAATTTTAAAGGGCTCTGTGGAGATGTTTGGAAGCAATGGGAACAGTGGAGAATTGGCTTATAATAGTGGACATATCAGAAGTATGAGGATGAGGGCCCCAGGTAACAGTGGACAACTTGGGGAATTGGGACTGCTGGGGTGATTATAGAACACAGGGTCTAGACATAATGAGAAAAGTCCTAATGGTCTGTTAATGCAAGGTTCAAGCAAAGGCCAAATATTTAACTCAATAGCATTGGTATAACCCCATTTTCTGACTGCTTTCAATTGTATGGTGGACTGAGGGCAGGGAGGGTCTTATGTGGAACTGAAGCATCAGGAAAATCCTCGGGTGACTACTCCCTCCTGCAGCTCTCCTGGAAGGAAAGAACAATCCTAGCTCTGGTGCACAGAAGGTTGAAGGGAAGGGGGTAAAAAAGCAGTATATAACTCAGAACCTGAGTCACACACCTGATTAGACTTGAGACTGCCCTCCTCTTCTGGCACTCTTTAAGATGGGAAAGATAGGTACTTGTCATGGTAAAGGAGAAGCAAATAACTTTGCGACTGTCCTCCAGGAAAAGATTCCCAAACCATAAACGCATTCCTCCTTCAAACCCAGGACAATGTATGGGAGAATGAAGGGTCTGGTTGCTTCTTTGTTCACAAAGGCTAGATAAGTTGGGACGTTTTTCTTTTTGCAATGCCTGGTGCAGAGTGTGCAGTTCCACCAAGATAACACTGACAGGACAATTTCTGAGCAGCCAGGCAATAGCAGCTATAGCTGCATAAATCTGAATTTCCCAATTCATTCTCTGAAAACCACACTACAGAACAATAAAAAAGATCAAACAAAACTGCAGGAAATGCATGCCACCTGCATAACTAAAAGAGAATGTTCAAATTTCAGTATACCTGTAAGTAGGAAGTAAACATCCAGTCTCAAGTAGCTGTGTCTCAAGATCTTGCCATAAACTTTCACAGAGATACAGTTCTGAGAAACAGAGATACAGAGCAGCCTGGAGAAAGTGAATAGAAGAGAGAAGAGGAGAGCCATTGACAGGCCTGTGATTGATCTAAGAAAACCAGAAAAAAGAGAAAGTCCATCGTATGTGCTAACATACTGGAAAAGATTCCTAGGAGATAAAACCACTTGCTATATATGTTTTCTTAAAGTGCGCATGATTCATGGGAACAGTCTATGAAATGCATTGCTTCTGGAGGTACAGAAGGTAAAAAAGATAGAGAGGCACCCTTTGAATCTAAATGAAGAGGAAAATAAGTAAAAAGAAATTTTAGTGCCAAGTAAATGAGTTTCAAAGCTTTTTTGTCTTGTTTTGTTTTGCTCTGTTGCCCAAGCTGGAGTGCAATGGCACAATCTCAGCTCACTGGAACCTCCGCCTCCTGTGTTCAAGGGATTCTCCTGTCTCAACCTCCCAAGTAGCTGGGATTACAGGCATGCACCACCATGCCTGGCTAATTTTTTGTATTTTTAGTAGAGACGGGGTTTCACCATGTTGGCTAGGCTGGTCTCGAACTCCTGACCTCAAGTAATCCATCCGCCTTGGCCTCCAAAGTGCTGGGATTGCAGGTATGAGCCACTGCGCCGGGCCTCAAAGCTTTAAAAATATGCAATCTTTAGCTACATACACATGCATGTGCATGCATGTACACATGCAAAAGCCATCCATTGACAAACTGTATTTCACTGCAGAAGAGAATACCCTTGAACTTGAAATCTCATAAACCATATCAAATCTTTGAAATGAACAGATGACGTATTATTCAAGGTTTTCCAGATAAAAAGAACCAATAATTAGTATGTGCATATATATGTAGATATAGATACAGATATACAGATATAGATTAGAAATATGCATTTAATATAAAGCATTGGCTCACACAAATATGAAGGCTGAGAGGTCTTATGATCTGCTCTCTTCAAGATGGAGACCCAGGAAAGCCAGTGGTATAGCTCAAAGGCCTGAAAGCCAGAGAACTGACTACACAAATTCCAGGCTGAATGTGAAGACCTGAGAACCATGAGCCCTGAGCCAGGGCAGGTGAAGGTTGCTATGCCTGCTCAATACACAGGCAGAGACCTAGCAAACACACTGGGGAGGTCAGTCTGCTTTCTCAGTCTCCCAATTTAAATGCTAATCTCTTCCAGAAGCACTCTCACAGTCATATCCAGAAATAATACTTAACCAGATAGCTGGGCATTCCATGATCCAGTCAAGTTGACATATAAAATTAACTACCACAGGTGAAAACAGAGTAAATATATACAAAACCATTATAAGAAGAAAACAGAAAACAAGACCGTGTCAGCTGATGAAAATTCTCCTCTCCCCCCGAAAAGAATCCAAAGCAGAAGAAAACTGACATAAACTCCAAAGTGAAGTAAATATCTTCAAAGAAGCTTTTGGGAATATGAAAAAAACACCTTGAATCATAAATTTTAAAGTAAAAATGGACAAAAAATGGGAAGAAATAAAAGAGAGTGTGTTAGATCCAAGAAAGAAATATAAGAAAAAGACAAATTACTGCAGAAGTGAAGAACAAATTGCAAAGTTTCCAGAGGAAAAGAGAATTAAATAAAATCTTAATAAGGGACAGGGAAATAACCAAGATATGAAAAGAAGATACAAAACTAAAAGCTTTGAGAGAAAAGAAGTGGTTGAAATGGAAGACATTTCAGAGAGAAATAGTTGAAATGGAAGACAGGCAAAGAAGAAACAACATACAAATTATTGCAGTCCTTAAGGGATATACACAAACAACAAAGGAACAGAACTAATATTTGGGACCATAATCCAAGCATGTTTCAGGATATAAAAGAATATATAAATCTATATACCAAAAGGACTCATCAATTATGTGGGAAAATTAATCCAGAATTGTCAACTCTAAACCATACGCAAGTAAAATTATTAGATTTCAAAGATAAAGAAAAAATCCCCGAGATCTCCAAGGGAAAAAAGATCAAGAAATTACAAGGACGAGAGAATTAGACTGGCACAGGACTGCTCAAAAACAATATATTAACAAGGCAACAATGGAACAGCAGTTTAAAAAAAAAGCTCAAGGAAAAAAGTGTGAATCAAGGACTTCCAGGCAACCCATTCTTCAAGTATTAAATATCAAGCCAAGAAAAGATGAGTTTTAAACATGAAAAAATTTAGGGAATTTTTAATACATGAACCCTTCTTGAAGAATCTTTGAAAAGATGATTTCTGCTCAACCAAGTAGCGAAACTTTCTCAAAAGGACAGATGGTGATCATTTACTATATTTAATTGTAGACCTAAGACTAAACAAAGGTGGGGACAAAGCTAACAAAATATTGTTATATGTTGATATGGTTTGGCTGTGTCCCCACCCAAATCTCATCTTGAATTGTAGCTCCCATAATCCCCATGTGTCATGGGAGGGACCTGTTGGGAGGTAATTGAATCATGGGGGTGGGTTTTTTCTGTGTTGTTCTTGTGATAGTGAATAAGTCTCACGAGATCTGATGGTTTTATAAAGGGCAGCTCCCCTACACATGCTCTCTTGCCTTCCACCATGTAAGACATGCCTTTGCTCCACCTTCACCTTCTGCCATAATTGTGAGGCCTCCTTGGCCATGTGGAGCTGTGAGTCCATTAAACCTCATTTACTTTATAAATTACCCAGTCTCAGGTATGTCTTTATTGGCAGCATGAGAACGGACTAAAGCATATGTTGTATGTAGTACATTCTGACAAAGTAGAAATAACACAACTGAAAATGGGAAAAGGGAACAAGAAAAAGGAAAATAGAATAAGCCTACCAATTGTGATATAGGCAATGGATAGGGGTTAAGGGACAATATTAAAATTAAAAAGTCAGATAATCGAAGGTTAAATAAAAAAGAGGGAATGAAGTTTCTTGAAAAAGGTATAGTACAAAGATAACCAGTAGAATAAAACTGTGAGCTTTCTTAAATACAAAAAAATTTTTTAAAATTAAAATAGCAAAAAAAAGTGTCATGCAAAGAAAGAAACACAGCAAATAAAACACAGTTTTAAGATTATTATAGTATAAAATATGTATAACAAAATAAGTTGAACTGTCATATTAATGAGTATGAATGAGTTTAACTTATCTATTAAAAGCAAAAGATTTCCACTGGACATGCTCATTCCCATAATCCTAGCGCTTTGAGAGGCCGAGGCAGGCAGATCACCTGAGGTCAGGAGTTCGAGACCAGCCTGGTCAACATGGTGAACTCCGTCTCTACTAAAAATACAAAAAGTAGCCAGATATGGTGGTGGGTGCCTATAATCCCATCTACTCAGGAGGTTGAGGCAGGAGAATCACTTGAACCCAGGAGGCAGGGGTTGCAGTAAGCCGAGATCATGCCACTGCACTCCAGCCTGGGTGACAGAGAGAGAGACTCTGTTTCAAAAAAAAAAGGCAAAAGAGATTTTCAATTTTGTTCACAAAGCAAGATGCTGAAAATAAGAGACATGACTGATTCAAAATGATTCAGAAAGTCTAAAAAGGGATGGGCAAAAGTACACTAGACAAATGGAAACAACAACAAAGGAGGGGTTGTGATACTAATGTCAAGATAAAGTTTAAACCAAAATGCATTAAATGAGACAAAGGAGGGCATGTTTTCATGCCACAGTTCACAATGGATATACTACAGTTACGAATTCTGTTCACCAAATAACTCAGCAGCAACCTTTATAAGGAAAAACTACAGGACATGCAAAGAAACACTGATAGAAACACACTAACAAAAAGACTTCAAGACACTACCTTCAGTACAAAACAGACTCAGTAGCCAAAAAAGAGGAATTAATGTAGACCTAAGTCGTATAAGCAATAATATAGATCTTACAGATACACAGCCATGCATCACTTAAGGATGGGAATATGTTCTGAGAAATTCATCTTTATGCAATTTGATTGTTGTGTGAACATCATAGAGTGCACTTACACAAATCTAGATGGCATAGCCTACTATACACCTAGGCAATATTGTATGGGCTATTACCCCTAGGCTACAAACCTGTACAGTGTGATACTGTACTGAATACTAGAGGCAGTGGTAACACAATGGTATTCGTATATCTAAACATATCTAAACATAGAAAAGGTATAGTAAAAATATGATATAAATGACTTTGAAAAATGGTACACCTGCATAGGGCGCTTACCATGAATGGGGCTTGGAGGACTGGAAGTTGCTCTGGGTGAGTCAGTGAGTGAGTGGTGAATGAATGTGAAGGCCCAGGACATTACTGTATATTAGGGTAGGCTTTATAAACACTATACACTTAGGCTACCTTAATTTATTTAAAAAATAAAGGAATTGTGCTATGATGTTACAATGACTATGATGTCACTAGGCAACAGGAATGTTTTAGCTCCATTATAATCT